>NC_000006.12:167276317-167591393 GCF_000001405.40 Homo sapiens
CAGATGTCTCTTTGATATACTGACTTCCTTCCCTCTGGATGAACACCCAGGAGTGGGTTAGCTGGCTCATATCGTGATTCTATTTGTGGTTTTTTTGAGGAATCTCCATACTATTTTTTATAGTAGCTGTAGCAGTTTACATTCCTACCAATAGTTTTATGAATTTCTAAACCTTGTACAATAGTATTATTCTTCCCACTTTAGGGGCAAGAGATGTGAGACCCCGGCAGTTTAGGTGACCTGCTCGAGGACACACACTGTGCACAGTGGCTGAGCCTACTCCTGCCACATCCAGGAGACTTCAGAGTCCCGGGATCCCAGCTGTGCTGTGCTCCTCCTTCAGCTGTGGGATCCAAGGCATGGTTTATTCCAGGACTCTTCCATGTTTGGGAAATTTTCACAGGACACTACTGCTGTTGTTTGTCCTCCCTTTCTCAAGTCTAAGCAAAAAAAATGTATTTATGGGTAGCATTCTTTAGAATTTAGGAAACCCCGGGAGTCGTGGCCATCCCTGTCATCACACCTGGTTTCTGCTTTGACCTTTGGTACCAATAAACATGAGCAGCTGCCATCCTGTGCCCAGTCCCCGGGGTGTACCTGCAGCCCACGCTGGCTGTCTTTGCTGTTCTGTGCCCAGGTGAGATGCGCTGCAGGCAGCAGGGAGCCACACAGACAACGCCCACCCTCCTGGGACTTGGCAAGCCCAAGGCCATGCACAGGCCACCACAGACTCCCCTGATGTGGGCTCATCAGGGGAGCCAGTGGGCCGGGGGCACGTTACGGCCAGTCAGGTGCATTTGTCTCCAGTAGGATCACCCTCTGTGAAGGTAGCAGCTTGCACCTTGTTGACTGGTCACCAGTGACATGGAGTCTGGCCAAGGAGCCATCTTCACCCTGAGAACTGCGCCTGTGCCCCCAGTGCTCCTGCCTGGCTTCTGCTGTGTGCCTACAAAGCTGGGCTTTGTGCTGGCCCCTCTGCCTTCTGGCCTGTGACCTGCCTTGGCGACCTACCCTTAGCCGGTGGAGCCTTCCAGCTGGCCTCTGACCATGGGGCTCTCCAGGCCCTGAGTCACTGCTGGCCTGACCAATTCAGGTGTCCTGGCTTTTGCTGCAGGGCTTCTGTCCTGGGTCTCCTGATTGTCCAGTTCTGGGCTCCCCCTCCACAAAAGAACGGCCCCTCCTGCAAAAGCTCTGGTCAGGGCAAATCCAAGGGCAGAAGAGGCAGATTGCAGGTCAGGCAGAGAGTGGACGGGCAGCTGCTGGGCCACTGTCTCCACCGTTCTCTGGCTATCTCTGTCTCTCTCTCTCTGACTTTCTCTCTCTCTGTCTCCCTCTGTCTCTCTATCTCTCTGTCTCTTTCTCTTTCTGTCTCTCTCTGTCTCTGTGTCTCTGGCTATCTGTCTCTGTCTCTATAACTCTTTCTGTCTCTCTGGCTATCTCTGTCTCTCTGCCTCTTTGTATCTTTCTGTCTCTCTCTGTCTCTGTGTCTCTGTCTCCCTATCTCTATGTCTCTGTTCTTCTCCCTCTGTCTCTGTCCCTCTCTGTCTCCTTCTGTCTGTCTCTTGGTCCCAGCTGGCAGCTGACTTTCCTGTCCTCCCAGGCCCTGGCAGAGCCACCAGGCGGGCTCCTGTCCTGTGCTGTCCTGGACCCCTCACCCTTGTTGCTGCTCTGGGTCAGAGCGCTTTCTTCTTGAAGCATCCTCTACCCACCCCAGGGACTTGAAAACCGGATTTGAAATGCCAAATAGGTTTAAAATTAGAGCTACAGAATGTCTTCCTCAGAGCCCAGACTTCCCGAGGGGTCCTGTCAGGCACAGACAGGGCTACCACAAAGGAAAAAGGGACACATTACATTACATTACATGAACCTCAGTCACTTGTTTTCACTGACATATACCTGAGTGAGGGCGGGAAGCAAGCCCAGGGTTGGGGAAGGTTTGACAACATGGTGTCTAGAATTTATGCCAATTGCAGTCAGTAGCCGAAGAGGACAGTGCCACAGAGAAGCAGCCAAAGGCCAACTCGGGTGTCCCCAGGGCCCGTGAGGCCAGCGCACGTGAGACTGGTTCATCAGTTACCATCAAAGCTGCACGGTGGGTGCATGAGGCTGCAGCACCACAACTCCATGGCCAAAATGGCGCTGCTGGGATCATGAGGACCCACGGCCTGCCCTCACCTGACAATCAGGAAGAATTTAGACTTTGTCAGTCTCAAAGAAGAAAATGATTATAAAATCCATACAGTGTTCCAGGGTTATCTGACAAGCAAGAACACCAGTAACTTAGTTCATTAGATGCCTTCCAGCGACAGGATGCTACTTAGACAAGTTCCCCTGAAACTCAGGGCTGCAAGTCTCTAGATTGATTATCTGCAAATGCAGCCATCTGCTTCCTGCTGTGACACTTCATTCCTCCGCCCTGGCTGCACTGCAGACAGACGCTGGGGAGACCTCGCCTTCTCAGGGTGGCACTGTGTGGAAGCCAGGGCTCACCCGGCTCTGTTCCCACAGGGTGGGAGTTTTTCATTTTAACAGTTACAGAATCATCTACACGGATGTCACCCTGACAGTTGTAATGTCCAGGAAAAGTTGTCATCCATGTGATTAGCACAGCTTGCCGTGTGTTCTGTTTTGATTTGGGTTTTGATTTTTAATTAACTTTGACGAAAATCTTTTAATAAAAATCTTTGCTTCGAATTTTGAAAAGGTACACAGCAACCTGCAACACACAGGCAGATGATCAATTAAAAGAAGTTAAAAATAGTCCTTTTCCTGCAGAGTGGTACAAATTCACTAGTTAAGACATACTTATTAGATGTGTTAAAAAGAATGTGTTTCAGTGGAAATCTATGGCACATACTTTTAGGCTGTTCGTTGTCTTTGAACTATTTTACAACTCTTTGAGAATTGCAGGTAACTGACGGAGATATATATAGAGAGAGATAGATAGAGAGAAAGAGAGAGGGACATTCTGTCCTGTCTAGTAGTGATTTTTACTGGCTTCTTCACCCTGTAAAAAAACAGCTTTCTCTCCATTTGCAATTCATTTCAAAATTCCTTTACACCATATAAATGTTTTCACTTTTCCTTTGAACAGGTTCTAACATCTGCCTAGTTCCCTCCTATCGTATGTGTAAAATAAAATCTTTAACACTTCTGCATTTTAATATCTTGGTGCAAGTCATGATTTTACCTTTTTCTGAAAATTATCTTTCAGATAGTATATAGATATAAAGTAAAGAACATGCTGTACTGTTTAGATTTTTAACCCATTGCTTATATTTTATTCCATGTGAGTGAGAATGGGCTTCCGGGAATCAGAAAACATATTCTTTCCTTGTTTCAGTCGAGTATAACCATAGATGAAGTGTGTAATACTCATGGAATTTTCCACAGAAAAATGTGCGTATATTTTGCATCAAACAGAGCACAGCAACAGAAAAATCAAAGGACAAAGCTTTTAGTTTGCACATAGTAGAGAATGAAAAAGATGCCAGACCCTTATCCTTGGAGAATAAAAGAAGTTGGCATGCATAAAAGAGAGTAGGACTGCCTGACATATGACACTCAGTTGAATTTAGTTTGAATTTCAGTGGAGTCCTGCTGAGAAAATAAGACTACATGAATTACCTAGAAAACATTACCAGGCAATCCACCATTCACTGTGAGATTGTGTAATAAGCGATGTTCTTAAGGAAGTCCATGAGCACAAGAAGATGCTTGCTTTGGGAGAATTCCAGTGCCTTTACTTCCTCTTTAGTTCCTATCACTGGCCTTTTATTGATAAGTATTAGTTTGAGATTTCAAAACCCAATCTCATGTTTCAAGGTACAGATGTAACTGTACATTTGATACTCAAAAGCCGAGGATGAGGTCTCAGGATCAGCAAAACTGGCCACCTGCCTTGAGAGTGGCTCCTACCCCCTGCAGGCTCCCCGTGAGCTCAGATGGTGCCTTCAAATCCTTTGTAGAGGCTGGGGGAGGGGAAGGAGGAGCACATTTGTTAATGAGGGGGAAAATGCTGTGTGCTTTCAAGGGAAAATGCTAAATTCATTTCAATAACATATGAATTACTTGCTGTTAAGGAATAGGCACCCTTCATCTCAATAGAACCCTGTCTTTCAAAGCCTTCACTTCCGTATCCTTGAGGTTTCTCTTCAAAGAGGGCTGAGCACATTCACCCAGGCACTAGGAGGCCCTGTGCATTTTTTGTCCTGCTGTTTCCATGGATAATTTAAAAAGAATTATGAATATCTCAGTCCTTAGAGAGTCAGACAGAGAGCCCCGAGGCCGCTCAGTCTAGGTCAGCTGGAGTGGCTCCCTTTGTGGGTCCCTTTGCTGGCTGGAACCTGGCCAGAGCTCGCAGGGGACAGCACTCTGTCTTATCATAAGTTCCTCAAATGATTGTTGTATAGACCAATGCATAACCTGCTGACACTGGAATGAAACTAGGGAAAAAATTGTATGCTTCACTGTTAAGGAAATACAGCAGTATTGAGTTAGGTAACCGGTTGGATCAAGGTTGATACTGAAAACGCCCATCAGCAGGCAGGCCCTTAACTTGAACTTACTGTGTCAGTAAGAAAAAGGAGTACAAATTTATCTCTATCACAGCATTTAGAATCATCTTCAACAGGAAACCCAAGCCATACTTCTTTCCCTTAGCAAAACAAACAAGCAAATCAACCTATTTTTCAGAGGTTCCTTCTGAAGTTGAAATTATCATGATTGCCCAGAAGGATGTCCCACCAAGAGGAGCCTCAGGCGGTAATCCCACCAAAAGGAGCCCCAGGAGGTCATCCCACTGACAGGAGTCCCAGGAGGCCATCCCACTGAGAGGAGCCTCGGTAGGTCATCCCACTGAGAGGAGCCCTAGAAGATCATCCCACTGAAAGGAGCCCCAGGGGGACAGCCCACCAAGAGAAGCCTAAGGAGGTCATCCCACGGAGAGGAGCCCCAGGAGGAGGATGCCCACCAAGGGGAGACTCAGGCCAATCATTAGCCATTCCTCTTACTCCCAAGCTGCCTGTTTATTCTGAGACCAGAGGGTCATACATGCCCTCCCTGGCCAGGAGTGAGAATGGATTGGAGTTGAGGATGAGATGAGTTGAGCTGAATACTTCTTGTAGCTAAAAGGCAGCCAGGAGGCCTAGCAACAGAGCAGGATTCTAACACTCACTCCCTGGCCTGCAGGGCCCCTTGGGAAAGTGAGTTTTAGATGCACGTGGGGAGGAGAGAGTATGTGCAGGAGCCAGCAACTCCACAAAACGCCCATAAATTGTGTATCTTTTTACAACGTAGCCTGTGTGTGGTGAGGGGAGATTCAGGCTCCATGACTAAGCTCTGGGTGGATTAGGGGCTGTCAAAAAGGTGAGAGGGGCTTTTGGCCTCATGGAGTTGGGACTCTTCATTTGCTAGGTGCTGATGTCCACAAGTCAAGCCAAGCAGTGGGCTGTTCAGAAGCTGGCCCAGCCCGGCCAGCCAGCAGCAGTGCCCACATCTGCAGGTGGAGCTTGGCCTGTGTAGCTGACTCTCAGGCTCACCCCTTGACTTTCCTTTCAGAGGAGATAAGGATTCTGGTTTCTCAATTAAAGAAAGGGAATAAACAACTCCAAGTCATGGTGACATGTAGATGACGACCTCTACTTATTTCCTGGGAAAGTAGACTGAGACTTTATGGTCTTTCCTTAAGATTCATATGGAAATACATGTGTGTTGTGAGAGATAAAAAACAAACAGACCAGCAGACTAATTTTTATTGTACCAGGGAGAGCCGCTATGCTAGAATCAGTCTTTGCAGGGTGGCTTATCGTAGACTTTCCTGGGACGGTAGACAAGTTTCAGACAGGGTGATGTAGAGCTGGGGGATGCCTCAGTCCATCAGCTGACCAGGAAACATTTTCAATGTGTCTGTATCATTCCAGGGGGTCTAGAGGTTCTACTCTCAGCTAGTCAACCATGAGAGAGAGTGGAGGCCTGCAGGGTGTGGGTCTGGCCTTGTCACAGGTAAACAAGAGGTCATCACACACCTGATGGGGTCAAGAGAAAGTGTGCATAGGGGGCCCCACCAAGGTCTGTGGGGGAGGGGGATTTTTTGTGCTGATTCTTTCCTGGAACAGAAAAAGGTGGGGGGAGATTTGGGAAAATAAGAAATTGGAGGGATTTTATGACTATTATTGTTTTCTTGGAGCATGGGTTCAGGTTCACTTGAAAATGTTGACAAGTTCATTGTCAGTAAAAAACAACAGATTTTGTAGCAAATGTTCAAGAAATGGTGGGTTGATTATAGACTTTCTTGTGTCCCAAATATCAGGTGAAATGTGGATTCTATATGTTGATGAAAAAACCTAAACTTTGTAAAGTATTAGAAAAGATTTATTTTGAGCCAAATGTGAAGACCATGATCCAGGACACAGATCCTGAGAACATGTGCCCAAGGTGGTTGGGCTACTGCTTGGTTTCATATGTTCTAGGGAGACAGAAGACATCAGTCAATGCATGTAATGTGTGCATTGGTTCAGTCCTGAAAGGCGAGACGACTTGAAGCAGGGGCTTCCGGGTCAGAGGTGAATTCAAAGATTTTCTGATTGGTAATCGGTTGAAAAAGTTATTATCTAAAGATCTGGAATCCATAGAAAGGAGTGTCTAGGTTCAGGTAAGGGGTTGTGAAGACCAAGGTTTTATTATGTTGATGAAGTCTCATAGGTGGTACCCTTAGAGACAACAGATGGCAAATGTTTCCCATTCAGACATTTAAAAAATGCTAGACTCTGAGCTAATCACTTTGGGGTCCACAAAAGACCTGGAAAAAGAAGAGGATTCTTTAGAAAATGTAAATTTTCCCTGCAAGACACAGCTTTGCAGGGCCATTTCAAAATGTGTCAAACAAAGTTATTTTTGGGTAAAATATTTCGATTTCTTTCAAAGCCTGCTATCTGTCATGTGATGCTATAATAGAGTTAGGTTGGAATGTGGTGTCTTATTTCTACAAAGAGTCTGTTTTGTCATGCTTAAGATCTCTGTTTTCATGTGAAGTCTGGCCAGTTGTTCCTGAATTCCAAAGCAAGGAGGGTATAATGAGGCACATCGGACCTTGCCTTCCCATCGTGGCCTGAACTAGATTGTTAGGATTCTATGGAATCCCCTTGGCTGAAAAGAGGGGTCCATTCAGTCCGTTGCGGGTCTTACAATTTCATTTTGGTCTACAGTTATCTGAAAGTGGGAAGGGTAAGGTGGCAGGGAAAGAGGTGGGTGCAGGTACATCTGCAAAACTGATTTCTGCGCTTGTCCTACCTCTAAAACATGCTCACTCCCTCACTCCCCCGCGTTGCCTGCCAGCTAGAATGAGTTGCGGAACATGCCAAGTTTGAGATACACACACACACCTTAATTTTCATTCTTTCACAGTTGGTCTGATGAATAAGAGGTAACAGAGACCCTTCATCATGTTCAGAGAGAAATTATAACTACTCAATGGTTAAAAGAGTATAGTCACAAGAAAGAACATCCAAAAACCAGCATCAATAACAACTTACGATGTTAAAAAGACAGTAATTTGTAGATATTTCAAAGATAAATTGAGTCTTCGTGGTATGAGGGCATTTCAGCAAACGCTTTCATAGCATCAGGATCTCACAGCACATTAAATCCCATCTGGGAAGGTTCACACTCAGGGTCAGGCTTTCCCTCATTTTGGCAGAGCCTGTACGTTCTACTAAAACTCTACTAAAATCCAACAAATACTTGCTGAATGCAAACAAGTGCGAAACCCAGGGCAAAATGCTCTCTGGCTTCTGCTCACTTCTGGGCCTGGGGCAGCCCCACAGAACAAGCCTTGTTCCATCTTCAAAACACTAGGGATGGGGCAGATTTTACCAGAACCCCATGGGTACGGGAGCACTTACAGACCCTCTACTGCAGCATGGAATCTTTCTTCTTGTTTTTTAAACTTTATGTGACATTTTTCTTCATAGACCACAATGATAACAGTTGCGTGAGCTTCTAGAGACTGGCCCAGTGCATGACATGCAGTTGGTGTTAACTAATAGCTGATGAGCAGATAAATCAAGACACTCAGTTCCTACAAAATAAGAGACACAGTGTGAAGGCAGTGGGGTAAAGGGGTTTAAAAACAACTTCCGAACATCCGGGCTGGGGAGGGATGGGGGACAGAGGAGAGGAGGACTAGAAAGCGAAGGCCAGGCATGCCCATCCTCTCCGCTAAGCCCTGTTCATTAGGTTTATCCACACAGAGCTCACGTTGCCCACTTGAGTAGATACTGATCATGGCTTTCGGGCCACTGGAAATACACAGCTCAATATCATTCATTAACTGAACACACTGGGTAAGAAAAACACAGGATATTGGGGATTCCTTGGAAAAACAGAGTCTTGCCTGTAGTGCCCACACACAGCCCATTTTCCTGAGAAGGGCCCTGGTCCCGTGTCCGGGGTGCAGACCCACAGTCTGGGACTCTGAGGGCGGTCGCCACAGGTGGGTGCGTTGCCAAATCGTGGCTGCTTGAGAACATTGGGAGATCTTGCTACAGAGGTCCGTGGGTCCTTACCTTGGGAACGCCGGACACAGCGCACACAGCCCACCAACCCCAGACCCCTGGTGGTATCACGCTGTAAGCACAGAACTCCTACTCGCCTTGTAGTCCTCTCCATAATCCTCTCCAGTTCTCAAAACACATCATCAGCTTGATTTTCTCCTCGGCTGTGCCAGCATAAGCCAACCTGTTCCTTCCCACACCGTCTGGGCCTTCGGGCCCTGCCAGGTGGCACCACTGCAGAGGGGCAGGACTGAGTGGGACACATAGGTGTGTGGTTACCTGCCCGAGAGAGGGTGGCTGACCATCTGGGACACCATGCCCAGTCACACTCCCTGCCACACAGGCTGGCCCTGAGCCATGGCATTTAGGCCAAGGGGAGGGGCCCTGGCTGGCATTTGTCACACGTCTTCCCGTGTCTAAAGTGCAGAATTCGGGAAATACTTCTGAGGGCAGGATTGCCATGTAGCCAGCTGTCTGCCAGGGTTCATCCCAGGGCCCAATCCCACTGTGTGCTTCTTTACAGCTCATCATAAACAGGTCAGGACAAAAGGAGTTGCCAGCCAGGAGGGGAAGTGAGCTGGGGCCTAAATGATTGGTGATGAGCCGGGACTCACACTGCAGTGCCCACATGTGCCTCGATGGTGGCCTGACTCGCCCGTGGGGCTGGCGGGGATGAGAGTTGGCCTCTGTCGCAAGCACAGGGCTGGAGTCGTGGAAGCGGCTTCCCTGCAGCTGCTGCTGTCTCAGGTGACGGCATCTGGTACCTGAGCTGGCATTCAGTTTCTTTATAACCCACTGGGGTGGGGGTTCTGGAGGGCGGCCCTGGGCAGCAGCTCAACCAGGAGAATGGGCAGCCTGGAGGGTAGGTGGGGGGCTTAGCTTACCTTACAGAGTTCTTTCTACAACAATTCCTTTATAAAAGTGTAGTTTTCTTTAAAAATTGTATTCTTCTTAAATTAGATATTCTTCTTTAAAGTATAGAAGTAGTATATAGGTGCATGAAATAAAAAGAGTAAACATACCCCTTTCCTCCCACCAATTCTATGTCCAGTGAAGAGTTAGTTTTCTTTCTCTCTCTCTCTCTCTCTCTCTATATATATATATATATATACACACACACACACAATGAGCCTATAATACATTTTGTATATATGCATGTCTATATATACATGTCTCTATTTATATTCACATATGGCTATATGAATATATATACATATCTTATATTCACATATGTATATATGGACATGCATATATACAAAATGTGTATATGCATTTTTAGTCAAAACTTAAGCAATAACCTTCAATGCTTGTCTTTATAAGATGTTCTCCCTTCATCATATCGAGTACCTTTCCAGTCTGTCTGTCTATAGCTTTCCAGCAAACCCTTTCCAAAGACAGTGGAGAAGTTTCCAGCAGGAGCAGCTGCTGAGAGACCCACACTGCACATACAGGCCTTACCGCCCGCTGAGCGGGAAGAAGCGGCACAGTGGCTTCTCAAGGGACCACTGAAAAGAGGCGGTCATTGCATCGTAGCTGGAAACAAACGGGGAAAATGCCTCAGTCTCACCTGCTGACACTCGCTGAGATTTTAGAAGCCACGCGCTGCAATAGCGGCTGGAGCGAAGGGACTGCAAATAGGTCACGTCACCCAGGATGGCATTATCTCGCTTGGGGACAAAGTTCAAATTGTATGGATGTTTGTGGTTGTGAGAGCAAAGGCACGAAATTATCTTTGGAGATTTTTGGGCGTAATTTCCCATCACTGTATCTTTGTCTGTATAGACAAAAATAATTGATAGAAAAAATACCTAGAAAATTCAAGCATCAGCCGGGTGCTGTGGCTCAAGTCTTTAATCCCAGCACTTTGGGAGGCCGAGGCGGGCGGATTGCCTGAGCTCAAGAGTTCGTGACCAGCCTGGGCAACACGGTGAAACCCCGTCTCTACTGAAATACAAAAAATTAGCTGGGTGTGGTGGCGGGTGCCTGTAATCCCAGCTACTCGGGAGGCTGAGGCAGGAGAATTGCTTGAACCCGGGAGGCGGATGTTGCAGTGAGCCAAGATCGCGCCACTGCACTCCAGCCTGGGCGACAGAGCAAGACTCTGTCTCAAAAAAAAAAAAAAAAAAAAAAAAAAATTCCAGCATAATCAGCACTTTCTGCCCCTCATCCAGGCTTAGAAGACATGTAAGTGGTTGGCTCTCGGCTGTACAATCACAGCCCGGCTTCCTCGGCTATCCAATCACAGCCGTATTTGGCTCTCAGCTGTCCAATCATAGCCATACTTGGCCCTCAGCTGTCCAATCACAGCCCGGCTTCCTCCACTGCTCGCTGCACTCAGCTGGATCTTTTCCACCCAAAGTGCCACTTGCTCCAGTTTGCAGGGTTCATAGAAACGGCTGCTGAGCTGCAGACCTGGTGATGCTTGGGTCCAGCCGAGCTGCTCTCTCCAAAGCTGGACACTGCTCTGCCGCCCGTGTGGAGATGGGGTGTGGATAGCGTGTGTACCACCCCATACTCCCTATCGTCCCACCTGCTCTAGTTTTGGGATCGCACTTCTTCTCTCCATGGGAATTTCAGTTCTCTATTTTGCTTAGTTGTTCACTGTTTGGTTCCTCCACTAGAACTAGGCTTCTGTGAGAATGGAGACCCCTGGCCCTTTTATCAGTGTGGTACCCCAGTACATTAGGAAGGATGCCTGGCCCAGGGTAGACGCTCAATAAATAGTGTGGACGACTGTAGAAGTGGGTGCTGTATCCCAGGCTGCAGAGGGCTCATGGGAAAGGAAAAGGACCTACGAACTTGGAAAATAAAAAGGGTGTGTGTGTGTGTGCATGTGTGTGCATATGTGTGTGTGTGCATGCGTGTGTGCATGCGTGTGTGTGTGTGTGTGCACTGTGCACATGAGTGTGTTCTGAACCAGGACCTACACGATCCCCCTGACTATGAGAGTGGAACAGGCCAGATTCTCCGCACTCGGGCTCACCTAGCGTTGCCGCCCTGACAGGGAGAGTGGAAGACGGTGATCAATCACAGAGCTGCTGCTCTCCTTCATTCTGGTGCAAAATGAGGGTGCCTTAGCCCAATCAGATGCTGTTGTTCAGGGACCCTGCAGGCCCTTGACGGTCTTGGCTGGGTGGTCAGGCCACTCACATGTCCCAGGTGGAGACGTGGGCTGAGAGAAAGACCCAGAATCCCAGGACATCACCAGCAGCTTTAACCACACCGTGGAAGCTGGGAGGATTCACAAATGGTGTGAGGATGGGAGTATTTCCAGCCAGGCTTGCCACACGATGGGTCTCTGCCCTCTCTGATAAGTAATGGAAATTAGCTAAGGGTCTTGGCTGAGGGCCTGACATAGCCAACTGGCCCCAAAGCTTTTTCTCTGATTGGCTCTCTGGGTTCTCCTTGGCCGAGGAAGAAGCCAGAGCCCCGAATGCCCGCTCAGCTCAGGAGGTGGCCTGTCTAGCCAGGGGAAGGCGGAGTGGTCAGCCCCCGCCAAGATTTAAGATGCTTTGGAACATTTGCTAAGAGAAAATACTCTCTCAAGCCATGGTTGTGTTAGCACAAATTGTTCTTCCTTACACACACACACACACACACACACACACACACACACACAGCATGAGTACATTTATTTCCAAAGTGTGAAATTCCCTAAAGTAGCCAAGAACTCATTCTACTCCCTATAGATACCTTCTTCATCTTTATGTGGATAAAAAGATGTAAGATACATTTGAGTTTATTTGGTATTGCTTTTATTAACAAAGATTTCAGATGTAAATGTCAAGAAAATTGATATTAATTTGCTTACATGAGTACATTCCTTAAAAAAGCAAACCATTGGGTAGACTTCCCTTAAATTAATCTTTAGATTCTTGGCAGGAAGTTTGGTGATTTACAAGGTGATTCTACAGCATGAAGAACGCATGGCGCCTGTGGTGAACTCAGCCGTAGCAAAACGGTGCCATCTAGTGGCTGGTGAAGTCTCGGTTTTCCGGAACACGCGTGCTCTGAGCTTTGTATCACCCAGGGCATCTGTCATTTTAACGTCCAATGAGTGACCTGCAGATTCGAGCAGATCTACAGAACCACCTCTTTTCTCAAGCTGATAGAGCCCAGATGTTAATTTTAAGGACTGAAGTGGCTATTGACACCTTTTAAATCCTTTACACGTACCCGTCTTTGGCCTTTGGCAGGTCAGCCCTGGGCCAGGCCATGGCTCCAGTGCACACACAGAGCTCATAACGCCAAAACCAGCTCTGAGAGCCAAGCCAGCTCTGGGTTTCTAGAGGTTGCACTCTCTTCCCTCAGGCAACTCCATGTCTGCAGGAATGTGTAGGCTGCGGGAAGGCAGCCTCAGGGGTCGGGTAAGATAAGAGTGTCCCTTTGTTTATGACGAGACCACTGGGGGACCATGTCTAAGACCTGCCCTGGTCACAGGAACACTGAGGGGTGCTGGGAATTATCTCCTCTAAGAGAAGCATTTTATTCTGCTACAGAGAAAAGGCAGAGAGTGAAATATACTGTTCATTTAAAAAAAATCCCTTTTAACATAGATAAAGGGGAGGAACTGGGAGGAAAAGAGAGAAAAAGCAGACGTAACTGAAGCCATGGTTTCAGAAATTCAATCCTAGTAGAAGTGCTGGAGGGACAGGGAGGGTGTGGCTGGGAAGGATGGAAACAGACCAGGTTTATTTGTGCACAAAGGGAAGCTCCTTAGAAGGCATAGGCTGGTGAAGGGGAGGGGAAGAGCAGCCTCTGGAAACAGCCCCCAGAGCCAGAGAGCGAGTCCTAGAGGATGGGGCTGGTGAGTTGAAGCAACCAAGGGAGAAAGACCAGCAGACAGTGCAATAAAACATCAGGAAGGTCCTCTAATATCAAAATACAGGTCATCCATGGGAACTAATGAGAGGCCAGAACTGAAGTAAACTAAAGTGTTGCCAAAAAATAAAAATAAGGTCCAAGTTGATTGATCGATAACACGGTTAGTATGAAGAAGTCCACATTATGCTAATTTCTTTACATATTATTCTAATTTGTATTGTCTCTGAAAGTCAAAATATCATCTTAGTCAATTAACATTTATTGGTGATAACATTTATTGGTGAAGTTGAACCATATATGTATCTTGAAGTTAACATTTTTGCTATATATCGGGTGCTGTTCTAGGGGCTTTCAAAATTATCCAAGTCTTGAACTTTTGCAACCCTCCTTTTTAAAGAGGAAACAGGTTCGGTGACTCAGTGACCCACCTGAGATCACCTAGCTAACAAATTACAGGATTAGGGTGTGAACCCGTGGAGCTCATCTGTTTCCATGCTCAGAATCCCTTTGCTAGACTGCGTGGCTCTTATGTCTATGTAAGCATGATAGTCCATGTTTAGTTAATATAAAAAGCTATTGTTTTCATAAAACTTTCATTTTCACTGAAATACATTAAGTGACAAGAACTTTACCCCATTTATCATTGGCCCTGATCTTCTGATGGTCTGGCAAGCTTCCCTGAGTAGTGTTGCCAGGATGCTAGACTTACCTGCGAGATTTGCCTTATAGATCTAATCTAGACAGAAATGGCTGACTTCACAGAACTTTGGAAACAATCTGCAGACATCAAGTTTTACTTATAATTGAATAAAAATAATTTTTCTTGCTTATTAGCTATGACATTTGTGGTAAGTTGCTTAAAGCTCCAGACTTACCCCGTCTAATACAGTTGTCTCTAGCCACATGTGGTTAAATTTTAATTGTAATTAACTAAAAGGAGATGCAGTTGTGAACTCATTTTATCAGTTGCACTTGCCACATTTCAGAACTCAATAGTCACATGTGGCGAGTGGCTACCATACTGGACAACACTGCCCCAGACCAAAATACCAAATCATTTAACTTTTCTGAAGCTGTTTCCTGTCTTATAATGGGTCTAAGATTTCTAATGATCATTAGCATAGCACTATTGTTGGTAACATGAAATAATGCATGAAATTCTTTGCATATTGTAAAGTACTATACTCATGTAAGTTGTTTTTTCTTTTAATAATTGCTGTACTGTGTTGTGAAACTGTACAGTCTTTGCAATACTAAGACTTTGGCCCCAGGATCTTACAATCACGTTAGCTCTTTTTCAGAAGTTGAACTATGTGTCTTGAAGTTGACATTTATGCTTTGTTCTTTAAGACTGAAGTCCTCATTCTGCACCACTGACAACTTCTGACAGTTTCTCTTACTGTGGAAGGTTCTATTCTATATACACATAAAAAGTGAAACATATCACTTTACCATCTGGACCATGTCTATTAGAATTTAATAGGAAAAAAGCGCAATTAACTAGAAGCTGGTAAGAGTAATGATCTTTTGCCCCATACAAAGTGGACATTGTGGATCACAGAGAAGGTAAATGAGTAACAGAGCTCCCGTATGCTTCATGGGGTCAGTGATAACCAAGTTCATTAACGAGTGACAGTCTTAATGACTAACACACCTCTAACATTTCACCTCTAGCTCAGATGAGAGAGAGAATGGGACTTCTTGGTACTGATTGTTTTTCCCATGCCTCAATTGGTTTCTTTTAGGGAGCTACAAATTTACGTGTTCACTGGTGATTGATCTTTTCATCCAGCACAATGGACAGAAGTCTAAGGAACGTCCTTGTGGTTTCCTTTGGGTTCCTGCTTCTCTTTACAGCCTATGGAGGTCTGCAGAGCCTGCAGGTATGTGTGTCCGGTCATCAAATTACCTGAACTTCTTGGCCTCCAAGAATCCCTGTGGTCACAGACAATAATGAATTGGAAATTTGAAAAATCTAATTCACCTGGTGTTTCTTTTTCACTCTGTACCAAATCCTCTAAAACAAACAGTGGTTCTCAGATGCAGTCCTACAGTGAGCAGTTCCCACTCACGTCTCAATAGGATTGCACAACAGCGAGGTGCACGTTGCTCTTGGACAAGGACAGCAGGGGTCTTGGGACTGTGATTTGTTGGGACATTCTTTGCCTTTGGGTGGTTAAAAGGAGACACAGGAAAAGTCATTGTGAATTCTATGATTGATTGGATGCCCTTGGCTTTGTGGTTAGGGGCAGCCATGTGAATTTATCAAATGTCACTAGACCTTATACATTCCAAGCCTACTCTAAGCTAAACTGTGAACTTTGACAACATGATCTCTCTATACTTTGAACTCCTTATGGCATGCTCTCCTCCATAGTTCCGTGAGCCCATGAAAAAGCCAAACGGCATTCTCCGAAAGGCTGCAGCATTCATCATGTGCACCTAGACATAGACCTGACACATTTTCCCAAGCTGGTTACATTTCAAGTCTGATCTTTACCTGGATTCCAGTCTGAATTCCAGGGAATTCCAAGGGCTGGTCAGGAAGCAGGGCTATTGTTACTCCCCCGGCTTATTCATTGCCACAGTGTTGTACCCTGTGGCCTGGTGTGGTCACATAAAACATTTCAGAGCTTCTGATGACAAATTAGTGTGGTCTTACATGGTTCGTCAATGAAGAATAAGAATTGGGCACCTACTGTGTGCATAGTATGGAACCAGAAAAGCACACCTGGGAACTCAGAATCCGAGGTTTCTCCTCTCACTGTTGTTGTGCAAACACTTGGGACTCCTGGGTTGCCAAGGAAGCTGGAATTCAGTCCTGAATTCTCAAGTAATGTTTCCTTTTGCTGAACTCCTATCTGGTTCTATTTCTGATCAGGCTTACAGAGGATAAAATGGCAGCCAACAGTGACTCTCAAAGTCAAGTGGAAGGGAACACAGTCTCTTTTCTTGCCGCAATGGTTCATTACTTTTGGAGTCCCTGCTTTGCCCAGAACTTTGTGTTGTTGTCACAGAATGCTGGTGTGAGTGAAATGCCTGTTGGGTTGAGGTGAGTGCATGTTGAATGTGGTTGGTGTGCACTTTCTGGAAGGAGGGAGTCTCAAGGATGTGGACTGGTCAGTAGCCCTTTCTCTTTAGAAAGCTCACCTGCCTGCAGAAGGAGACCCTGCTGTCCTCCTGGCACAGCAGCTCCCCTGGGGTCAGCATTCCTAGGAACCGACAGCTCCCCTGGGGTCAGCATTCCTAGGAACCAGTTCTGGTGGATCCGCTGTGGCTCAGCCACTGTCTGAAAATTGGCCTCTGGACTTGGAAGCCAGAGGAAGGGGGCTGGAGGGGGCTGGGAGCTGCCAGGGGTCCCTCCTCTCAGGCTGTGACGGCAGGACCCAAGGCTGTGGGCAAATGCGGGCAGACAACCCTTTGCCTCTTCAGCCCCAGTTTGGGGGTGCCTCATTGGGGAATCACTCATGGTGGCATCTGGATGAGCTCCGCAGCTGTGAGCAGCTGCCTGGGGAGTAGATTGTCCCACGCCCCGCCAGCACTTCCCACTCCTCCTGGGCTGGTGGAAGTGGGAGCTGCTGTCTCATGATGTCAGCCCTTCCTTCTCAAAAGACTGGAGATGCAGGGGAGCCAGACCTCCCTCTCTGCAGGGCCCCAGGACTGTGGAAGGGTCCCCTCCACTCCAGCTCCACCCTGGTTCGAGGCCCCACCCGGGCCTATTGTCGGCAGCTGACCTTGAGCATGCGGACGTGCTTTAACCCTCTAACTGGGACAGCTGTCTCTGCTACTCAGGACTGGCATGGGCAACACAGAGTGTTCAGATAGAAGTGACTCAGGATTGGTTTTGCCCCAGCATGCTGAGGAGCCGAGCCCACCTCTCTCCAAGAACCCCAAGGCTACTATGGGGTTGGCTTCGCTCTCAGGCCCCAACAAGGCACATGCATCCCCAGGCTCCCTCCTCAGAGCTCAGCAGCCCCAGTGAGAAGACAGGGCCTCATTCCAGAGAGTTCTCCTGAGTCCTCACCCTGGTCTGGACTAGGTCCCCTCGTCCAAGGACAAAGGACGCTCTTTTGTGGCACCTCCCCCTGTAGCCACCACCTCCTTTCACCCTTTCTGGCTGCAGGCCTCCAAGTTCTCATTCAGCTCTCAACTTGGAGGTCACCTCCTTCTCCCCACCCTGCCCTGGAGCTGAGGTCTGGATGGGGCACCCAGCACCCTCGTGGCGGTGTGTGCCTGCCCGGGTTGTCTCCACCAGTGGTGGCGGCCTGCAGTTTCCAGGATACGAGGGCCACGTCCCTGGTCCATTCTCAAACCTTAGACAGTGACGGGCACTCGGAGGCGGGCGATGGATATTTGGTGAAGGAAGAAATCATTCATGTGCACTCAGCTGCTTCATATCCTTCGGGCCTCCCCATGGGCTGAAGGACCCCTTACATTCCCTGGGAGCACGCAGGCTCCTCACAGATGAGTTCTGGCAGAGTCTCCAGCCCCATCCTGTCACACTGTCCTGTTCTCAGCTGAGATTCAGGCAGGTGTCCACAGAGGCGTGAGCGGCTCTCACAGCCATCCAGCCCCGGCGCAAGCACTCACAGGGGTGCCGGGCCTTCACTCCCTGATGTTTAGACACACTAACTGCTTTATTCCGAATTCACCTGCACTTTTCTCCCACCAGCTTCAGAGGAGGCTCCCAGGGCAGCAAGCCTGTGGCTGGCGGTTCCTGGGAGCTGTGGCGGCCTCCAGCCTGGGGGACACTGAGGACCTGCTGGTGCCTCATCCCGCTGTGTCCATCCTGTGCTCTGACAGGGCTGGCTTTGTTCCCACAGAGCAGCCTGTACAGCGAGGAGGGCCTGGGTGTCACAGCGCTCAGCACCCTCTATGGAGGCATGCTCCTGTCCTCCATGTTCCTCCCACCGCTCCTCATCGAGAGGCTGGGCTGCAAGGGGACCATCATCCTCTCCATGTGTGGCTACGTGGCCTTCTCCGTGGGCAACTTCTTCGCCAGCTGGTACGCAGCCACCACCCCCTGCCCACCCCACCCCGGCCGTTCCCCACGCTAGGGACGTTCACTCTGCACATGAGTTGCATTTGCACCTGATTACTGTTCACTGCAGGCATTTTAAAATGAGCTCTCCTGCCCCTGCACCCCCGCCTCGCTTTGGTGACAGACGGTGCTGGGCTTCCTTCCTGTTTTCCCACCAAGGCTCCTCTGTGCCCCCCACTGCTTCTGTCTCCTCCTCCCGATCCCCGATGCTGGCCTCTCCCTGGGATCCGTCCTGGTCCTCAGCTCCCCTGGCTGGGCGAGGGTTCCAGTAACACAGGGGACTCTAACTGCAATGCAGATGGTGAGTCTCGTGGGCACCTAGGCAGATGTCACCAATGGACCGAAAGCTGCACCTCGCCCACCATTAGGAGGTGGGTATGGCCAGGGCAGGTCACAGGGATGGGAGGCCACCCTGCTCCCTGGTGAGATGGACCACAGAGACTGAGCTCTGAGGGCTTTGGCCTGCACCCCAGGCCCCGGGAACACAGCCATGGAGCATCTCTTCCAGGGACCCTGGTTGTGCCAGGACATGCTGCTGATGATGGCTGCAAGTCCTTCTTCCCGGTAGCTGCAGAGTCTTACATGGCATGCCGCCGCTGAGGCCCGAGCCGGTCACTAGGTCTTTTTAACCGGGGCTGTCCCTCGGCCTCCCTCGTGCTCCTCGCCTCCCTCGTGCTCCTCGCCTCCCTCGTGATCCTCGGCCTCCCTCGTGCTCCTCGCCTCCCTCGT
This sequence comes from Homo sapiens, assembly GCF_000001405.40. Classification (NCBI taxonomy): domain Eukaryota; kingdom Metazoa; phylum Chordata; class Mammalia; order Primates; family Hominidae; genus Homo; species Homo sapiens. The sequence goes on from NC_000006.12 coordinate 167,295,464, forward strand.
GCTCCTCGCCTCCCTCGTGAACCTCGCCTCCCTCGTGATCCTCGCCTGCCTCGTGCTCCTCGCCTGCCTCGTGCTCCTCGCCTCCCTCGTGCTCCTCGCCTCCCTCGTGATCCTCGCCTGCCTCGTGCTCCTCGCCTCCCTCGTGCTCCTCGCCTCCCTCGTGCTCCTCGCCTGCCTCGTGCTCCTCGCCTCCCTCGTGATCCTCGCCTGCCTCGTGCTCCTCGCCTGCCTCGTGCTCCTCGCCTCCCTCGTGCTCCTCGCCTTCCTCGTGCTCCTCGCCTCCCTCGTGCTCCTCACCTTGTTGTTTGCAATCGCATCCGATACAAGGAGCCTCACTGGCTTCAATTTCACTTTTGCAAATCAGTCCAAGCTAGGAAATGCACTGATATTGCTCATTTTTCTGAGTGTAATGGTGAATCCATCCATCCAACCAGCAACACTCATCACCACGCTTGCAATGGGCCAGGCGGTGGTTCCTTCTCCCAGATTGACTAAAGAACTGCAGGGACATGGGTGCAATGGGCTTGCGTCTCCTGTTACAGGCTATGGGTCTGCATTTTACCCACAGGTACACTTTGATCCCCACCTCCATACTGCTGGGACTCGGGGCCGCCCCGCTGTGGTCTGCACAGTGCACATACCTCACGATCACGGGAAACACACATGCAGAGAAGGCGGGAAAGCGTGGCAAAGACATGGTGAACCAGTATTTTGGCATCTTCTTCCTCATATTCCAGTCATCCGGTGTGTGGGGCAACTTGATCTCATCGCTGGTATTTGGCCAGACTCCCAGCCAAGGTAAAAGGAAAAGGGGCAAGCAATTGTCTCCAAGTGGAGCAGGGGTTTCAGTGATGGGGGAGAGGGTTCCTGATTTCAGTTGCACACCTGCCTTGATTCTGTAACTTGAGCAGGTGAGTCAGGCCCCACAGGTGAGATTCTCAACCTGCCTGTGCTTCAGAGTTGCCTGTTACCTGCTGTCTTCTGGACAGTCGGGTGGGACTGAAGAAGATCTGCGTCTTCCACAGGTGCCTCCGCAGGGGCAGGGGAGCCCTTGGGAGAGGGCGCCATGGGAAACTGAGGGCCACGCCAGTAGAATTTGTGTTCATGGAGTCTCAACTGCACAACTGTCCTTTTTAGACTAAGGATGGGGTTGCCTGATTTCTTTTCCCTGTGACTTGATACAATGACCAGATTTTCAAATGTTTTATGACAGGCCCCTTATCCCATGACAGATGTGGACATTGGATGGGCTGATGCCCTGGCTCCTCTGTCTCTACCCGACCTTGCCCTGGTATAAATATAAAGTGCATATCTCATTTGTGCCCATGACCTTAGTGCCCACGTTGAGGCTTTAAGCACAGGGCAGAGGACATACATCTCTTTCATGCTTACAGGAAAACTTTCCCAACGGGGTAAAAACCAATCCAGCCCTCCTGACTAGTATCACAACTATTTCTATCACTTCATCAAGGTTCTCCATCTTGCTATCCCATAAAAATCCCACGCTTGGTAAACTCTGTAGCCAAAACCCCTCTCCCTTTTTCTCATGCGATGTCATGCCTGCTAAGTGCATTTGAAGAAGGGAAGCCGTGAAGGTGATGCATAGCAATTTTTACTCATTATTGCTGTTGGTGTCAGCAACAATGAAACAGAAACTGGGGTTACAGCTCAGTCTGCATATCACGGCCAGTGAAGTGGAGGAACAGGCATTTCTTTCGAAGACCTTTCTGCAGGTGAGTTAGTTCTCCAAGTCAGCACAGGACACAGAATCTGGGGCTGGAGGGATTTGGAGGGCGTCGTGTGCTTCTCCACCTTCTTGTACCTTCTCTTATCAGCTGCACATCTCACCCACCTAGAAGATTTTGTGAAGCTGTCTGTTATATAATTTGTGTTATTAAAATAATAAAAACACTGAATATTCTTTCTCCCACCACATCTTTCTCCTTTCCCCAGAGATTCTGACAGGACTTCTGACTGAGAGTCATTGCTAATTCAAATTGTATTTTTCTAAGAGATCACAGAACTAACGTTAGTTTTCAAAAACAGAAAAGTTATGAAATCACCTGCCCAAAGTCATTGAGTTGGTAACAGATGAATCTGAAAGAGAATCCAGCATTCCTGGCACCCAATCTCATGTACTTTTTTCTTTTTGACTAATTTTGAAAACTTGAAAAATTTTAATTATGTCAGAAAAGCAGTAAAACAAGTAACCAGCACTTTTCCAAGTTCATTCTTCCCTGAATCTTTGCAGAACACGAATAGGATTTTCCACCTCCCAAAGTGTCTTAAATCGAGTCTAGGGACATGTGCCTAGACTCGATCTAAATCTATTTTGAGACACTGGGTCTTTCCACGTGACCTGTAGTGATGCCTCCCCCCAGGTGTCCAATGTCCTTTCCACTGTCACTTTGATTTCTCAAGAACCTACATCTTGTCACATTTGCCGTCATCTCATGTCTCCTGTCCACTCTGACTTCATAGAGACCCTTCCAGAAGAGCAGCTCACGTCCTGTGGGGCCAGTGACTGCCTGATGGCCACCACAACCACCAACAGCACCCAGAGGCCCTCCCAGCAGCTGGTCTACACCCTCCTGGGCATCTACACTGGTACGAGCTCCATCGGCCCAGGGCAGGGTCCCTAGCAAAGCAGAGCCAAGCCTCCTTCCTGGGCTGACAAAGACTGTCTCTCCCAATGTAAAAGTAATCTCTCTTCTTCTGAAATATCCTTGCAAAATGTATTGGTCTGGATTATATGCAGGCGGTGTTCTTATGAATCAAATGCAGTACACCCGTGCTGTCTAACAGAGGATCCTGGGGTGATGAGATTGTTATACATCTCCAGAGCCCAACACAGCAGCCATTAAGCACTGTGGTTGTTTACATCTTAACTGATTAAAGTTTCAGTTCCTAAGTCTCCCAGCCACACTGCAAGTGCTCAGCAGTACGGGGGCTGGCGGCTACCATTACAGACAGCTTGGTGGCTGGCTAGGGCACTGGGATTGACTGTTTGTGTTTCAGCTGTGGCCAAGGGGCCCTGAACATCCATAATTGCTATAAGCCACTTTTTTTTTTTTTTCTGAGAAATGTGCTGAGTACCTTCTGTGGAAAGGCTAGAGGGGCGAGTGCTCCCAAGTGCTTGTTGCACCTTAGCTGGAGACGTTGCAAGCTCATGGTGAAAGGGCTGCCCAAAGGAAGTTAATTGTCATGACGAGGCTCATTCTTAGAAGTTCATTTTAATAGAGAATGTTATGTAATAGTTTCATATGTGACTTCAGTGTTATAGTCAAAGGTTTATTACAACTTTGAAGGGGATACATTTAGAGAGTTTTAAAAACCATTTTGTAAATAATTTAAATATTTTTTTTTTTGGCTGGGCATGGTGGCTCACACCTGTAATCTCAGCACTTTGGGAGGCTGAGGCGGGCAGATCACTTGAGGTCAGGAGTTCGAGACCAGCCTGGCCAACATGGTGAAACCCCATTTGCACTAAAAATACAAAAATTAGCTGAGCGAGCATGGTGGCATATGCCTGTTATCCCAGCTACTCGGGGGGCTGAGGCAGGAGAATCACTTGAACCCGGGAGGTGGAGGTTGCAGTGAGCCAAGATCGCGCTGCTGCACTCCAGCCTGGGCAACAGAGCGAGACTCCATCTCAAAAAAAAAAAAATACACACACACACACACACACATATTTATATATGCATGTACATATACATATACACGTATATATTTCTATATGTATATATATATATATATATTCTTTGTCATTCTTGGATTTGGGGATTCATAAAGGCCTTGGAATGGGTCCTTCTTAAAGATCAAAGGCCTGGCACCTGTGAGCTCTGGGGGTACCAACTCCTGCACTCTGCCGGGGTCAGAGGTGAGGAGGGTTCGTGGGCACTGCAGAGCTTTTCCTCATGCTGAGATGATGTGCGGCACCAACCTCAGGTCCCCTCAGGCCACTTCCACATCAGAGGCTCTGAGTGAGCACTTGTAAAGCTATCGCTGGAAGTCGACAAAGTGTACTGAGCACGTGCTAGGCCATGCTAGGCCTTCTTGGTCCAGACATTCAGATGACTAGAAGCTCGCCTTTAGTAAGCTGAGAGCCTAGTGAAGGAGGCAGACACACACCCAACTAACCGAGACCAGTCCGACAGTGTTCTGAGCACAGTTCCCAGCTGACTTGCAGCTGCATCTCCCTGGAGCACGGAGTTTCAGGAAAGCCTCCAAGGGCGGGTGGTCCCTAAGCCGAGTCTGGACAATGAGCAAGATTTGGCCAGGCAGGGAAGTGATGCTGAAGTCCCTGGAGGCGAGATGTCCAGGAAGAGCCCGCAGGGCTGGGGGCAAGGTGGAGGGGCAGAAATGGGGCACAAGACTAGCTGTGGCCCTTGATGTTGTGCCAAAGGGTCTGGACGAGTGCAGACTTGCCTTCTTGACAGACCCCATGCCAGCGTGACTTAGAGGTGCAGAGAGACAGCGGGCAGAGACCCACTGAGGACGGAGTGCTGAGTCCAGAGGAGGGAGCAGGTACGGGGAGGCAGAGATGGAGGGGCTGAGAGAGAGGCCAGCAGGGTCCGTGTGGGTTGGACATGGTGTGGGGAAGAGAAGACAGCCCTGGGGTTGACAGGAAGATGAGCTCAGGCCGGGAACACCTGGCTTGAGGACGCAGTGGGACTCTTGCATAGTGTCCAGTGGGCAGTCTGACGCCGTGCAGGGCTCAGGCCAGAGGCCAATGCAAGTGTGGACGTGGAGGCATCTTCCAACATGGTGACTGGAATCATGTCAGGGATGAGGCTCTTAGGGAGAAAAAGCAGAGGGAATTGTTACAGAGAAGGGAGTATAGCTGGACCCCTGGTTCAGCAACACTGAGGGCCAGGCAGACAACTGGAGCCTTGGAAGGAGACAGAAAACCAAACCAGGGTCTTGGAGGACACCAGGGTTGTAGAATCAGCTGGGGAGGGGGTTTGAGAGTGTTGAGTGTGGCAGGGCCCCTAGGAGGCTCAGGGGGGAGGCTGGACGAGGCTCTTAGCCAGTGAGAGGCTGTTGATGCCCATCAGGCGAGCAACCTGGGGAGGGTGCTCGTGTGCAAGGCCCAGACTGAGGGTTTCAGAAGTGAGTGGAAGGTGTGGACAGGGAGTCAGGAGGAGCCACGGTTTTCTCTGGTCTGCAAGTCTCTGCTGACTTGGAATTGTGGTCATGTTTTCCCAGCAGGCCCCAAGGTTCCCATCAACATGGTCCCAGGGACCAGCCAGGCCTGTGCTTCCCCAACACTTCCCCTCACCACCTCCTCTACATAACTAGGAGGCTGGGGGACTCGGGGACATTGAGCTGAGTCAAGACCATCAGGTCTCCTTCCAGCTCCACAAATTCCAGTTAGGCAGCCACCAACAAAGACTTCTCCTATCTATAAAAGAACAGAATTTTGGAGTGGGGGCTGCAGCCTTCCTCTGTGAAGGGCTGACAGCAAATATTCCTACATGTAAGTATCTTTCTGAGGATCATATGGTCCTTGTTGCAATTGTTCAACATTGTCTTTGTAATGGGAAAAAGCCATAGACAACATGTAAGCAAATGAGCATGCCTGCATGCCAATAAAACTTTATTTTCAAAAGCAGGCAGTGGGCAGGCTTTGGCCCGCAGGCCATAGTTTGCTGGCCCCTGCTCTAGAGGAACAGCACAGGCTTCTCTGTGGCTTCCAGGCCCTTCATTGCCAGCTGTCCTCCGCAGGTGGCTGTTGTCTGTGGAACCTCCCCTGCAGGGTTACCCCCAGTGTGCTCTCTGGCCACAGCCCCATCTCGGTTCACGGAATCCCGCAGCCTAAGGGAGTCCAAGTCTAGAAGTTATGTAGAGCAGAGATCACACACATGTAAATGAAGAAGTGGTCTTACTATTGTGATTGTAACAGTCCTGCAGGATCCTGTGTGTGTCCTTTTCTATAAAGCAAGACCATGTCTCCATAAAGAAAAACATAGGAAGAGAGAAAAATGGACCTAAAAGAACAAGAACACCCTCTCCCTGGGTAACTTTCCTGGGTTTCTGAGCATTGCATTCATAGTCAAGTTTCTTGCAAAGAGCCATTCTCTTTAGAATTTAGGACACAGCTGTGCAGCATCCCCCAATTCATGCCCCACAGAAGGCTCTGAGTCACATGACACCCGGACATACATAATTCTGAACAAAGGGGTGTGGCTTCTGTGTTCATAACCTGCCTCTCCCCTTCCCACAAGGCTTTCGGGGAGATTGTAGGTTGTGTCCTATTGGGCTGCTTGACACTGAAGTCCTGGCCCACAAGACGAGATTGTGAAGAAGGCGCTGCCTTCAGTGAGTGGAGGAAAAATGTGCCTTTTCCACATGGTCTACACACAGTCAGCTCAGGGGGTCGGCTTGGAAGGGGGCCCTGATCATTGTAAATACCCTATGGCCTCCTGTGCAGGCGTGACAACCTGCCAGACCACATGGTGGCCAGGACAACACAGAGGAAAATCAAGGGTGACCAAGAAACACCTGTGGCAGCAGGAGTCCTGCTTTCATACGAAATTTCACAAACTTCATGAGAATCTTGAGTTATGAAATAGGAAGGGGAATATGTTTAGCCAAGATGGAAAGTAGCCAGATAACGGAAAGTAAAGCCTAGAAATAAATCTGCATTTCTAGGTGGAACCACATTACCAATGGTGCTTTCTGAGACAGGTGCTAGGATTCTGCTGTTTCTGCACACAGCTTGGAAGAGAGCTGGCTTTGCAAACCTCCCAGTTTCAGGAACGCTCAGCTGCCGGGCACAGTGCTGCAGCAAGTCCACTGCATGGGTCACACGAGGACACTGATGCTGAGAGAGAAAGCACTAGATAAGGTTGGTCAGGCACAGTAAGATAGGATAATTCCCGTCGTCTTTAGAGGAGCAGGGGTCTAAGTTCTCGGAGGTAGAAATGAACCGTTCTGAAAGATTCTGGCCCAGAGAGAAGGGAAGGATCGCCACCACTCTTGAGTCATCTGTGGTGCCCCAAACACTGTGTATCATTACCACTGCCAGGTGGGAGGAAAACAGTGGAGATGCAATGGTATCACAGACGGCACTTACAATCATGAGGGGACGAAAGGGCTTCTAGTAAAGTGAGAAACGCCTAAATAAACATCAGTTCTCCATCGACAGAAATTGAGGTGGATCAAATAATAAAGTGGTGGGCAGATGGAGATTTAGTCATATTTTGGAATTATGAGAAAGTACAGGATGTTTCCTCATGGATGAAATGAATAGTTAAAATATTTTTTTGTATAGATAACCCATTTATATAGTTCAAAATGCAAATCCAGGAGTCCCCCTTGTCCCCATTTCATTTTGTGTGGCTTCAGTGACCTGAGGCTAGCTGCGGTCTGAGAACCTTAAGTGGAAAATTCCAGAAATAAATAATTCATAAGGTTTAAGTTGCGCTTGTTCTGAGTAGTGTGATGGAATCTCTTGCCGTCCTGCTCACCCCGCCCAGGCTGTGACCCTTCCCTCTGTCCAGCGTGTCCGCACCATAGATGCTCCCCGGGCCATAGTCTCTCAGTAGCCACCTCTGCTGTCAGAGTGAAAATCCGTGGTACATGTAGAGTCTGACACCACCCGTGGTTTCAGGCATCCGCTGGGGCCTTGGAATGAACCCCTTTGGGTGGGCAAGCACTGCACTGTAAAAGGGTGTGCGGTGGGGAGTCTCCCTCTCACTGCCGTCCTCAGACCCCGTTCTGCACCCATAGAAAGTCCATGCCTGCTTTATTCCTAGACATATTTAATGCACATATAAACAAGCACATCTTTATGTCCTTTCTTACTAAATTCAATTGGTAGCGCACTCTACACAGAGGTCTGCATCTTGCTTGTTTTTTCTCTTTTTACCATTTATGGTGGGGGATTTTCCCATCCGTGTATAAAGAGCTTCTTTTTTATTTTCTTCAAATGCACAACATTCTGTTGTAGTTCAGATACCCCTTAATATCTTTAACCAGTTCTTATTGGAGGACTTTTGCACAAAATTGTTTATTTGAAATAAACAAAAGTGTAGCAAATGGTACCTTGTGGGAATCATTATCCTAAAAAAAAAATCAATAAAAAGCTGTCTCCTGTTAGAAATTGCGTTGGGGATTAGAATGAGAAGCAGAGTCCAATGGTTAAGGACACTCAGAACTTCTGGGGTCGCTCCGGAATTTTTTGTATTTTATGCCGGTGAGGACAATACTGACCTATTGTGGCAGGTTTCATGTGAAAGCCGGTAAGTCTTGAGGTAATCAGAGAATCAGCACGATCAAGTGCAACTAGACACCTGAGATCCTTAAGCATGTTGTGTCTAATGTCGCCTGAAATCTGGATCTGAATTAGCCCTCCCTCGCGAGAGGAGGATGAGTGACTGAAACAAATCCTTGCCAGGCACCCTGCCTCTGGGCCCCCATGAAAGCTGAAGCCTTTGCTATGTCCTTTCAGGGAGTGGTGTCCTGGCTGTCCTGATGATAGCTGCGTTCCTCCAACCCATACGAGATGTTCAGCGGGAAAGTGAAGGAGAGAAGAAATCAGTACCTTTCTGGTCCACTTTACTGTCGACTTTCAAGCTATATAGAGATAAACGTCTGTGCCTCTTAATTCTGCTGCCGCTGTACAGTGGATTGCAGCAAGGATTCCTCTCCAGCGAATACACAAGGGTATGAACGAAAGTGAGGGCCGGTGGCTCAGGCCATGCGTGGCATCACTGCCTTGCCTGTGTCTGTACCTGCAGGACCGCAGAGTGTCTCAGGCCACCTGCCCAGGGCTGGGGCTGGAGGGAGCGGGGTCCTATGCTCCCAGTGCTACCATAGCTGAGTTTATGATTCAAGGTCTCAACCTCCAAGTAACTTCCAACTCACAGGAGCTTCCACTTCTTGTCTCAAGGGAGAACGTCTTGCTTGATCCGTGTCTTCCTGGGGAAGGAGCCGGAACAAGTGGATGGGCAGCTGCCGCTGACTCACCCCACAGACACTCATCGGTGTTACCCCTGCCTGGACCTCACCCTGCACTCTTACTTTAGAGTTTACATATAGGAAAAGCATTAAGTCCATGAATACCACCAAAATTTCTTATCTCTCTAGTTTTTTTTTTTCTTTCTTTTTTTCTTTTTTTGAGATGGAGTAACACTCTTGTTGCCCAGGCTGGAGTGCAATGGCGCCATCTCAGCTCACCGCAACCTCTGCCTCCCAGGTTCAAGCGATTCTCCTGCCTCAGCCTCCCAAGTAGCTGGGATTACAGGCGTGTGCCACCACGCCTGGGTAATTTTGTATTTTTAGTAGAGACAGGGTTTCTCCATGTTGGTCAGGCTGGTCTCAAACTCCCAACCTCAGGTGATCTGCCTGCCTCGGCCTCCCAAAGTGCTGGGATTACAGGCATGAGCCACTGTGCCTGGCACCTCTAGTTTTCAAATCATGCTTCACAATCTAAAAATCGATGTGGCTCTTGAAGCTTCTGCTCCATCCACTCCTGCCACCTTCTCCCCTCAAGGTGAGAGAGGCGGTGCCCCACCTCAGGGTGCATAAAGAAAGAAGCCACTCCTGGAGGCTGTTGAGAGCTGGGGGCCAGAGCTGGACCAGCAAGGGCCTGTGTCTGGCAGAGGCTCTCCTTCCGGAGGAAACTTCTCTGCTCCAGATCCCTCCCAGGCAAGGCTGCCAACTTAGCAAGATAAAAAGCACCTCAGCAGGTAGAATTTGAATTTCAGATAAACCACAAATGTCTCTCCAGGAGTATGCCCAGGCCATAGTGGGTGTCCTCAACTTTATCTGGCAGTGCTACTTTTAGGACAGCCTTGATGGAGAATCTTAGGAGCTTAAAAGAGTAGAAACAGGATAACAGAAAGGTCTACTTGGCGTTTTGGGGACAGCCCCTCCTGCTCCTCCACTGGACTTGTCCTTGTCCCCCCTGATGTGGCTGTGGCTGGTCTTCTCGTCTCAGTCCCTGTTCTGCGTGCCCGCCCTTGAGGTCGCCCGTGATGGGAGTGTGGTGCGGTGGGCATGAGACACATGTGCAGCCGGCTGCTGGGCTGCTCTGAGGCCCCGGAAGAGGTGTCAGGGCAATCTTTTCATTTTCTCTTTCTCTCTCTGTTTTTTTTTTAACTCTCTTTAGACCTAACAGGTAATGATTGGCCCCAGCAAGGGCAGGGTGTATTGGCTTCCATATAAAATAGTGCCCATTTCACAGCAAATAGTGAGAAATACATGAGAAAGAATTTTGTCTGCAGTTGTCCAAACTGCCTCCTTTTAGTTCTCCCCAAACAGGATTTTCTTACAAACACCAGCTTTTCTCCTGCATGGGAGCCACAGAGCCTAGAGGAAGGTGTAGGCAACACTGGCCTGCTGGCCATCTCAGAGCAGATGTTCTAAGCACCCGACTGCAGCTTTAGCTTGAGCACGGGAGGCCTGGGAGCGTCCATGACGTGGCTCTGCACCCCTCTCCCCAGTCCTATGTCACCTGCACCCTGGGCATCCAGTTCGTCGGCTACGTGATGATCTGCTTCTCGGCCACTGACGCGCTGTGCTCCGTGTTGTATGGAAAGGTCTCGCAGTACACGGGCAGGGCTGTGCTGTACGTGCTGGGTAGGTATCAGCGTGGGTCCCATCCCAGCTGTCATAACGATTTGCAGTAGCAAAAGCGCACAGCTCACAGTCAGGACAGGCTGGAAAAGTGCCCCTGAAACTGCTTTGAAATCAGTAACGCCCTGTAAGATGCATTCATTCTTTCAGTCCTTTCTTCACCCCCTCAACAAGCAGGAATCAGATCTCTCCCCAAGCTGGCTCTGGGCAGGCACTGTGCTCGGCATGAGGCCACACAGCAAGTGCCTGCTCCGAGTGGGCACTCGGTGTGGTGACCAGGCCAGGGTGGGGCAGGGCAGGGTCTCTGCAGGTGCAAATGAGGGACACGAAGCCAGTGGTGAGGCCATGGGGTTCACGGAAAGACACGCTGGGGTTGGGGCAGCTCTGTTCCACATCTATTCACACAGTGGATAAGGACAAGACTTCTAAGGCCACAGACTCCTCCCTAAACACACAGCACCTTCCATTTTTCTTGGGAAGGGAAGGGAAGAGATGAGTCAGAGATCACGTGAACAATGAGGAATGCAGGCACTACGAAAAACAGCGCCTGGCATGTCAATGCCCCAGGCAGGGCTGGGTGTGGGGGCGCAGCCAGAGGAAGGGCACACGGTGAGCATCTGCCAGGGCCATGGAGCCTGGAGGCTCTGCCTGGGGTTTCCTATCCGTCTTCACGGCGCCCTGTGAAGCAGACAGTGTTCCCTTACAAATAGGAGATCATGGAGTGCAGAAGTGGAGGGACTTGCCTAAGGTGGCACAGCCCTGGGGCATGCGGTGTGGACCTGCCTTTCCGCTGACAGAGACCCTGCTCTTCCTCTGTGGCGTCTTGAGCGTCAATGGGCAGCCTCATTACTGCATCCTAGAGATGCCACAGCCTGTGGAAATTGGGGTCCCAAATCTGTGACCTGCTGGGACGAGTCACAAGGTGGGGCCCACAGATGCTACCTGCCTGGGGGGTCTGTGGCCTCCTCCCTTTTGTCCCCATGCCCCTACTTGGAAGGCTCAGATGAAACCATGGGCACACTTTGTCCTACCCCCTGGCTACTCGGAAAGGTGCTGGGATGCTTCAATTTATACCTAATGAGAAGGCCCTTCTCTTTCTGACTTTAAACCCTCTTAGCTTAGGGGCAACCTCAGGCCCAGACAGGGTGACCTTCCTTCCCAACATGATGCCAGACCACACCCAAGGCCCTCCAGGCTGAGGCTGCGGGTCACGCAGCAGGTGTATGGTGCAGAGCATTGATTTAGAGCTAGCAGCACGCATACACATCAGCTCACAAATTAAATGTCAAGGTTCCAACTAAAAAGACGACTTCCAGAGCATTAAGGGAACATTGAGCATGAAGCAAACATTGAGACAGTTCCAGAGGATGGTTGAGACGGTTGAGATGGTTGAGACAGTTCCAGAGGACGGTTCCAGAGGACGGTTGAGATGGTTCCAGAGGATGGTTGAGATGGTTGAGACGGTTCCAGAGGACAATTCCAGAGGATGGTTGAGACAGTTGAGATGGTTGAGACGGTTCCAGAGGACGGTTGAGATAGTTGAGATGGTTGAGATGGTTCCAGAGGACAATTCCAGAGGACGGTTGAGATGGTTGAGATGGTTGAGACGGTTCCAGAGGACAGTTCCAGAGGACGGTTGAGATGGTTGCTCCAGCACTGACCCACCTCCAGGCCCCTCCAGGCCATGATGATGGCCCTCATCGCCTGGCGGTTTCCCCTCTGCACCCCCAGGCGCGGTGACCCACGTGTCCTGCATGATTGCCCTACTGCTGTGGAGACCTCGTGCTGACCATCTGGCAGTGTTCTTCGTATTCTCTGGCCTGTGGGGCGTGGCAGATGCCGTCTGGCAGACACAAAACAATGGTGAGTCCCCAGCCCAGGCCCCTTCCTCTGTGGCAGCAGGGGGCGGTCCCTGGCCAAGGCAACTGTGGGGCTCATTAGATGCCAATGGGCCAGAGCCAAGAGAGATGAGTTGGGAGAGACGGGAGGGCCAAGAGGGCTTTGATGTCGCCTCTGAGTCTGATGTATTTTCTCTGAGCATTTATTCAGATTCATGATGCAAAACTGGAAAACCACCCAAGGTTCCTTCTGGGCACCATTCCCTCAGGATGATGTGGTTTTGCTTAAGTCAAGTCGCCCATTCGAGCTGGGGTGCAAGACTCTCTACCCCTAGGACAGCAGTCTCTTCATGACTGAAAACCTTTATTCAGATGTGCTTGTGAGCAGAGGCACACTCCCGTGTACCTGGGCCTGGGGTGTAAACATGCAGAGCCTTCCAAGGAGCCCACGGGACGATGGGAGGTGGCAGTGTGAGCCACAAGCCACACACATCACAGGTCACTAGGGTCAGTGTCTGTGGACGGGGCTCTGGGGCATCCTGGGCAGTGGTGGGTTTTCTGGGAGCAGCAGGTGGGGGCCCTGTGGATGTGGGGGAGCAGGGGAGGCCAGGGTGGGCTTCCTCCTAGAGGCTACATCTGCATCACGTATGGGCTGACCACTGTCCAGGTGGGGTGGGGTGCAGGAGGAACCAGGGCAGGAGGTGGCAGGGATGCTCCAAGGCCTTGCTGGGGCTGGGGCCCCTAAGAAGGCGGCCTGGGGGGAGTGCAGAGGAGTGGGGTGGAGTGGCAAGTCGGGTCCCCAAGTGTGGGGCCAGCATGTGGGGGAGGGTCAGATGCACCTAGGTCACTGGAAGCAGCAGAAAGCGCTGACACCCAGGAGTGACTGGGAGCTATGTGGAGTCGGCCCCGTGTCACAACAATCAATTCCAAAAGGCAGGTGACAAGGTCCAAGGTGCGGCCCTGTGGGGAGCCGGGAGGGCTGGTTGTCGGATAGAAGGTGACATCCCATGATGATGGCAGGAGCCAAATGCCAAAGTCCTCACAGAATAGGGTGGCCTGGCCAGGAGGTCAGGCAGGGCAGTGAGGACACGGATGGGAGATGAGCGGGAGCCAAGGAGCCAAGCAGGAGCCAGGGAGGAAGGGGCCCCAGGCTCAGGCAGCTGCACTAGAGAGGCCTGAGGGCAAGAGAGCTGGAAGGGGACATGGCCGTTGCACCTGTAATCCCAGCTACTCGGGAGGCTGAGGCAGGAGAATCACTTGAACTCCGGAGGCAGAGGTCATAGTTAGCCGAGATCGCACCACTGCACTCATGCCAGGCTCTGCTGAGCTCCGAGGTGCTTTGTGCGGGCTGGCTGTGTTTTCCACAAGGAGATGCGTGAGAGCGTTTTGGAGGAAGGTCACTAGGAAGAGAAGGAAGCTGGGGCAGTGTGTGTGGCCGCTTGCCGGAGGGTGTGCGTACTGGGTGGTGTTGAAAATGACACAGATGAGGACTTAGGGTAGGAACCCTGAATTTCCCAAAAAACCCCATCTAAGGCCCCGAGGGGTGTCAGAGGCCCAAAGAGGCAAGACTGCGTGTCTAAGAGATGCTGATGAGGTGAGATGAAGTGTCCTCTCGGAGGTGAGCATGGCTCACATGAGACCCTCTTCCCTTCAGGAGAGACTTCACCATTCTGCCTTTATCTGGGAAACACTCGGGGCTTAGAAAATGGAAAAAGCAAACCCACAAACGAACTACAGGCCAATGTTTCTGAGATGACAGACCTGGCTGCTGTCCCTGCACTGAGGATAAAGAGCACATGTGACCTCAGATCGCGGACAGAACACTCCAGCCACGTCCTTTCTTGTCTTCCTGGTGGGTTGCGTATCCACAGGACAGCTGAAAATCACCTTTGAACAAACCCACACTGTTGGATTTAAGGAGCCGTGTTTCACAGTCCTTTCTGCTGCCCCAGTAATGCAGGTGGACCTAGTGAAGCTCTTCACCAAAATGCGTGTGTACTTGGCCCAGCGCCACACTCTGGCTTGTTGGGATCAAGGCCTGGAGGCTGGAAGGGGTAGACTGGACCCGAGGCCAGGCCGGGGCATTGCTTAACAGAACAAATACTGATTTAATGGAGGGGAGACAAACAGCAACTCACTTTGGTGTTCTTGGCAGTGCAGAATTATAAGCTAGTGGCATGTCACCTCGCTGCAGGACTCTTAGCTACGTTACCAATAAGCATCAAACAGTATTTGTTTAAACTGTCCCCTGGATGTGTGGCAGAGCCGGTGTTTCACTGAGCTCCCCAAATGCACATCCCATTACCAGAAGTGCACCATGACTTATCTGAACTTACATGAATTTTAAAATGTATTTACACATTAAATGAAAAGGAGAACACTGGGACAAATATCCCCACAATATTCCATACGATAATTCCCTAAATGCTCCCAATGAATGTGATCATTCATATTTGGTTTTTGTTCTTCCTGAGCTATGTGAACAGTGGACTTAACTCTCCTTTTCCTTATATGGACACATGATACTCTCAGGGAAAGCCTTGTTGAATTGTGCAAACAAAGTTACCTAAGGTCAAACAAAGAGTATCAACGTCCAAGTCCGGTGAATGACTGGAATAAAGACTCCCTTTAATAAGGGATGCTAATTTAAATTGAAACTGTTTCTGTCTTTCTGTACAGGAAAAAGTAATTTTTTTCAAAAATAAACCAAACTGGCCGGGTGCGGTGTCTCACCCCTGTAATCCCACCACTTTGGGAGGATGAACCAGACAGATCACTTAAGCTCAGGAGTTCAAGACCAGCCTGGCCAACATGGTAAAACCTCATCTCTACTAAAAATACAAAAATTAGCCAGGCGTGATGGCACATGCCTGTAGTCTCAGCTACGAGGGAGGCTGAAGCTGGAGGATCACATGAACCTGGGAGGCAGAGGTTGCAGTGAGCTGAGATCACGTCATTGCACTGCAGCCTGGGCGACAGAGCAAGACTCTGTCTCACAAAAAAAATGTTGGGGAAAATATTTTCATATACTTGAGAAGCTCCTGTGGACTTTATACTCGCAATCGTCATGCGTGAGTGGCATTTTAGTGCCGCGTTCCTGCACTCCTGGCAGGCTGGCTCTCCATGCAGCACAGCACACACACAAGGTCTCTGTTCTCTATTTTTTGAAAAAACTGGAAATTTTATGTAGCTTTGGCTACATCTCAAGAACAGCTCTCTTCATTTTTGTTTTTCTAAGTAGCAAGTTAGATTTCTAATCCTATTCTCCCCAAATGTATGCTTTCCTTTAAGAACATATGTGGACCACGTATGTTCTTAATTAACGACACCGAATAAAACCCAATGCACTTTGTCCTCACCTTTCAGTCATCACTGCTCAATTTAAAGACTGGTCCTTACAGTCTCCCACTTAGAAGCAGGTCAGAAGACTTCACCATTTGAGCCCCTCCTTCCTGGGCCAGAATTGAGGATCCCTGGCTCACTGTCCCACTGGGCTCCAGCCATCCCCTGGCCTCTGCAAGGGGAGATCTGTGCCAGGCACTCCTCTCTGCTTATTCCCTCAGACAGCTAATGAAAGATGGGTGCAGTTGCCATGGCAACCCTTCCCCGCCAATGCGCTGCCATGAAGATACAGAATGTCTAGTCTAAAAATACTCTTTTGCTCTGTTGGCTGTTTTCAGGGTGATAAACTCAGAAAATCTCACTTCTTCAGTGCCCTATTCACTTAACCTGTCTTCTCTGACTAAACAAGATTGCTGGACTTCTCATCCACATCCTGGTCTCTTTAACCCTGGGCCACCTGGGAAGAGGAGGCAGACAGGCCAGGCTGAGAGCAATGCTTTGTCTTTCTAAATACAGCTTTTATTTTGAAATAGTTTTAGATTTACAGAAAAGTTGCAAATGTAGTACAGAGAGTCCCCTTGAAAGGTACCAACCTATAGATCCAATGCATTTACCCCGTAGGCCCTGTGCCAGCTTCCCCAAATGCTGAGCATCTCACAGAGCCACGGCACATTCGTACAGCTAGGAAGTAACGCTGCCATGTGACAGTTAGTGGGGGGACAGCCTTTATTTGGGTTCCTCCAGGCTTCCCACGAGGGTTCTTTTTTCTGTGCCA
Organism: Homo sapiens; assembly: GCF_000001405.40. Lineage (NCBI taxonomy): Eukaryota > Metazoa > Chordata > Mammalia > Primates > Hominidae > Homo > Homo sapiens. The sequence continues at coordinate 167,312,003 of NC_000006.12, forward strand.
GGATCCTGTCCTGGATTCCCTGTTGGACTCAGTCATCGTATCTTCTGGCTGCTCTGTGACAGCTTTTCATTTTCCTTGTTTTTCATGACCTGGACCCTTTTGAAGAGCACCGTAGTCTGTAGGCTGTTCCTTAATTTTGGTTTGTTTGCTGTTTTCTCATGATTAGGCTGGGGCTGTGGGTTTGCGGAGGACAGCTCCCTGGTGAGGCACTTTCTTGTCCCGTCATATGGGGGATACAGGACAGGGACAGGCCTCCTCACCAGCGATGTTAACCTTGATCCCGTTGGCTCCGTGGTGCCGGCCACATCTCTCCACTGCAAACCCACTGCCTTCCCTTTCCACACGCGGTTCTGCGGGAGCGAGTGCCCAGGGAGCCAGCAGTCAAGAAGACAGCAGCTAATCTCCACCCTGAGGAATGTCTATGTGTACTCTGTAATTCTTCCATAAAAAACGCCTGTCCCTTCTCCCCGATGTATTTATTACTCAATCATTGATCTGCATCAGCATGGGCTCGTATATTTACTCTACACTTTGGGTCACCATCCAACACCACATTATTTCTTTATTAAGGTGGTAAGACACGGGGCTTATTCTAGCCCCCACTGCGTAGCTGTCGCTCCATTCTCCGGCAGCCAGAAGCCTGGTTCCCACTAGGTATGACTGCTTCCTTATGTGTTCAATCTTTTACATGTGTACAGTCATTTCAGAATTGTTGAAATACCATTTTCAGTCTACTTTCCTTTTTAAAAAATGTCTTTCCCCACTATGTCCTTAGCTGTGGGTAGTTCCATGCAATTCAAAACAATAAATGCATTGCTTTCTTTATGTTTGGATTAAAATAGGAACCAAATCTTGAGTAATTCCCTGAAAAGCCTGAGTTTAATTATCACTGGCATTGGCCTCTCCTCCCCTAGACTGGGCTGATGTCATCCACACGTGTGGCTTCCCCTTTCCCGAGTGGGACAAACGGTTTCCCCTGATTCTTCCTCCGTGTTTCTTAAAGGCAGTTCCAGCGGCTTCATCTGGGTCCTAGGCGTCTCCCTCTGTGGGTGTGGACCCTGCTTCTGTGGGTAGAGCTGGATTAGCAGACAGGCAGGAGTGAGGGTGTCACCTCTGTCTGGGGCCACACCTGTCTTCTTTGGCCTCCTCCATTCTGTTTTGTGGCCAGGGGACAGCCCACTTTCCAGCCACCTTCTGGGTCCCCAAGTCCTCCATGCTGGGGAACCTACTGTCTCCCAAACACATCTAGGTGATTTTGAACACAAGTATGTGAGCTAGAAGACAGTCTAGCTCTTTCTCTCTTTGTTGTAGATCTCCTCACTAGGTCCAGATTTTGGAACCAGAGTCAGAGAATGTCAAGTTCTTCATGTGACATGTGAGGCATTGAGGGCCCGGAAAGTTTATGTTTATGGAAAAACTCAGAGGGCCGAGGAGAACATGGCTACTTATGAAGAAGCTGAATTGGCCTTGGACCAACCAGAACTTGACGAAGGGAGATGGTGGGGGGGCTGGGGGAGTGGAGTGAGTCCCTTTCTTGGAGGACAACGATTTCTAATCACGGCAGCACAATATAAATTTCATCTTGAAATTCTTGAATGACAGCAACCCATATTCCCAAAAAGTTAGCTTAAAATTAGAGTTGCCTGTATTACTAGAATATTTATAATCTGGGTCCATTGGCTCTGGTTTTCCGACCTGCCCAGGGTGTAGCCGGGAGCTTTTAGCCACAGAACATGGCATGATCTACCACTTATAGCCATGGTGTCTCAACTTGGATTTTCTTCCCTAGAACCTTGGTTTTGGATCCCATGCTAACAGTCACCATCAAAAAACAGACAAGAGGTGTTTAGAATAGTCTCAGAAGCCAACTAAATCAAAATTTGGTTATTCAGTTCTCTTTGGTCATTACTTTTATTAAGGTGGACAATGTGCAGACTGTGGGACAAGAAGGGTGCCTTGTCCTGAGGCTTCCAAAGAGCTTCTTGTTTCCCAAACATCCATGAGCTGTTGACAGTGTGAATCTTAGGGCTCTAGCAGGGCACTCCCCTGCTGTAAGCGCATCTGCGTTGGTCTTCAGCAGTAGAGGGAGCATTCATGATGTGAGTTGTTTCGTATAAAACTCATTAACACATTTAGTGCTGGGCCTCCCCACACACGGCATTGTCTCCAGCACTAAGGGAGGGGTGGGCAGAGCGAATCTTCGGCAAGACGGTTCTTTCCACACTCCTGTGTGTCTTGCGCTGAACCAGGTGCCATGGAGTTTACAAAATTAAATGCCATCCTCCCTGCCTCAAGGACCCCATGGCTGGCAGTCTGGAATCCTCCTGGGGAACCACATGCTTCTGCCCCTGGTTTCAGGCCCTGCTGCCTGCAGTTAAGGTCACCGCACACCCTGCCTCACCGGGGCTCAGGCTGCCACTGTCCCTGCTCCTGTCCCTGCCCCCCACCTGCCTACTTCGCCTCAGGCTGTGGAGGGTTTTCCTGGGTCTCTGTGGCCAGCAGCCTGGGTGGAGCCCCAAAAGGAGCCCTGTGTTTAAATCACAAGCAGGAAAATCCTGGGGCTCCAAAATCCCTAAGCTAAAGGGAAAAGTCTAGCTGGGAACTGCTTAGCACCAACGTGCCTCCCGTTCTATTCAAAGTCACCCCTCTGCTCACTGAGAGAAATGCAGATCTGATTGTTTCCTTTGAAGAGGCTAATCAGAAACTCAAAAGAATGCCACCATTTGTCTCTTATCTACCCGTGACCCGGAAGCCCCCTCCCTGCTTCCAGTCTTCCTACCTTTGCTTGGAGTTGTCTTGCCTTTCTGGACAAAACCAATGCTCATCTTAACCAAACCAATGTTCATCTTACGTATGTTGATTGATGTCTCATGTCTCCCTAGAGTGTATAAATCTACAGTGTGTTCTGACCACCTTGGGCACATCTCGTCAGGACCTCCTGAGGCTGTGTCACGGGCACCGGTCCTCAACCTGGGCAAAATAAACATTCTAAGTTAACTGAGACCTGCCTCAGGTTTTCGGGGTTCATGCTATCATCTGGCATGTAAAATCATTCTGTTGTGAAAAAAGAAAAATGTCTTGATTTAGTTGAGAAAATGGGGCAGTGGGAAAGCTGTGCTCTTTTCACAAACAGGGTCACTGTGGGGCCCATGGCAGAGCTCTCACTCCGCTCTCTCCTCTGCAGCTCTCTACGGCGTTCTGTTTGAGAAGAGCAAGGAAGCTGCCTTCGCCAATTACCGCCTGTGGGAGGCCCTGGGCTTCGTCATTGCCTTCGGGTACAGCATGTTTTTGTGCGTGCACGTCAAGCTCTACATTCTGCTGGGGGTCCTGAGCCTGACCATGGTGGCGTATGGGCTTGTGGAGTGCGTGGAGTCCAAGAACCCGATCAGACCCCACGCTCCAGGACAGGTCAACCAGGCAGAGGATGAAGAAATACAAACAAAAATGTGAGAGCAGTGAGGTCCGAGGAGGATGAACTCAGAAAGCACCAGCCAGAGAATTTTCTTAGAAGATGCCTCAGGACATAGAGCGGCTCCTCATCACCATCTCAGCACAATTTGGCCATTCTGAAGAGATCATGTTATTTCACTCTTCATGTATTTTTTTTCTATTCTAACAAATTTTTCGTCCACCATCTTAACAGAGATCAAGTGTATACATGAAGGTATCAGTTCATTTAATTTTAGATGCAAAAGAAAAAGGTCTAACGTACAATCAGCCAATTAGAATTTGCCTGAAATCATAGACTCACCCTAGTTTTATTGCTGTAGTTGTTTTTAAGAATTGGAAGCCTGCTTAAAAAATGTAGTTGAGCCCCATAATTTTACAAATGGGCGAACTTTTAAACTTCTAACTCTACTTGGATCAAAACCTCATACATTTTACAAAGGGGTCCTGACAAGTCAGCTGACTCAACCTCACAGAGTCAGGGGGTGACAAAGCCAGACTGGGGCTCAGGATTCCTGAAACGTGTGGGGTCTGCGTTTCTAAATAAAGACGGTTATTTAATGGACTTACCTCCTGCCCAAGTACTGTTGTGCTAAGTACTCACATAGACACACACACACGCTTCATCACATCAGTGCTTTAGTGTGCTGTGGCCTTCGCAGACCTTCGAGAGCATTTCAGGTGAAGATGCTACATGTGTCTGTTAACATGGAAAATGGTGCCGGGCACGGGTTGGGTGATATTTGCCCATCTCACAGTCATCGTCTTGTCCCTTGGCACCTGGTCTCCTCTCTCCCTTGTTCTTCCTAGCAGCACTGCCGCCTGCCCATCTCCAAGGCTTCTTCCTTGTCCACTGCACTCAGGTCCCCAGGCCCTCCCCAGCCCTCCCCCATTACTAGCACCACCTTGCCCAGCCCCTTCCCGCCTCCCGCTCATCCTCTCCCACAACCCACCCTCCCCGGCCCTACCCCTGCCCCCCCCACCCCTCCCCAGACCCCTTCCTGGCCCCTTTCCTACCCTCCTTGGCACCCCCCCACCCTTCCCCCACTCCCGTGCCCTCCCCACCCCCGCCAACCGCCTTCCCTGCCCCCCCCCACCACCCTCGCTTCCTGGACCTGCCCCGCCCACCCTGGACCCCCCCCCCCACCCCCTCACTCCTGGGACCTCCCTGGCCTGTGGGCCTGGAGCTTGGGATCTCTTTTGTCCTTTAACCCTAAGCTGCTTCCTTCCCCTTCCCTTCCTCTTCCTCCCCCTCCCCTTCCCCTTTGGTTCACACTGAGGCTTCTTCTAGACCTTATGTGTCCTGTCTGTGGCTCTCCCGCTGCATGTTGTTCGTTTATTGTTTCTACGAGCATCTCCTCCTCCTGGAAATTCAGCTTTCCAGTGTCTAGTACACAGCACTAGCAGGTGCTTCATATGTGCAGAAGGAAATGGGCCTCTCTGTGAAATTCCAAATACTTCCTTCACTCACCCTCATTCATTAGGATGCTGGCTGCCTCTGGCCATGGGAGGGGGAGCAAATGCCTCCTGGCCCTGGCCCTTTCTCCTTCTAGTCAGTGTCAGCCAGGTGCCCAGACGGGCGATGATCAAAGGCAGAGAAAAGTGCAGCTGCCACGAGCTAATGCTTCCTGGCCTCTCAAATGTTACCTCTCAAGCTTCCCCACGACGAGCTGGGCATTTTCTCCCAACTGTTAGAATTCCCCTGATAGCCCAGTGTCTCTGACCACCAGCAGCCTTCTTCTTGTTACCCAGGCTCATGTGCCCTTTATGTGCCACTCTGTCCCTGGCCTGGCTGATCAGGGAGGAGGCCCTGCCATTCCTCCCCCAGGCTGCCGATCCTCTGCCTCCATTCCATTCCCTGTCGATCCTCTGCCTCCATTCCATTCCCTGTCGGCTGCTTCCTGGTTCATTGTCCTCCCTGCAGGGCTCCTCTTATCCTCCATCCGGGCTATTGAGAGAGGGATTTCACTAAACACAGGACACTTCACCTCCAGCGCCCATCTAAAGAGCACAGTCTTACCCACTGGCCGGGACAGTCCAGGCCTCCGTGAGTTAATCCCAGCTGCCTCTCTAGCCTTCCGTCCGTTTCACCAGACTTCTCTGTCCAATGCTTCTGTTAAATACCGAGGTCCTTCCCTTATGGGCCCTTCGCTCATGCTGTCCCTGTGTCTCTATCCAAACCACGTTTATCCTCCCAGACCCAGTGGAATGCCGTTAACTCTTTGCAGGCTTCAACCATCTTCCTAAAGCTGGGCCTCTGCACTCTCTAATCCCTGCCCTGCTTTGTCCTCCCCTTTCCTGCCTTGCACCACGGGCTGCCTGGTGCCATCCCTGTCTGTGGGATCCATGGCCGTCTTGCCCAGCGCCATGCCTGTTTGTGGGATCCATGATGGTCTTTGCAGCTCCCACAACAGGGTCATGTCAAAAGGAGTCAAGACTGGCTAGGGTATTTGTGTAGAGGGCGTTCATCGAGGGTAAGGTGACATGTCATGTCCCCTCCATTTGGAGGTTTAGGATTTTGTGAATTGATGATGGGCACTCCTGGTGCTCCTCAGGATAAGTCTTATTTGGAACTGGTCTTTGGTTTCTCAGTCTGCTCAGAGCATTTTGAACCCTGTAGACCCTAAGTCAGTAGGAACTCCTTAGACCTTCGGGGGTAGTGAGGCCTTTGCAGAATGTCTTGGAGACAATGAACTAGGCCTGCTCATGAGGTGTGGGGGGCACTAAGGAGTGAGCCCTGGGCCTAAGGCTGGAGGGGAGGACCCAGAGGTGAGAGGAGTTGGGGAGTGCATGTGCATTTGTCCAAACCAGTGTGCATCTGCGTGGCTCCAGCCGGCCGTTCAGAAGTGAGGTGGAGCAGGGCAGCCTCTCCAAGTGCTCCTGGGACAGAGAGCTTGCTAGTTTAGAAGAGTCCAGTTGGGGTTGCAGGATCATCAGAATTCTGCTCAGAGACTGAGCCATGATCGTGTTCTGCTGATGTTGATGCTTACAGGAAAGTGCCAGACTCTGTGTGACAGGAGCCTGAGCCTCCTCTGAGTCACTGGAGGGGTTCAATTGAGCTCAACGGAGGATCTGTGTGACAGGAGCCTGAGCCTCCTCTGAGTCACTGGAGGGGTTCAATCGAGTTCAACGGAGGGTCTGTGTGACAGGAGCCCGAGCCTCCTCCGAGTCACTGGGGGGGTTCCGTTGAGCTTGACGGAAGGTCTGGTTGTTGGGTGTCCATGTGGAGCGGCCAGCTGGACCTATGAAGATGCCCTCAACACACAGCATTTCCCACTGCTATGCACCTGACCAGCGGCTTGTCTGGACAGCCAGGCTCTCCCTGAAGGTGGCCGGTGGCATTGGGGACTTTTCTGATTTCTTCATCCTTTGCATTTTGGAACTGAAGCATTTGTGGCTGCGCCCAAGTGCCCTGGTGAGAGCCTAGAGAAAGAGCAAACCAGATTCTAATCTCTTCCTGGTCCCGGGGGGAGGGTGTGTGGCTGGGTCCCTGGGTCGTATCGGTATTGCCAGCCCAGCACGTGCTTAGCGGGAAAGTTGAACAGTAACCGGACTTCAAAGCAAATTTTTGGTTTTTCGGGTCTCCAGATAGCATTTATTTCAATCAGATCATCTACGCACTACAGAAAAAATAGTTTCTCTCTCTGGTTTTCGCATGACTGCTGGTGCGTCCAGGTCACTTTGATCACAAAACCTTTCTAACCAGTTTCCTGGTTAAGGGTCCAATTTATGAAACTCTTAATAGGAGCCTCACTTTCCATTGTGTCAAAGCAAATTAGTTAAACTCACTCTTTTTTAGTATTCAGTGTGTAAACTGGGAATATTCCTACTTCACAAAGAAAAATTAAAAGAGTGTGTATCATAAAATGCTATCAAGAGCTATACAATGGAACAATAAGAACAGCCATCCCCTAGACCAAGCTTAAAATGCAGTGCTTTTCTGTCAATCCCTGAACTGCAGTGCGCTCTTCTAAGCTTTCATAACATTTCATTCATCAGTCTTAAGTTTCCATGGCCCAACTCCCAGGACTCAGAGGCAAATGTGCCCTGTTTTTACTTGATCAGAGATTTGATGAAGGCAAGATTTTTAAAAAATATAATGTATGCCACAATATATTATACAAAATTTTCTAAAATCTAAAGATCTATCTATAAGAAAGCCCTTAAATATAGAAATTAAAACGTTAAGAGCATATAATGAAGAGACAGGGAGGGTGCCGCTGACCCAGATCTGTTGCCCATCTGCAGTTACTATTGCATTCTAAGATTAGCCCTGAGCTTGCTGGCAGCCACGGCAGAAAAATAAATGCAAATTATAAAATAGTCAGTTTTGATGAAAAGAGGCCTGCCAGCATCAAGAAAGAGATTCGTTTTCTAGGTCCCAAAATGTAAGGGGATTTTCATGTGGGTCCCCGGCCAAAAAACATGGAGCGAGTGTAGTGGACACTCTTCTCTGATGGGTTGTTACGGCTGTTTGGTGACTGTGATCTTTGCTAACTGCAGTGATCTCATTGGAACGTGATTCTCTGAACGTGTGTGAGCAAGGTCTGCTAATGAGACCAGGAGTGTGCACCCTCCTGAGATGAGGGCCGTCCACGCCTGGGCTTGGGGCCTCTGTATCACCCGCCTAGCCTGGGTCTGTTTAGTCAGTGACTCATCGCTACCTCACCCCAGTGAAAGCCGTGATGCCGAGATAGCTAACCCGCAGGAGAGCTCCAAAGCACTGAGGTGTCTGGCCTTTGTCAAGGTACTTGAGTCTGTTCCAGCTTCACAGCCAAATAACAAACAGACATTACTTCTTTTTCCTAAGTTCATTTCCAGGCCCAAGTCAAAGCTGCCTGAGTCCCCGGGGCCCCACTCCAGTCCCTCTGGAATGTTCTCTCAGAAGTTCCCAGCCCACCTTCTCCTAGCGTCCCGAGGACAGATCACGCCAGCTGAAAGAAGATCTGAGTCTGGGGAAGGAATCAGGAAACTTGTCTTCCTTCCTCCTTCCCCTTTTCTTCCCATGGGGTCAGCACCCTGGAAGGGGTAGGAAATCCAGAAGGAAGCACGTGTGTGGCGGGAATCATTCTTGAGAGAGCTGCGGGTGCCACGGGGCCAGCCACGCTCCTTCCCCCGAGACCGCCTGCCCAGGCCCCTGCTCGGCCAGACCCGCACACAAAGGAGCAGCGGCCGGAGACGTGGTGCCCTGGTGGACAGGGGCTGTACCGTGGCCTCAAGGAACGTGCATGGGCAGAGAACAGTCTCCTGTGGTGAAAGACAGATGCCGCCGTGGGTTTCCCCTGGTGACTATAAAGCCTCCATCCTACCCACGTTGCAAATGTCCCACTCTGCTCCCTCCTGTGCCTGACTCACTATCCCTGTCTGGAGAGCATCTGTCCGACTCCCAACGCGACACGCCCTCCCTCAGTCCCTGACTCCCTCCCTTCCCTTAGTCATTCTGTTTGCAAAAATAAGACAAAACAAAAATCTACACAGGCGTTCGACCAGACCGCTTTGGAAGGTAAAGTCTCACACCGGGAACGCAAAGCAAGTTATTTATCTCCCATGACGCCTCCGTCTGCCTGTCCTGATGCGTGTGGGCAATAGGAAGCCTCCTTCCTTAGGGAATAGTTCTTTCCTGCCCATTGCTGGCAGGGCAGGCTTTGCTTCATCTCCAGCCATGGCCTAAAAGGGCACCAATGACAGGGTGGGCCTTTGAAAATATGGCCCTGAAACCCAGAGGGTTTACCTGTTCAACTTGGAAGTGTGCCCATGAGCACCCGTGTGTGTGTGTGCACATCCGATGAGCTGCACAGTCCACACACTCAGCTCCGAGGAGAGCACAGCGGCCTTGAAGAGAAGCAGATTCGGGAACCTCACATTCAATACTGAGCCATGGATCTCACTCGGCCTCCAAGTACAGGAGAAAGCCCCACCCACCACCCCTGTCCCTCCTTCCCGGGCCTTCCCGCCAGGCCAGCCCCCTTCCAGGGCCGTCCCCTCACTCCTCCCTCACCTGCCCAGTCCTGCAGAAGGCAATTGTGATTTCTGTTTTTGCAGCAACCTTTCCTGAGACCTCATCTATCTGTTCCACTTCCATCCTTAACCCTGACAAATTCCAAGCAGGTCTCATTCTCATCATGCAAGAAAATTAATAAGCAGATTAGGATATTTATTCATTCATCCAAGAAGTATGTACTTAATATCAAGCATTTGCTAAGTGCCACATATTGACCTAGATATAGTGAATCAAGCAGGCATTAAACGGCAATGTTTTGTTCTCAATAAGTTTCTATTCTACAGAAAAAATGTAAAATCGGTTTGTGGGTGGCCAGAGGCAGGAAGAGCAATGGAATTGGGTGAGGGCATGAGGACAGACATGGCACAGCTGTGTGCAGGGCGGAAACACCGCTTCCTCTGACGAGGTGGTGGGAGAGGCTGCAGCACCCAGCGGGAAAGCCAGGGAGGTAAAGCAGGGGCTGAGGTCTGAGAGGAGGCCCACGGAGGGGGCCCAGATCGCACAGGGCCCAGCACCGAGGTAAGGCCCTTAAGTTTTATTCTGAGCCACATGGGAACCCGTATTCATTTCCTAGGGTGTCATAATAAAGCACCACAAATTTGAGTGGCAAAAACAGCAGGAATTCATTCATTTTCTCACAGTTTAGAGGCCAGAATTCTATCAAGATGGCAGTAGGGCCAGGCCCTTCTGAAAACCCTAAGGGAGGGTACTTCCTGGCTCTTCAGCTTCCGGAGCTGCGGGCCATCCCCAGTGTTCCTTGGCCCGTAGATGGACCACTCCAATCTCTGCTGCCATCTCCATGCGGCCTCTTCCCCATGTGTCTGTATCTTTGCTCAGCCTTCTCCTCTGTGTCTCTGTGTCTAGTTCCTCTAAGAGGAACTTCATGCCACTGGTGTCCACAGAAGGACACTAGTCATATTGGATTAACCACATCTGCAACAGCCCCATTTCCAAAGGTCACACTCTGAGGTTCTGGGAAGACATGAATTTTGGGGGACACTGTTGATCCCAGTACAGAACCTGCTAGAAGGCCTTGATTAGAGGAGTGGCAGGCATGAAGTGACTTCTTTATAAAAAGATCATTCTGGCTACAAGAAGCATTTTAAAAAGAACATGCTTATGTAACCAGCACCCAGAGCAGGTCATGGAACGCCACCAGCAGCAGCCGAGACCCTGGGGACCCAACACCACCACTTCCCCCAAGGCAACAGCTTCCAAAACTGGAGGCTCGTTTTATGTACTGAATTTGATGTATCTCTGTCTTCATTAACATTTATTATGAAAGCATCATGTTCATTATAGTCCTTCAAACAGTACTGAAGTAAAGATGGTAATAAAAGTCCATTCTCAGTTAATATTGACTATCTCCCCCAGTGAATCAGGTACTGTGCTCGTCGGGGGGTTTTTGAGGAATGCTAACTGGAAAAATGTCTAGGCTTTGGCCACCGGGTTGGGAAGATCTTTGGGAGGCACAGAAGTCCCCCCGAATTCCCTTAAGCCACGCTGTTTTTCAGTCTTTCTCCCTCAGGCTCAGTAGAGGGTAGAAGGGGTTCTCCTTCCATCAACCACCTGGGATGAGAGTCTTGATGCTCACTGGAGGGATAGGATAGGGGTGTCATAAAATGGAGAAAATTCTACGTATTGGTACAGAGTTTTCTTGCACTTTGCCAAAATTATAGATGTAAACATCATAATGAATCTAACCTCCTCTTGATTCCACAGGAGGGTGCGTAAAATAAGTGTGTTCTGGTGCCAACAGTGGGAAGCGGGGGATAGATTTATGCCATAATAGTGGGCATTTGTGAGTTCCACACAACAGAACATAGGGAGCCCCCAAGCACGCTGACTGCAGCACGAAGCCAGGGCGGGAGGAGACGCTGGACCAACACTGTGGTGGGATCCAGTGCTCCTCTGGGTTGGGTCTCTGACGTTAAAGTCCAGAATCTGTGTGGTCAGTCCCTAGGAGGTGCAAAGCCCATCTCCAAGCCTTTCCATATCCAGTAACCAGGAGTTAGGTGGAGAACTGAAGCCAAGGAGAGGAGTGAGCCCCATGTGAAATCAGGGAAATAATCAAAGGGAACAACAAATGGTTTGGGGAAATGTGTTTGCTTCTAGTGCTCACTTCAGACAAAAATACATTTTTATAAAAAATGCACACCGCATATTTTTCTTGCCAAAATGCCCCTAGGAGTCTCCTCTAGTCTTGATAGCTTTGCCCTTCTTCTGCCAGATACCCAAGTGGAGAGTCAGCACGAAGTCTCGGAGGTGCAGGTGTAACATCTCCAATGGAAGGGACAGATGAAACATGGCTGAGTAAATGCATGATTTACAAATCGACACACCAGTGATCTGAGCCCAGGTGCTCTTGCTTGTGCCAGGATTGCCTTCCCTGGGAGTGCAGGAAGCCCAGATAAAGTAACCCCACCCACCCACCCTTCCTCGCACGCTCAGGAAGACAGTCCTGGTGGAAGAACCTCATTTCACTTCATTTTTACAAAATTTACCCCACCACGTGCTGGGAGAAAAACAATAAATAATTAACAATGCATGAACATGTCAAATGGAAAAAGAAAAATGCCTTTCAGATTATATCTTATGAATGACTTTTGTTCTTGGTTTGTGGATAAGGAAATTAGCCATGTTTCCCTGTGCTTGACAGAACTTGGGCAACCTCCTCAGCAGCTTGGTGTGCAGTTTTTATAGAGTTACGTGAAGCAATTGATTGTTTCTGGAAGACGGTGGCAATGCCTGTAATCGAATAGATGGCAATAAAGCATTCAACTGTCATCCACAGAGGCAGCCACTTGCCAGAGCCAACATGTGCCGAGGGTAGAGAGTCTACGGCTCTGAGACGCCTGGCAAGGCCTCTCCAGTTCCTGCAGTCCTGAACCTCAGGGGTGGTGGCCGGAGGCCGTTAGATTAGCGAGGACACAGCCTGAGCTGGAAGGAGGGGTCCAACTGGGATCTCTGACACAAACATGGCTTAAACAAAAAGACACGTAATTCATTTTGGAATCTCAACTGCTTTTGTGTAGACATAACTTTTTTTTTTTTTTTTTTTTTGAGATGGAGTCTTGCTCTGTCGCCCGGCTAGAGTGCAGCGGCGCAATCATGGCTCACTGCAATGTCCACCTCCTGGGTTCAAGCAGTTCTCCTGCCTCAGCTTCCCAATTAGCTGGGATTACAGGCACCCACCACCATGACCAACTAATTTTTGTATTTTTTTTAGTAGAGACGGGATTTCAACTCGATTATCTCCATCTCCTGACCTTGTAATCTGCCTGCCTTGGCCTCACAAAGTGCTGGGATTACAGGCATGAGCCACCGCACCCAGCCCACGTTAAATATTAAGATTCCATGCAGGCGAAGCAACAGGAGAACCTGGCAAGAACAGATGCCACCCCGCCAGGCAGCCCACAAGGCCTGCCCCCTGTGTGCTGGCCGCTGAGGCCTGAGGCATGGGGACTGGCAGGAGGCCCACTGGGTCGGAGAGAGAACTCTGAAGCTTGGAGGGAGGAAGGTGTGATGAAGCCTGGGTCCCTGTCCCTAAGGGGTCCTGACAGTCTGGGCCCCACCCTGAGTCTATGACTGGCTTCCCCTTTGTGAGGAGAGCAGACCCTGCATCATCAGCAACCAGTGCTCCCTCCAGCCTCCGCGCATTTCAGCTGGCGCTGCAGCTGCTGCACAGAGACCCACAGAGGCCACCCTCGGAACCAGCGCCCAATGAGAGGGCGGGACCTGTGTTCCTCCACACAAAGCCAGGCGCTGGGGTAAGCGTAGGAGGCGACACGTAGGATGGGAGGGTGGCCCCGATCATGCCTCTGTTCCAGGACCAGCCCCTTCCCGAGAGCACAGGGGCCAGGGTCACTAGGAGCAGCGAGTGTGCACTGGGACCCCCGAGGGGCAATTTGTAGTCAGCCCTTCATACTCCTTCAAGGGAAAAGCAGTCCAGCATTGTATGAAGTCATGTACTTTTCAATCCAAAAATTTCCTATGGTGTCCAGTGCCTCCTGCATGCTGAGGTGCCAGTTATATAAGAGTGAACGAAGTAGACCCATTCCTGAGACTAAAGTTACCAAAGGAGGGGAGTGTAAGTTAACTGCATCCCATAGTGGGTACAGGAAATTCAACTGAATTCAACCAAAGCCGATTGAATGGCCGCTGTGCTCTGGGAACTGTGACAGATGCTAGGGTTATGAGACGGAACTGGATCATCTATGAAACACACATGGTTGTAATTCAGGGCCGAGCAGAATTGTTTCCATAGGATAAGTGTGAAGTGGTATGGACCCCACGGGGGAAAAGAAAATCCCCCCAGTGTAGAAAGGAAGGGCTTCAAGGAGGAGTGGGCATTCATGCTGGGCTTCCTGGGAGAGGTGGGCTTCCATCAGCAGAAACTCAGGGGCTCTAGGGGCATTTGAGGCTGAGGAGGGTGGGCTGAAGCACTGGGCTCCTGTTGTCACATGCGAGCGGGAAGCGGGCTGTGACAGGCCGAACAGCGGCCGAGAACGGGTGCAAGGCCGTGAGTGCCTGCCGGCCTGTAGCCTCCACACCGCAGGCAGAGGTCATGATGAGGGAAGAGATCACACCTGCCCATCTCCAGTCTTCAAAGAGGCAAAGTCAGCTCTCCCAACTTGGGCTAGTGATGGCGTTTGCGTTTCAAGCAGCTCAGTCTACCCCGGGTTTGTTGGAAATGAGGCTACTCTGGGTGTCTTGGGGCTGAGCGTACACATGGGACTTGATCTTTGACCTCTGCGACCTTAGAACTTTCTTGAGAAAACAGAACTTTCCTGATAATTAACAGAAAAAATAGTGCATGATTTCTGGTTTAATAATAAAATAATTATTCTGTGTTTCAAGCAATACAAATTTTTATTCAAAAGAACATTTAGGTAGGAAGTTTTTTTAAGTTGGTCAACTCAAAAAACGGGACTGTCTCATCTATAATTGGGGTGAAAAGCATTCTACATTCCATATAAACTATAAGCCACAGCTATCAACTATGCATCAGGAAAGGTGACAAGCAGAATGTGGACCATTTACAGGCCAAGTGCTTGAGGGTGACTGATCTCCACAAATGGCTTCAATGACCTAGAACAATCACGCACAAGGCCTGCAGCTACTGTGCGTTCCTACCCAATAAAGGTGGGATATTTTCTATGTCTACACCAAGCTTGTCCAATCCGAAGTCCTTGGGTCTCATGCAACCCAGGAGAGCTTTGAATGTGGCCCAACACAAATTTGTAAACTTTCTTAAAACATCATGAATTTTTTGTGATTTTGTTTTGTGTTTTTAGCTCATCAGCTGTCGTTAGTGTGAGTGTATTTTATGTGTGGCCCAAGACAATTCTTCTTCCAATGGGCCCAGGGCAGCCAAAAGACTGGACACCCCTGGTAGACAATGTAAATCAAAGAAAATGACCACCGCAAGTCTCAATCATTTAAGAAGTTTATGTGCCAAGGTTAAGGATGTACCCAGGAAAAAGAACACAGAACCACAGGAAAAGGCTGTGGCTTATGCTTTTTCCCCCATAGAGGGTCTGGGGACCTTAATAAGTAAAGAGAAAAGAGTAGGTATTGGGGGAAAGAGGAAGGAAAAAAAAAGGAGGGTCTGTAAGAGGGAAGCAGTTGCAACTTTTTGAATCTTTGGTCAGCATTCACTGAATACACATTTTATAAGTGGGGCGGGTAGAGGAACAGTCGCTTAGCATTCGTCTTGCTTAGTGAAACTTCATTTTTATATAAGATGAAATAAACATAGGACAGAGGATGCCATCAGTTATGCATTTGCCTCAGGTAAATGGAGGGATGACTTTGAGTTCTGTCCTTTGTCCCGTGCCTGTGAAGATGAGTTATCATCTTACATTGTCAGGGTGAAATTCAGCAGAACTGTTCTTGGGTAAAGATCTTGGAGCCCACCAGGAATTTCCTTGTGAGGGAGGTCTGTATGTAGCTTTTGCATCTTTGCAGCCATCTTCTTTAGGAGTAAAATGGGAGGCAGGTTTGCCTGATGCAGTTCCCAGCTTGACTTTTCCCTTTGGCTTAGTGGGTTTGTGGTCTTGAGATTTATTTTCCTTTTACAACAACTCACTTCTAAATTTGGAACTCACTGTGCTAAGCCGTGTGGAACAACAGCTGTGTGTATGAATTTTACATTCACACCAAGATGGCATATAGGTTTTTACATATTTACGGCTTGGCTACAGGGGTGGCTATTAATAGTTAAAAAGTGAAGGAAACCATATTCGCACAAGAGAAACGGAAACATACAGGTTATGTATGGTGAATCTCCAGGAATTCCAAGTAAAGCAGGGAAATGCTTTTGTAATTAACCTCTGAAATCCTAAAAGTATAGGTCTTTTTATATAAAAATGTACACTTTTCTTTCTATCTCTTGCACATGAAAGAGGCAAAGAGCAGCATTGCCTATTCATTGGCGGATGTTTTCTTTGGTTCTCTATGTTGGTGAAAACTCCTTTTACAGCATCTGGTATCAAGGTCACTTGAGAAGGGCCCCTCTCCTTGACCCCAAAATATTTTCTCCTCATTTCAGTTCGATGACACCTGAAATTCCTGGTGTTGAATCACATGGTTTAACCCTTCAGCTGGATCCCGGTCAAATGGAAAGTTGCTCTGGGGCTCTGTCCTGTAAGCAGTGAATGTGCCAAAAAGATAAAATGTGAAGAAAAAGACTCTTAGTTATTTTTGCAGAGCCTGTCTTGGATGGAAGAAAGCACCAAAACTAGGAGCTGTCGGCTAAGGAGGCTGCCGTCCCTGGGAGCCGCTCTCTCCTACTGCATCCTGTTGTCCCTCAGTCTTCTGGGCAAATCAGTGGGCCCTCATCTAGAGATCGGGATTCCCGCAGTGATGGAATACATTATTTTTGGCTGACTTCCTTGCCATGGGGCCCCATACACCCAGGAATATCATCAAGGTATGGAAAAAGGGGGCTCTTCCCCCTTCCTACACCAGGAGGCTGTGGCTCTTAAGAAATTGGGTCACTCCTGGTCATTGGAATGCTGTCTATGCCCTGATGACATTGACTGGTGTTCTAGCCCTTGAAGAGGGAAGAGCTGTGCTGGCTTCAAAGTGTCTGTCTGTTGGCTGCATGGTGGAAGATGCCATATGTGTTTCCTTGTTCTAGGTGCATATGCAGTTGGGTTAAATGGTGGCTTAGTACTGAATGGTGGGTGGTATTTTCCTTCCAGATGAGGACTCTGACCTTAGAAGTTTTCAGCGGGTGGCGTTTCACAGTAATGGAGTCTGACATACACAAATGGGACATCCACCTCCATTGCCTGTTCTTGTAGGCTGTGATGTGGCAACAACTCTGTTTAATCTCCAGGATCTCAGAGTTTACATCCTCTGAGCTTGGTACTGGGTGCTTCACCAGTGATAGTGAGATTCCAGGCAGGGCTTTCCCTACCTATGGAAACAGGCACAGGGGTGTCCACTCTCTGAATGTGCACTCCCTTCCTGAACACTGGTTGGGGGAATAGCTCAGATGTACTCTAGTTTCCTTCTGGAAGCTTCTATGTGGAGGTCTGACTGCACTCTCCTAGGATGCTGCCCAGTCAGGGACTCTTTATATACCAGGTGTCATTGACAAAAGAGCACTTTCAGTGTCCGCAGTTCAAAGGGCCCATCCCTCTCTCTGTGGCCCCCAACCTCGTTAAGGACCTGCTCGCAGAACCCCTCCCACGGGCCGCACCTGAAACACAGGCTCCCACCTCAGGAAGCTTTTGGCAGTGCAAGGTGGAGATCATGACGTTGCTGATATAATCAGAAAGTTCCTTGGTAGTTTACATATTAGTAGCAAAATCACACTTTTACCTACTTCAGAGACTATCATGACTCAACAGCGTGACTTCCCAGTGAGGCTGAAAACCCTCACTGAGGCCCTGAAAACCCAAATACAGTTTTTCGACATTTTGAGCTTATGTTGAATGACTTCTTTTCAGATAAATCTTGTAGGCCCGGAGAGCGGTTTTAGTTGGGCTGTTCTGTCTATGCTCAGGGTTAAGACTGGGTTGGTTAAATTGACAGGTGTCCCAGCTTCTGCCCCAAATAAGTGGCAAATGCTGTTACATAATTCATAATTTCACGTTATATTTTTGTTGTAATATATTTGTATATTTGTATAGTACATTTGTATCATATTACACGTCCCTTTGCCTTTTAAATCTGAGTACGGTAAACCTACTTTATTCTTCTCTAGATAATTTTAATTATTGATTATAAGCTTTGGCTAATATAAATGGATGCCTTCAGGGCCTAGCCAGGACCCAGCCTCTGCAATCAAGTGCCCCAGACCCTGTGGTTTTATGTGTTATTTGTATCTTTCGTGAATTTTATTATGCTAGCAGTCGTTCTTGTCTGGTTCCAGCACCATCTCACCAGTTCCCCACCAGCACATCTGATGTATTATAGGCTAGAAGTCCAAATATTCAAAAGCACATTTTGTATTATATAAATGTTTCCATGTATATGTATAAATATACACCCAGATGTGATACACACACATGTACATGCAGCACACACTGATTTAAGCACTGAGGGTAAAAGTGTAGGACTCACTCTCTTTGGTAAAATGTCAGGTTTTGTGATGTTTGTTTTCACTGAGAGTAGATATTCTACTGAATTTTGGGTTCAAAGCCAAGAGGGTTAAGTTAGCCATAAATCTCCTGGCTTCCGACCTAGAAAACAGATGTTATAAAAATGGAGGAAGAATTTTAGGTAGATATGAGCAATGGAATGGGAATTGTGTGTCTGTATTACTTGTACTCAGTACAGTTTTTCAATGTTTGAAATAAAAACAATGTACTGGCCAGGTGCAGTGGCTCATTCCTGTAGCCCCAGCACTTTGGGAGGCTGAGGCAGGTGGATCACCTGAGGTCAGGGGTTTGAGACCAGCCTGACCGACATGGTGAAACCCCGTCTCTACTAAAAATACAAAACAAATTATCCAGGCGTGGTGGTGCCCACCTGTAATCCCAACTACTTGAGAGGCTGAGGCAGGAGAATCGCTTGAACCAGGGAGGCAGAGGTTGCAGTGAGCCAAGTGTGCCATTGCACTCCAGCCTGGGGGACAAAAGCGAAAATCCATCTCACAACAACAAAAAAAAAGAAAAAAGAAAGAAAGAAAACAATATACAAAATGTTTTATTCCATTAATGTAAAGGAAAAGATCTAGACCCCTGTACCCCTCCCTCCCTGCACTTTGGTGTGTTGGTTCATTCATTTATTCCACAAACATGAGGGCACCCTGTCCAGGAACACAGATTAAAAGGACACCCGTGGCCTCATATTTCAGCCAGCGAGGCAGCCAATGGACATTTCCCAAATCACACAGGCCCCAGGACCAAAAAGGGCAGTGAGGGAGAGCGTTTGGGGTGGAGGCTCAGCCAGAGACCCAGGAGGGCAGCGTGGGCATTCCCGTGATCCCTTCTGCAGTGCACAACACTGCAGCATGAGCTCGATAGCGCCTGACTGGGCAAGCCTGCAGCTCAGCTCCTTGTCCAGCCGGACCCAGTCGCTCCCCGGGTGTGCTGGGAGAACACAGGGTGAGGTCATGGTGCACCAGTGCCCTTCCTGTTCCTGCACAAGTTGGCTTTCTAAGAGCTACTCAGTACAAATGAGTGTCATTTTCTCTTTATTTTCATTATTTTATTTTATTAACTGAAAAATATTAATTGTATATATTCATTGGGTACTAGTGAAGTTTTGTTATGTATAATGTATAACGATCTGATCAGAGTAATTAGCATATCTATTGTCTCAAATATTTATCATTTCCTGTGGTGAGGATGTTCAATATCCTCCTTCCAGCTATTTGAAACTATTATATATTACACTGCTGTTAAGCCTGGTCACTCTGCAGTGGCATAGAACACTAGGACTCCTTCCTCCTGTGTGGATGTGACTTTGTGTGCTTTAACAAATGTCTCCCTATGTCCCCTCCTCCTAACCTTCCCAGCCTCTAGAAACCTCTGTTGTACGTTTTACTTCAATTAGATCCACTGTTTTTTTAGCTTTCACCTATGAGTAAGAACATGCGGTGTTTAACTTTCTGTTCTTGGCTTATTTCATTTTATGTAATGTTCTCCAGTTCCATCCATGATGGCATGAATGACAGGATTTCATTCTGTTTTGTGGCTGAATAGTGTTAAAGTGAAGTAAATATGGCCAGAGAAGGGCTCCGTACTTTTATATTTGAGTCCTTCTGGATAGGTAGACAAGATTGAAACCCCAACTTAGGAGTATGCACCTGTAACAATCGCTGAGTCCTGGCCAATCCCCGCAGCTGTACTTCAACCACTCATACACTGGCGAGTGCTCAAACTGTGTTCAAATAAGGCAAACAGCAACCTGTAACCAATCCAGCTGTTGCTGTACCTCACTCCCGATTTCTATACGCCGCTTTACTTTTACGTCTGTAAATTTGTTCTGACGACGAGGCACCCCTGCAGTCTCTCTGAATCTGCTGTGACTCTGGGGGCTGTATGATTCGTGAATCATTCGTTGCTCAACTAAACTCCTTTAAATTTAATTTGGCTGAAGTTTTTTTTTAACAATAGTATTCCATTGCTAAAAGAAAAACCTTAGATAAATTAAATGTAACAGAGTTTAACTAAGAAGGAACTCTTCACGAATTTGGCAGTCACCAAACCAGAACAGGTTCAAAGACCCCACACTGCGTCCGGGTGGGTGAGAATTCATGGAGAGAAAAAGGAAAGTGAGGCACGGAAAATGGAAGTGAAGTACAGAACCTCCTGTTTGTTACAGCACGGGGTTTGCCTTTTTTGAACACAGTTTCAGCAGTTGGCTGCCTGTGGTCGGCTGATTAGTAGTGTGCTAATCACTACTTGGTGATTAGTACAACAGTAAGTTACAGTTTGTTTACCCTCCCGTTAGCTGACAGCTCACTGTGTATGAAGGAACCTTTAGACCCAACTTATAAGGAGGCAATGTTAGGCGAAATTCAATTTAATATGAACTTTAAAGTAGTTTTTTCCAATTCTGTGAAGAAAGTCATTGGTAGCTTGATGGGGATGGCATTGAATCTATAAATCACCTTGGGCAGTATGGCCATTTTCACGATATTGATTCTTCCTACCCATGAGCATGGAATGTTCTTCCATTTGTTTGTATCCTCTTTTATTTCCTTGAGCAGTGGTTTGTAGTTCTCCTTGAAGAGGTCCTTCACATCCCTTGTAAGTTGGATTCCTAGGTATTTTATTCTCTTTGAAGCAATTGTGAATGGGAGTTCACTCATGATTTGGCTCTCTGTTTGTCTGTTGTTGGTGTATAAGAATGCTTGTGATTTTTGTACATTGATTTTGTATCCTGACACTTTGCTGAAGTTGCTTATCAGCTTAAGGAGATTTTGGGCTGAGACAATGGGGTTTTCTAGATATACAATCATGTCGTCTGCAAACAGGGACAATTTGACTTCCTCTTTTCCTAATTGAATACCCTTTATTTCCTTCTCCTGCCTAATTGCCCTGGCCAGAACTTCCAACACTATGTTGAATAGGAGTGGTGAGAGAGGGCATCCCTGTCTTGTGCCAGTTTTCAAAGGGAATGCTTCCAGTTTTTGCCCATTCAGTATGATATTGGCTGTGGGTTTGTCATAGATAGCTCTTATTATTTTGAAATATGTCCCATCAATACCTAATTTATTGAGAGTTTTTAGCATGAAGCGTTGTTGAATTTTGTCAAAGGCTTTTTCTGCATCTATTGAGATAATCATGTGGTTTTTGTCTTTGGCTCTGTTTATATGCTGGATTACATTTATTGATTTGCGTATATTGAACCAGCCTTGCATCCCAGGGATGAAGCCCACTTGATCATTGTGGATAAGCTTTTTGATGTGCTGCTGGATTCGGTTTGCCAGTATTTTATTGAGGATTTTTGCATCAATGTTCATCAAGGATATTGGTCTAAAATTCTCTTTTTTGGTTGTGTCTCTGCCCGGCTTTGGTATCAGAATGATGCTGGCCTCATAAAATGAGTTAGGGAGGATTCCCTCTTTTTCTATTGATTGGAATAGTTTCAGAAGGAATGGTACCAGTTCCTCCTTGTACCTCTGGTAGAATTCGGCTGTGAATCCATGTGGTCCTGGACTCTTTTTGGTTGGTAAACTATTGATTATTGCCACAATTTCAGCTCCTGTTATTGGTCTATTCAGAGATTCAACTTCTTCCTGGTTTAGTCTTGGGAGAGTGTATGTGTCGAGGAATTTATCCATTTCTTCTAGATTTTCTAGTTTATTTGCGTAGAGGTGTTTGTAGTATTCTCTGATGGTAGTTTGTATTTCTGTGGGATCGGTGGTGATATCCCCTTTATCATTTTTTATTGTGTCTATTTGATTCTTCTCTCTTTTTTTCTTTGTTAGTCTTGCTAGCGGTCTATCAATTTTGTTGATCCTTTCAAAAAACCAGCTCCTGGATTCATTGATTTTTTGAAGGGTTTTTTGTGTCTCTATTTCCTTCAGTTCTGCTCTGATTTTAGTTATTTCTTGCCTTCTGCTAGCTTTTGAATGTGTTTGCTCTTGCTTTTCTAGTTCTTTTAATTGTGATGTTAGGGTGTCAATTTTGGATCTTTCCTGCTTTCTCTTGTGGGCATATAGTGCTATAAATTTCCCTCTACACACTGCTTTGAATGCGTCCCAGAGATTCTGGTATGTTGTGTCTTTGTTCTCGTTGGTTTCAAAGAACATCTTTATTTCTGCCTTCATTTCGTTATGTACCCAGTAGTCATTCAGGAGCAGGTTGTTCAGTTTCCATGTAGTTGAGCGGCTTTGAGTGGGATTCTTAATCCTGAGTTCTAGTCTGATTGCACTGTGGTCTGAGAGATAGTTTGTTATAATTTCTCTTCTTTTACATTTGCTGAGGAGAGCTTTACTTCCAACTATGTGGTCAATTTTGGAATAGGTGTGGTGTGGTGCTGAAAAAAAATGTATATTCTGTTGATTTGGGGTGGAGAGTTCTGTAGATGTCTATTAGGTCCGCTTGGTGCAGAGCTGAGTTCAATTCCTGGGTATCCTTGTTGACTTTCAAGTCAACCCTAAGCCAAAAGAACAAAGCTGGAGGAATCACACTACCTGACTTCAAACTATACTACAAGGCTACAGTAACCAAAACAGCATGGTACTGGTACCAAAACAGAGATATAGATCAATGGAACAGAACAGAGCCCTCAGAAATAACGCCACATACCTACAACTATCTGATCTTTGACAAACCTGAGAAAAACAAGCAATGGGGAAAGGATTCCCTATTTAATAAATGGTGCTGGGAAAACTGGCTAGCCATATGTAGGAAGCTGAAACTGGATCCCTTCCTTACACCTTATACAAAAATCAATTCAAGATGGATTAAAGATTTAAACGTTAGACCTAAAACCATAAAAACCCTAGAAGAAAACCTAGGCATTACCATTCAGGACATAGGCATGGGCAAGGACTTCATGTCCAAAACACCAAAAGCAATGGCAACAAAAGACAAAATTGACAAATGGGATCTAATTAAACTAAAGAGCTTCTGCACAGCAAAAGAAACTACCATCAGAGTGAACAGGCAACCTACAAAATGGGAGAAAATTTTCGCAACCTACTCATCTGACAAAGGGCTAATATCCAGAATCTACAATGAACTCAAACAAATTTACAAGAAAAAAACAAACAACCCTATCAAAAAGTGGGTGAAGGACATGAACAGACACTTCTCAAAAGAAGACATTTATGCAGCCAAAAAACACATGAAAAAATGCTCATCATCACTGGCCATCAGAGAAATGCAAATCAAAACCACTATGAGATTCCATCTCACACCAGTTAGAATGGCAATCATTAAAAAGTCAGGAAACAACAGGTGCTGGAGAGGATGCGGAGAAATAGGAACACTTTTACACTGTTGGTGGGACTGTAAACTGGTTCAACCATTGTGGAAGTCAGTGTGGCGATTCCTCAGGGATCTAGAACTAGAAATACCATTTGACCCAGCCATCCCATTACTGGGTATATACCCAAATGACTATAAATCATGCTGCTATAAAGACACATGCACACGTATGTTTATTGCGGCATTATTCACAATAGCAAAGACTTGGAACCAACCCAAATGTCCAACAATGATAGACTGGATTAAGAAAATGTGGCATATATACACCATGGAATACTATGCAGCCATAAAAAATGATGAGTTCATGTCCTTTGTAGGGACATGGATGAAGCTGGAAACCATCATTCTCAGTAAACTATCGCAAGAACAAAAAACCAAACACCACATATTCTCACTCATAGGTGGGAATTGAACATTGAGATCACATGGACACAGGAAGGGGAATATCATACTCTGGGGACTGTGGTGGGGTGGGGGGAGGGGGGAGGGATAGCATTGGGAGATATACCTAATGCTAGATGACGAGTTAGTGGGTGCAGCGCACCAGCATGGCACATGTATACATATGTAACTAACCTGCACAATGTGCACATGTACCCTAAAACTTAAAGTATAATTAAAAAAAGAAATGGAAAAAAAAAAAAAGAAATTCAATTTAATAGAGTAGAGACCACATTTCCTGTATCCATCTCTCCCTGAATGGACCCCTGGGTAGATTCCGGACCTTGGGTATTGTGACTGTGCCATAGTAAACACAGGTGCCGTTGCCTCTTGGATGAACTGTTTCCTTTCCTTCCTACAGATGTCCAGTGTGGGGGCAGCTGAGGATCATGGGGGTTCTGCTTGTAATTTTATGAGGAGCCTCCATGCTGCTCTCTACAGTGGCTGTACTGGTTTCCATTCCCACCAACAGTGTATGAGAGTCCTTTTTTCTCCACATCCTCGCCAGCCAGCCTCCTTCACTGAAAGAAGAAATAATAATATATGTTATGATATAATATATCTAATTAAGTATTGTCACTATGTTCTATATTTATTTAGCATATTACATAAGATGTTATTGTTGTATACTAATTTGTATTAGGTATTAATAATATACTATTTAGAATATAAATTAAGCATATAAATATATAATTAAATCAATTCCCTGCCATGGGTCGTGGGTGGCATTGCTCATCCCCATCCTCCTTCTCAGCGATGGGGACTTTGTCCCCCTCAGCACAGATCAAGGAAGAAAATCTGCAGGGAGAACTGTCCTCTTACCATAGGGACGAGAGTCCCTCCGAGACAAGACAGTGGTTTTGCTCGTTGGCTCAGCTGTCCTGTTCCAGAACGGGGGCTCGGCCTCACCCGTGCAGAACTAAAAATTGCACTGAAGAGCTTGTGGTCTTGTTTGTTCCAAACAGGCAGTCTCTACCCCAACCCCACAGGCAAACTCCACCACTACAGCTAGGGTGACGGAACATCCTCAGTCAGCTTTAAAAACAGCATTTGCTTCCTTCAGAATTGGGAGGTGGAGCCATTTAACTGAAAAGAAGCATTTCCTCCCCTCTGTGTGGGCCTTGGGGGGCTCCTCCCCACCTCTGTCCCCCGCCCTGGGATGATGGCCAATCAGGCCACACCATGACCCACACCCCAGCCCTCACCCTGGCCCTCTTCACAGCCACAGGACAAAGTGCTGGCTCTCCCTCCCATGCCAGGGGCTGCAGACGTGTCCCAGCCAACTTCAACAAACCGCACATGCTTTCCACACACAATCAAACCAACCGCTGGCTGTGGTCAGCATCTTCAAGTCTGAGAAAGGCAGGATACAAGACATCTGTGGTAGTTCCAAAAGGACTTTGAGAAGAAAAAGTTCTTGAGTATGCATTGCTCTCTGGAGGACACTCCAATGGGAAGGCAGATGCGTAGTTGAAATGGGGTCCCCAACCCGGCATGGCTTGCCTGGGCAGCCCTGGGAAGGGGCAAAGCCTCATGGACTGCTCCAGGGAGGGCCGGCCACTCCTCTTGCTGCTGTGGGGAGACGGAACTGAGGTTTGCAGACCTGCCCTGTCTCGGACGGCGCTCGCTGACCAGGCACGGTGGAGCCTGGGGGGTCCAGGCCAGGCCCTAAAAGCCTATTCCAGGGGAGGCAGGGCTCAGGCCAGGGCGCGCCAACCTTCTAGAGCCTGGATGCAGCGTTCTCAAGGCTGGGAAAAGGTGGGGGTGCCAGAGACTGGACAACATTCAGTCTGCAGTCTGGCGCGGTGTCCCCACATTGGTTTGTGAAATGGCGACTGAGCTTCCACAAGATTCAAGAGGGAGCTGTGATCAGATAACAGCGTATTTCTTGGTGATAGGAAAGAAGCATTTTTAACTTTGTTTAATCCAGTATCCATGGTTATTCCACTCTGGATTTCCTCCTACACACACATGCACACACACACACACCACACACAACACATACACACAGATAACACACACAACATACACACAACACACAGACATGCAACGCACCACACACACAACACAAAATATACACACAATATAAGCAGCATACACACAATGCACACAACATACACAGCACATACAACACACACAACCCATGAAACACACAACACACATACATACCACGTATAACACACAATACACATTCACATATACACAGCAGACATACACAGCACATACAACACACCACATGCAATACAACACACACTCATACACAACATAAAACATACAAGCAGCACAAACAAAACACACACCACATGCAACACACGACACACATACATGATACATACAACACAATACACAATACACACACAACATAAACACACAGCACATACAACACACAACTCGTGCATACCACATGCAACACACAACACACACAACATACACACAACACAAGCAACACACACAACTCATACAACATACACAACACACAGCAAACATACATGCTAGATGCAACACAACACACATGACACACATGCATGCCATATGCAACACACAATACACTCACACAACACACAACATACAGACAACACATACCACATGTGACACACAATACACACAACATGCACAGACAACACAGAAACAACAAACACACTCAACAGGCACAACATAGTCACACACACACACACACACACACTGCTTGAAACTTATTGATAGCATGGAACAATTTGAAAGCATTACTGCAAACTAGGACAACTGAATTTTAATAACCATGATGGATTGATCAATTCTGTATGTTCCTTATTAAAGCAACAGTGACAAGGGAGATGCTGTGTGTTCATTGTTGATGCTGCTTTGTTCACAGATCTTTGAGAACCACCACCCCAGCCTTTACCCTTAACATTCCATCCGAGGCAAACCACACTGAGCAGCCGCCTGCAGGCCTGGGAGCAAGGCTACAGGAAGCAGGTGTTTCCATCCCTCCCAGGCGAGGCCGCCCAACACCAACACTGGAGAAGAAGGTGGGTGGGCAAGCCAGGTAGTTCCTTCCTTCCTTCCTTCCTTCCTTCCTTCCTTCCTTCCTTCTTTCCTCCTTCTTTTTTCCCCTCCCTCCCCTCTTCCTTCTTCTTTTTCTTTCCTCCTTCTCTCCTTCCTTCCCTTCCTCCTTCCTGCTCTCCCTCTTTCTTTCTCTGCTTGCTTCCCTCCCTCCTTCCTGCCCTCCCTCCTTCCTCCTTTTCTACTCTTTCCTTCCCTCATTTCCTCCTTCCTTCCTTCCCTCCCTCCCTCCTTCCTTTCTTGTAAAACCTTCACGGAAAGTACAGCATCTGTCAAAATTTACTTCTTTTATATCAATCAGAAATTTTCAAACACTACAGAATTTCCACCAAGTAAGTTATTTATATCATTATGTGATCAATTTTGCACGAACAATACAAATCAAAATTGCCTTAGCTTGAAAATTTTGATGAGCACGTTGTCTCAGGACTTTGACATATGTACATTTTTATCAAGAGTCTTTGACGTTTTTTACCTTTTCTCTAGATCTTAATGAAACAACACACTTCATCATCAGTTATGATCGTCTTAAGAATTATTCTGCTTTCCTTCTTCGAAGTTCAAAAGAATATTTCAAATCTGCCTTTTATCTTTTAAAATGTGAGGCAAAATCTCTACATTATTATTTTTACTGAATAGGTTTTAAAAACTTAAGTTGTTCTTTCCGACTCTCTTTGTCACTAATAACCACTTATTTGAGTGACCCAAGCCTCTATGCACCGAAACCCCTCCAGTGGGCCTGATGGGTCAGGTGGGTGCATGGGGAACCATGGTAGGTGCCTGGCCTTCTTAAATTTCTCAGGCCAAAAGAACTCTTACTAATTTTATGACATCATTGTTTCACACCTCTTGTAACATACTTGAATTCATTTAACTAAATGAAAGTTGACATTCGTGTTTTGTTCTTAATCATGCTCACTTTTTAGGCCAACAGGACGGGCCGCAGATATGGGTCTGCAGGGACTCAGCCCTCAAAAGTATGATAGAGTATTTGCAAACATTTTTAACATGTTACTAACAGAATGCAATAGCAGGGCAAAATCGGAAGAAAGAGTAAAGGGGTTCCCAGGACAAGATGGATTTATTCTAATAAAGGGAGCAGAGATGGGTGCATTGGTGAAGAGACGTGGGTGTCCGGTGAGACTGCACAGTGGGAGGGTGGACACACAGGACAGCTGGCAGCACCGGGTGCACGGTTTCCTCAGAAAAATCTACTAGGTTATGGTCTTGACCACTCTCCTAACCTTTCTCAATGATCCATTTTTAGAAAAAACCTCATTTGATGGCGGAAGATGAACCTTCAGGGGCCCTCTTGAAGCCGCTGGTTTTTCGCGTTGACGAGACCACCCCGGCTGTGGTGCAAAGCGTCCTCCTGGAGAGGGGGTGGAATAAGTTTGATAAGCAGGAGCAGAACGCGGAGGACTGGAACCTGTACTGGAGGACATCCTCTTTCCGAATGACCGAACACAACAGTGTTAAACCGTGGCAGCAGCTAAACCACCACCCTGGAACCACCAAGCTTACCAGGAAAGACTGTTTGGCCAAACACCTGAAGCACATGAGGAGGATGTATGGCACTTCCCTGTACCAGTTCATCCCCCTGACGTTCGTCATGCCCAATGACTATACCAAGTTCGTGGCTGAATACTTTCAGGAGAGGCAGATGCTGGGCACCAAGCATAGCTATTGGATTTGCAAGCCTGCTGAGTTATCTCGTGGGAGGGGGATACTAATTTTCAGTGACTTTAAAGACTTCATCTTTGATGATATGTACATAGTGCAGAAATATATCTCCAATCCTTTACTTATTGGCAGATATAAATGTGATCTCCGCATCTATGTTTGTGTTACTGGCTTTAAGCCTTTGACCATTTATGTTTATCAGGAAGGGTTGGTTCGGTTTGCCACGGAAAAGTTTGACCTCAGTAATTTGCAAAACAATTATGCCCATTTGACCAACAGCAGCATCAATAAATCCGGGGCCTCTTATGAGAAGATCAAAGAAGTGATTGGTCATGGTTGTAAATGGACGCTCAGCAGATTTTTTTCCTACCTTCGTAGCTGGGATGTGGACGATCTGCTTTTGTGGAAGAAAATCCACCGCATGGTTATTCTCACCATTCTCGCCATTGCACCATCTGTCCCCTTTGCTGCCAATTGCTTTGAGCTCTTTGGGTTTGATATTTTGATTGATGACAACTTGAAACCATGGCTTTTAGAGGTCAACTACAGCCCAGCCTTGACCTTGGATTGTTCAACAGATGTGTTGGTGAAGAGAAAACTTGTCCATGATATTATTGACCTGATTTACTTAAATGGTCTAAGAAAT
Source organism: Homo sapiens (assembly GCF_000001405.40). Lineage (NCBI taxonomy): Eukaryota > Metazoa > Chordata > Mammalia > Primates > Hominidae > Homo > Homo sapiens. The sequence goes on from NC_000006.12 coordinate 167,341,167, forward strand.
GAGGGGAGAGAAGCCAGTAATGCCACACATGGAAATTCCAACATCGACGCTGCAAAAAGTGACAGAGGTGGGCTTGATGCTCCTGACTGTCTTCCTTATGATTCTCTTTCGTTCACAAGCAGAATGTACAACGAGGATGACTCTGTGGTGGAGAAAGCTGTGAGTGTGCGTCCTGAAGCTGCACCTGCCTCCCAGCTGGAAGGAGAGATGAGTGGGCAGGATTTTCATCTGTCAACAAGGGAGATGCCACAAAGCAAGCCCAAGTTACGGAGCAGGCACACGCCTCACAAGACACTCATGCCCTACGCGTCCCTCTTCCAGTCGCACTCCTGCAAGACCAAGACCTCCCCGTGTGTCCTGTCAGACCGTGGCAAAGCTCCAGATCCCCAAGCAGGCAACTTTGTTCTTGTTTTTCCTTTCAATGAAGCAACTCTCGGAGCTTCCAGGAATGGATTAAATGTCAAAAGAATAATCCAAGAGCTCCAGAAACTAATGAATAAGCAACATTCCTAAGTGGTAAAAAATCAAATCAAGAAAAAGTGACATGGATTTTTAAAAACCAAGGATCCTGTCCTAGAGAAAGCAATAGTTCAAGTCCCTACCTGTGCCACCAGCATGTTAACTATGACATTGGGACTGAAGATGTGGCCATATGTATAAATATAACAGCTCTGACAAAGCACAATATGTTCAAGTGGTGATTAAACTACATTACATCCCATGTTTATTTGCTCAGGTGTCTTGAAAGAATTCTACAAATACCACACAGCCTCCCACCAGTAATTGAATGTGCTACACTACGATTATGCTATGTATGTATTTAAAGAGGAGAAAAAGATTATTCTAATATTTTTAAAGGATTATTAGGTGAAAACAGTACAAAAGAAGCCAGGAGTTAACTTTCTGTGTGTTTTTTTTTAAATCAACCAGTTATTTGTTAAAATTATTTTGTTAACTTAAGATCAGACAATCATTCAGAGTGAGATAAATCACTGAAAGCCCTAATGACTCTGTTGTTTACAAATCCTGGGCTTGAAATCAGACTTTGCACCAAAGAGCTCCCTGTGGGGGCATCTTTGGGCTGTATTTAAATAGTGGCCCCTTGGCCTTGTCACCATTTGTTTACCATCACAGCATGTGAGGTCATGGCCTCCCAGATCAAAGTATGCTGTCATTCCTGCCACATAAAAAGCATCTGCAGTCCTAAGACATAAAAATTCCAGTAGGTTACTTGAAAACATTATTCTAGTGAAAGTAGTCAGATACAAAAGGCCACATGTTGTATGACTCCGTTGATATGGAATGTCAGAATTGGCAAATCCATCAAAAGCAGATTGGTGGCTTAGGGGAGGGGTAATGAGGAGTGCCTACTGATGGGTAGGGGGCTTCCCTTTGGGGTGACAGAAATGTTCTGGAACTATATAGAGGTGATGGTTGCACAACACGGGGAATTCACTAAGTATCACTCATGGTACATTTTGTGTTATGTGTGTTTTACCACAATAAAAAAGTTAAAAGCTGGCCATGGTGGCTCATGCCTTCAATCCCAGCATTTTGGGAGGACAAGGTGGGAGGATCTCTTGAGCCCAGGTGTTTAAGACCAGCCTGAGCAACATAACAAGACTCTTCTCACTTAAAAAAAAGAAAAATTATTTTTTTATTTTAAAAAAAAAGGTAGGGATGGGGAAGTGCAGACAGGCGTATCTCCCAGCAGGTTCCTGGGTGGGCAGGCCTGGTCGCAGGTCATAGCTGAGAAGAGCTGGAGCCAGTTGAGAAGATCCCCCGTGGACCAAGGTCAGAAGTCAGCCTGCAGGGGCACTGCTAGACGTGTGCCTCCAGGGTCCCCAGGTGGACAGAACCACTCTCAGTCTGCAGGCAGGATGGGCCAGGACCGAGGTCCAGGGCCCTTTGAGGATCTGCCATAGGACAGAGGTTGGCAAGCCTACTCCAGGGACGGAATTGTGTGTCTCCTGGCAGGACCCCGGCTCGGCAGAACTCTCCCAGATCATAGCCTGGTAGGAAAGGCTAGACCCGAGCCCCAGGGCTGTGTCAGGATCTGCAAGGGTCCAAGTTCATTAAGCTCCATCCAGGGGCACTGGTGGGTGAGACTCTAGCAGTTCCCTATGTGACTGGAACTTCTCCTGGGTGGCAGTAGAATGGGGCTGGAGTCAGCATTCAGAGCTTGTTCAGGCTCTGCAATGGGACAGAGGCCAGCAACCCTATCGTGGTGGCCTAGACCAGCGAGTCTCCCAGCAGGCCCCTGTGTTGTTAAGAGGGCTCCTGGGTCACAGCCGAGAGGGCCTAGAGCCAAGAGAGGGTCCCGTCAGCATCTGCTGTGGAACAAGACCCACCGCAAGCCTCTGGGTGTTTCAGATGGGTGGGTCTCTCTCTGGGTCCTCGTAGGAGCAGGATTAACCTGCAACCACAGCTGAGGGGGGCTGGTGCCAAGGCACAGGGTAATTTTCACATCCACAGCTGGGACCATGTAGGTGGACCTGCCTGCTGAGGCACTGCTGTGCGTGACTTCTCCAGGACTCCTTGGCAGGTGGTTTAGGTAGACTGAAAGTGAAGGGATGGAAAAAGATATTTCAGGCAAATGGAAACCAAAAGAGAGCAAGAATGGCTATCCTTATGTCTGAAAAAACAGACTTTAAGTCAATAACTGTAAAAAGAGACAAAGATGGTCCTTACATAATAATAAAGGGGCCCATTCATCAAGAGCATGTTACAATTTTTAAGTCTGTGTACCCAACATTGGGCCACCTAAATATGTAAAGCCAATAATAATCAATCTGAAAGGAGACATAGACTGCAATATGATAGCAGCAGGAGGGCTTCAATACCCGACTTTCAACAGCAGACAGATCATCCAGACAGAAAATCAGTAAGGAAACATTGGGCTTGAAACTCACATTGGCCCAACTGGACCTAACAGTCATGCACAGAACATTCTCCAGGATAGATCATAGGTGAGGCCACAAAGCAAATCTTAGCAGCTTTAAGAGGACTGGATTCATATCAGGTTTCTTCTCTGACCACAGTGGAATAAAAATAGACATCAAAAACAGGACGATTTTTTTTAAAAAATCACAAACATGTGGAAATTAAGCAATATGCTCCTGAACAACCACTGAGTCAAAGAAGAAATTAAAAAGGAAATTTTAAAATATCTTGATACAAATGAAAATGGAAACACAACATACCAAAACTTATGGGATGCAGCAAAAGAAGTTATAAAAGAAAAGTTTATACCAATAAATGTCCATATCAAAAAAAAAAAAAGATCTCAAATAAACATCTGAACAATGCATTTCAGGGAAGTAGGAGAATAAACTCAACCCAAAGTCAGAAGAAAGGAAATAAAAACTAGAGCAGAAATAAATGAAATAGACACTAGAAAAACAATAGAAAAGAACAATGAAACTACTTGGTTTTTTAAAAACATAAAAAAATTGTTAAATCTTTCACTAACTGAGGAAAAAAAAGATGACAATAAAATCAGAAATGAAAGAGGAGACATTACAACTGATACCACAGAAATACAAAGAATCATAAGAGACTATTGTGAATAATTATATTCCAAGTAATTGGATAACCTAAGAGAAATGGATAAACTTCTAGACACATACAACCTAACAAGACTTAATCATGAAGAAATGGAAAGCCTGAATAGACCAATAACAAGTAAGGATATTGAATCCATAATAGAAAGTTGCTCATTAAAAAAAGTCCAGGACCTGATGACTTCACTTCTAAATTCTACCAAATATTTAAAGAAGAACAAATACCAATACTCCTCAACTCTTCCAAAAACCTGAAGAAAATACTTCTAAATTCATTTTACAAGGCCAGACAAGGACACTACAAGAAAGAAAATTATAGACCAATATCTCTGATGAACATAGATGCAGAAATCCTCAACAAAATACTAGCAAACTGAATTCAACAGCACTTCAAAGGATCAGAATCAAGTGGATTTTCCCCTGGGATTTGAGGATGGTTCAACATAGGCAAATTAATAAATATAGTACCCCATATTAACAGAACAAAGGGCAAAAATCATTTGATCATCTTGATAGACACACATACAAAAAAAGGATTTGACAAATTCAAAAACCTTTCATGATAAAAATTCTCAGCAAAGTAGAATCAAAGAGGTTACCTCAACACAGTAAAGATCGTATATGGCAAGCCTGAAGCTCCCATCATACTCAATAGTAAAATGTTGAAACCTTTTCCTCTAAGGTCAGGAACAACATGAGGATACCTGCTCTCACCACTTCTGCTCAACATCATACTGGAAGTCCTAGTCAGCATTAAGAAAACAAACAAACAAACAAACTAATAGGAAAGAAAGAAATAAAATTGTCTCTGTTTGTTGATGACATAATCTTATATATAGAAAACCCTAGAGATCTCACCCCAAACTGTTGCAAACTCAAACAAATTCAGTAAAGTTGCAGGATACAAAATCAACAAGCAAAAAGCAGTTGCATTTCTACACACTAACAACAAACTATATAAAAAAGAAATTAAGAAAATCTCATTTACAATAACATCAAAACAATAAAAATACTTAGCAGTAAATTTAACCAAAGAGGTGAAAAATATGTACGCTGAAAATTGTAAAATGTGATGAAAGAAATTGAAGATGACACATATTAAAATATTATCCTGTGTTCATAAACTGTCAGAATGAATATTGTTAAAATGTCTGCACTACCCAAAGCAATCTACAGATTCAATACAATTTCTATCAAAATCCCAATATCATTTTTCATAGAAATAGAAAACACAATCCTAAAATTTGTATGGAACCACAAGAGACCCCAAATAGACACAGCAATCCTGAACATAGAGAACAGAGCTAGAAGCATAGCACTATTTATTTTCAAAACAGATTACAAAGCTAGAGTAACCAAGCCAGCATGGTGGTTGCATGAACACATACGCATCGACCAGTGGGACGGGATAGAGAGGCCAGAAATCAAGCCACGTATTTACAGGGAATTGATCTTTGACTAAGGTGCCAAGAACACACAACAGGAAAGAGCAGTCTCTTCATCAAATGGTGCTGGGAAAACTAAGTGCAGAAAGATGAGATTGGACCTTTTGTTCACACCACATACAAAAATCAACTCAAAATGGATTAGAGGCCCAAACAAAAGACCTGAAACTGTGCAAGTACTAGAACAAAACATAAGGAAAAAGCTGCACAACATTGGTCTGGTCAATGATTTCTTGGATATCACCCCAAAAGAGTAGGTAACAAAAACAAAAATAAATGGGATTAGATCAAACTAAAAGCGCCTACACAGCAAAGGAAACAACAGAGGGGAGACACAACCCCCAGGCTGGGAGGAAATATTTGTAAACTCTGTATGTGATAAGGGGCTAGTTTCAAAAATATATTTAAAAATTCAAATACGAGCAAAGGACCTGACTAGACATTCTCAAAAGAAGACACACAAATGGCCGAGAGATACATGAAAAAATGCTCACTATCATGAATCATCAGGGAAATGCAAATTAAAACCACTAGAGCACTTCATACCTGTTAGAATGGATATTATTAAAAAGGTGATCCATTACAATATCCCTTCTAACAGGTATGAAGTGATATCACACTTTGTGTTTTGCTGGGGATGTGGAGAAAAGGAAGTCTTTGTACACTGCTAGTAGGAATGTAAATTAATACAGCCATTGTTTTAAAAAAGTATGGATGTTCCTCAAGAAACAAAAAATGGAATTACCATATGATCCAGCAATCCCACTTCTGGGTATATTTTCAAGAGAAATGAAATCAACATGTCAAAGAGATGTCTGCACCTCCATGTTCCTGGCATCATTATTCCCCATAAGACACGGAAGCAACCGAAGTGTCCAACCACAGATGAGTGGATAAAGAAAGGCTGGTGTATATCTACAATGAAACGCCATTCAGCCTTTAAAAAAGAAGGACACTGTCATTTGTGACAACATGGGTAAACCTAAAACACATTATGCTAAGTGAAGAAAGCCAGGCGCAGAAAAATAAGTATCACAGGTCTTCCCTTGTACATGTAATCTAAAAATGTTAAGTTAATTGAAGTAGAGAGTAGAATGCTGGTTACCAGAGGCTGAGGAGTGGGTAGGGGTGGCAAATGAAGAAATGCTAGTCAAAGGGTACAAAGTTCAGTGAGGCAGAAGAACTAAGTTCTATGAAGCCGTGGTGGGGAACTGCTGCGGGAGGGGCCGGGGGAGCGGCTGCGCTCTTGGTCGGCCAAGTGGAAACCCATGTGCCTTGGTCTGTGGGCCTGGCTGAGGCGATGCAGCTCTCCCAGGAGCAGAGAATCACCCTGGCAGGAGCGTGGAATCCTGGCTGAGTTCTTCCCATTTGGTATCAACAGCATTTTATATCAGCACAGCACATACCCACCTGAAGCCTTCATTGGAGTGCAGAGTACAGACTCACCTTGCTTGTAACTACAGATCCTGTGCTCATACAATACCTAAATAATGTGCTCGAACAACCAAAGGATTGGCTATACAAATGTTCGTTCATAAATTCGCCACAGTCATTGCAAATATTGAAAGTGGTGATGTCCTTGAAGGAAGGCACTTTGATACTGAGTGTGACAAGACTGCAAAAGATGACGGTGCACCCAGAGAACAGAGAGCGCACCCAGAGAAAGGAGGACAGGTAACCCAGAGAAAGGAGGACACTGAACCCAGAGAAAAGTCTCAGAAAGCTATCCAGGACAAAATCCATCCAGCGATCAGATGAACCACAGTTAGTGACATTTCTGCAACTGTTGAATTTTCTTGTTCATTCGATCTATGATTTATGCAAAGATCTGGTTGTACCTGGAAGATGGGAAGAGTGGGGACCACAGTTCATGACCAATCCGAGCAAGTCTCCCTTCATTCATTTGCTGCTACATCCACACAGCTCACAGCGTGGTGACCCACAAAACCTTGTCAATGACCGAGGATGACATGAGGAAGATAGTGTAATTTTCAAACGTGGTTTTCCTGAAACCAAGTCAACTATAGCTGATATGTTTTATTTCACTGGTTAATGTTGACATGGGAAAAACCAATATTATACTTTACTGAACTTTGTGTAATTGGTCAATTTTTTTGATACCTGTTAGGCTTACCATGGGGTTGACATAATGAATTTATTGCACATTGTTCAAAAGGAACCAGGAGGTTTTTGTCAGCACCGTAGTGTAAATTCCATTGCAGATGGTAACTGTAGATGGAAAAACTTTTGCTATAAAATGAAATGCTTCCTTAAATCAGACATTCTGGTAAAGTGGCTTGACTCAGCACAGGTAGGGAGATATTTAAATATAAAATACAATGAAAGCAGTCTAAATATTTAGAATCTTGGTTTAGATCCTGAAAGTAACTAATAATCCATAAGCAATGCAATATTGCTCTACTGGATCCTTTTGACATTTATTTCATCATGTAGTTTTCCATATTTAATAAATTTACAGATTTAATTTATATAACTTGAACCTATGAAGGAACAGATATTTCTACTGTTTAATGTCCTGTGATGTAGAACTCTTGAAAAAATTTTTTATTTTATATAATCAAGCTTTAAGTAAAAAATGAAGAAATAAAGTTAAACGTGTTATTATTTTTTAATTAATTAATTAATTATTTTTTTTTGGCAGAGTCTTGCTCTGTCGCCAGGCTGGAGTGCAGTGGCGCCATCTCGGCTCACTGCAACTTCCGCCTCATAGGTTCAAGTCATTCTCCTGCCTCAGCCTCCTGAGTAGCTGGGACTACAGGTGAGTGCCACCATGCCCAGCTAATTTTTGCATTTTAGTAGAGACGGGGTTTCACCGTGTTGGTCTTGAACTCCTGACCTTGTGATCTGCCTGCCTCGGCCTCCCAAAGTGCTGGAATAAAAGAAGTTCTAGTGATCTGTTGCATAGCATGGTGACGATAGTCAATAATAATGTAGTGTATATTTCGAAATTGCTAAAATAATAGATTTTCAATGTTTTCTTCACACAGAAAAAATGATGCCTGTAAAGTAATGGATATGTTATTTAGCTTCATTCAATCATTCCACAATGCAAACATACATCAAAACTTCACATTGTACCTAAGAAATATATACAATTACCGTCGGTTGAAATTATTTTGAAAGAGGCCAGATTAAGCTGCTGCAAGTAGGGATGCAGAGTGGGTGGCACAACTGCAAAGAGCAAGGGTCACCGCCAGGGTCAAGACAGTGACCTCTAACCGTGGCTGGGTGCACAGGGAGACTGCGGGTACAGCTGACAAAGCCTATGACCTCATCCAGGCGTGGGGGTGTGCACCTGTGGTCCCAGCTACTCCAGAGGCTGATGCAGGAGAATTGCTTGAACCTGGGAGGCGGAGGTTGCAGTGAGCTGAGATCGCGCCACTGCACTCCAGCCTGGGAGACAGAGTGAGAGTCTGTGAAAAAAGAAAAAAAAAAAAAAGGCTGTGACTTGACCTGCATGGAGTTCAGAGAAAAGGCAGGAGAAAAAACATGTTCCGGGGAATTTAGACACGAGACTGGAATGAACACTTTGTTCATTGCCTGTTTTCACGCATTTATACATTTATACGTTCTCAACTCTGTTCCAGGAAAGATTTAAAGGACGCAAGTAAGAACGCAAGCCCGTCAAGGCTGCTCCGATTTTAAATGTCAGTTCAGCTCCTACTTTATGGGGTTTGGCAAATAGAGTTAAGGGCCTTTTCCTCAAATGCTCAAACATTCCAATGAGACTAAATCAAGCAACTGGAATCGCTTGAAAACCAGAGACCAGATTCCATTCTCCCTCCGTTTTTTTGAAATCTTCACTTCTTTATCACTAGCTGGGTTTCGATGACTCTTCAGGTGTAAAGGTCAACCTCACAGAAATGGGAAAACCTGTGTTGTTAGGAAGGATGGTTTTATGTGAGCATTTGAAGTTTTAGGGCAAGAATGGCCTCGGGCCATCTGTCAGGAGAAGCTGCCACATCTGGCAGTATCTCTCCTAGGGTGAAACGTGCGCAGATTAAATTGAAGTAATAACGAGCTCACGTGGAGTCTGAGACGAGACAGGAAATTTGTATGCACGGCATGTGCCTTCGGTGCCCGGGCTATGGAGGAAAGAACACAGACAGTCTTCCTGAGGTGGGGCAGACAAAACCGGTGAAAGTGAAGGAGAATTAAGGCGCTACACGGTGGTCATTCAAAAAGCCTCAGAATTCCCCTCCTAAGAAGATGGAACAGGCGTGCGTTTTCCTCCGTCCCGCAGGTGCAACCGGAAACCTCGGGCAGTGCCCATCAGACAAACGCAGGAAGACGAGAGGCGGAGAGAGGAAGCCCGGGGGAGCCGGGGGACCCTGAGAACGACAGGGTGGGGCGTTCCTGGGTTTTTTTTTTTTTGACTCTTCCACCCCAAACTGGGTGCTCACAAGGACGCGGAGGAAGACAGCCACCGCTGCTGTCTCCAGCCAGAGCACTGGGAGAGGCGCGGCTCCAGGAAACATTTCAAGGACCCTGGGAAATGGGTGGAGATCTCCGAATCTAAAAAACCTTCAGGAGACTGGAAGTGTTTTGAAGTTGAGGGTTGTGGTTCTTTCTCATTTGGTTTCAAAACAGGATCCCCATTTCCCTTAATGTAGGATTCGAAGGCATAAGCAGAAGAGGAAAGGGGTGTCAAGGTCAGAGCCGCCTAGAAGCAGAAGCGCAGGCCAGCGAGATGCTCTTCAGAGTGACTTCGCTGTGGGCTGCGGCAGGCAACAGAAGGAACTCAGCATCCACTGGCCACGATCCCCTCCCCGGAGCGGAGGACAGAGCCCAGTTTCTTCAGGCGGTGGCTCCAGCCAGCTCTGCCCCACAGGGAAGGAGCGCGCAGCTGCCACACACCGCAGGCAGCGCTGACAGACTCGGCCTTCCGGGAGCGCAGGCGGGTGGGGGGCGCCGCCCTTGTCGCTGTCCGGAGCCCCGCAGGCCCGTGGCCCCCTGCCTGGTTCTCCCGCCTCTGCAAGCCTAGCCTTCAGGACTCCGCCTCGCCCCCCTCTTTTCTGTTCGGAGACTCACGGGGCCGTCTGTCTGGACCACGTGTGCACATTTCTGACCACGATTCCTCCGCACACCAGCTACAGGCACCGCAGCGCTGGGGACGGCACAGCTGAACTGTGCTGGCAGCGAAGGGGCCTCACGGGGACGGCTCAGCTCCCTGAGGGCGCAACCCACCTGGTCCGGGGGCGGGGGGGGGGGTGAGGAATAAACTTCCGCGGTTTTCAGTGACCCAGTTTGTTGCATGGCACATGTTGGAAAGGTGAATCTGACCGCGTTGACCGCGTTACTTCAGAGATGCGCTGTGAGCTGCTTTGTGCCGCGAAATGACCTGTTTACCCGACAGCGCCCTCTGCAGCCCAGCGCCGGAACGGGCTTTTTCATGATGTTCCTGCGTTGTGTTTACAGCCTCCCTGCGAGGGGTTCGCACGCACAGGCGGACCTCGTTTTGTTGCGCCTTGCTCTATTGTGCCTCGCAGATACTGCACTTGTTTTTACAAATTGGAAGTTTGTGGTAACTCCGTTGGGGCACATCTGTGGGTCCCGTTTTCAAACAGCTTGTGCTCACTTCATATCTCTGTTTCACATTTTGGTAATTCTTGTAATATTTCGAATTTTTTCATTATCATTATATCTGTCATGGTGATCTGTACTTAGTGATCTTCGATTTTACTCTGTAATTGTTTTGGGGAACCAACAACTGCACCCACGTAAGACAGAAAACGTAATAAATGTCACGTGTGTTCCACATGCTCCACTGACCAGCTGCCCCCATCTCTCTCCCTCCCCTCAGGCCTCCCTATTCCCATTACACTATTAATAACCTACAACGGCCTCTAAGTGTTCAAGTAAAAGGAAGAGACACACATCTCTCACTTTAAATCGAAAGCTAGAGATGATTAAGCTTAGTGGGGAAAGCCTGTTCAAAGTTAAGATAGACTGAAAGCAAGGCCTTTTGCACCCAGGAGTTAGCTCAGTTGTGAATGCAAAGAAAAACCTCTTAAAGGAAATTAAAAGTGCTGCTTCAGTGAACACATGAATGACGAGAAAGTGAAACAGCTTTATTGCTGATATGGATCCCTCAAGCCAAAGCCTAATCCAGAGCAAGGCCTCAACTCTCTTCAGTTCCGCAAAGACTGAGAGGAGTGAGAAAGCTGTAGAAGAAAAGTTTGAATGTAGCAGAGGTTGGTTCATGAGGTTTAAGGAAATAAACCATGTCCATAACATAAAAGTGCAACATGAAGCAACAAGTGCTGATGGAGAAGCTGCAGCAAGTTATCCAGAGACCTAGCTAAGGTAAGTGATGGAGGTGGCCACACCAAACCACAGATTGTCAGTGTAGATGAAACAGCCTTCTGTTGGAAGAAGATGCCATCTAGGACTTTCATAGCTAGAGAGGAGAAGTCAATGCCTATCTTCAAACTTCCAAGGACAGGATGTCTCTTGCTAAGAGCTAATGCAGCTGGTGACTTAAACTTGCGGCCAATCTCATTTACTATTCCGAAAATCCTAGGGCCCTTAAGAATTTTGCTAAATCAGGAGGCCGAGGTGGGTGGATCACCAGAAGTCAGGAGTTTGAGACCAGCCTGACCAACATGGAGAAACCCCGTCTCTACTAAAAAAAAAAAAAATACAAAAAATTTGCCAAGCATGGTGGTGGGTGCCTGTAATACCAGCTACTCTGGAGGCTGAGAAAGGAGAATTGCTTGAATCCGGGAGGCGGAGGTTGCGGTGAGCCAAGATCATGCCATCATACTCCAGCCTGGACAACAAGAGTCAAACTCTGTCTCAAAAAAAAAAAAAAAAAAAAAAAAAAAAAAAAGAATTATGCTAAATCTACTCTGTCTTGGCTCTATAAGTAGAATAACAAAGCCGGATGGGAGCACATCTGTTTACAGAGTGGTTTACTGAATATTTTGAGGCCACTGTTGAGATCTACTGCTCAGAAAAAAAGACTATTTTCAAATTATTACTGTTCATTGACAATGCACCCAAGGGCTCTGATGGAGATGTGCAAGGAGAGGAATGTTGCTTTCATGCCTGCTAACACCACATCCATTCTGCAGCCCATGGATCAAGGAGTAATTTCAACTTTCAAGTCTTGTTACTTAAGAAATACATCTCAAAAGGCTATAGCTGCCATAGATAGTGATTCCTCAGATGGATCTGGGCAAAGTCAATTAAAAACCATCTAGAAAGGATTCACCATTCTAGATGCCATTAACAACATTCATGATTCACGGGAGGAGAACCAATATCAACATTAACAGGAGTTTAGAAGAAGTTGATTTCATTCCTCATGAATGATTTTGAGGGGTTCAAGCCTTCACTGCAGAAAGTAACTGTAGATGAGGTGGAAATAACAAAAGAACTAGAATTAGAAGTGGGGCCTAAAAATGTGACTGAATTGCTGCAATCTCAGGATAAAATTTGAACAGATCAGGAGTGGCTTCTTATGGTTGAGGAAAGAAAGTGGTTTCTTGAGATAGAATTGACTCCTGGTGAAGATGCTGTGAACGTTATTGATATGACAACAAATGATTTAGAATATTCCATGAACTTAGTTGATGGGGCAGTGGGTAGGGTTTGAGGGGATTGACTCCAATTTTAAAAGAAGTTGTACTGTGGGTAAAATGCTATCAAACAGCATCGCATGCTACAGAGAAACCTTTCATGAGAGGAAGAGTCAGTCAATGCAGTAAATTTCATTGTGGTCTTATTTCAGATATTGCCACAGTCACCCCAACCTTCAGCAACCTCCACCCTGATCAGTCAGCAGCCATCAACATCCAGGCAAGGCCCTCCACCAGCAAAACAATTATAACTCACTGAGGGCTCAGATGATCATTAGCATTTTTTAAATCAATACACTATTTTTAAATTAAGATATGTTCATATTTTAGACATAATGCTATTATACACTTAATAGACTACAGTATAATATAAACCAAACTTTTATAGGCACTGGGGAAACAAAATATTTGTGTGACTTGCTCTGTTGCAATATGGGCTTTATTGTGGTGGCCTGGAACCAAATCCACAGTATCCCCAAGGCCTGCCTGTAAGGTGAGGCAGCAGCCTAGGAGCTAGTGCAGCCTGCCAGGTGCTGTGTGTTCCCAGCAAGCAAGGACACTTGGGAAGTGATACAAAGACAGAAAAGTTTTGGTCGTTTGAGAATCAACTCATAATAAAAAATAAATAATGAAATATGGTTAATTGAAGTAAGTTGATTACAAACTGAAAATGATATTCAGAAGAAAAAAGTTATATACAAAGATGGTTGTGATACAAAAGAATATAATGACACATTTAATTTTATTCCCTTTAATAAATGAGGAATGTGGTCTTACTCCTTCCATTGTCTGCTTCTAAAGTATAGATATAAACCTGTATCTATCTGCAGATGCAGATAAGAAACCTGGGAAACCACAAGAAAGCCAAGTAGCCTGGGAAAAAATGGGCATTGAGCCAAGAGCAAAAAATAAGAGTCGATCCCGTTGGTGCCACCTGACAGCAGAGATGGCTGAGGACCCCCGAGCGTGAGTCCAGAGAGCTGCCCTGCAGCCCCACCCTGCCTTTCCAGGATGAACCTTCTCTGGGAAGCCACTGCTCATTCGGAAAGTGAAGAATGCCTGTGTTTCCAACACCAACACCAGCTCTCCTGACGTCTCAGAATGCCAGGACCACGCGTGATGGAACACCAGGCAGGGGAGACTCAAATATACAAGGCGAGAGGCCAGGCAGGGCCAGCGTCTCCCTCAGGCACATGAGGGCCCACGATACTTTTAGGAACCCACGAAAATGTTTTAATTTCTCTTAAAAATCAGAAGGAAACAAATAAACTCTTAGGTATAAGAAAATGTTTCAATATACACGATTGATATATCCACCTTTATACAAATGCAGTAACAAAACTTACGTGTTTAAATTTTTTAATGGAAAAAAGATCCCACAAAGGCAATGAAAGTCATGATGTGGCCTGATCCCAGGTTGCAAAAAACTAAAACATTTGTGAACGGCGTTCATTAGAAACACAAGAATGCTAATGTAGCATGTCAGGTTTAACCATAAAATGTTGAATACGATGTCCAGTGACTTGAGTTTAAAATGCTGGAGGAGGAATAACCAGAGAGTAACACAGTTTCCGCTGTCACACCCACACCCACAGCAAGACGAACTACAGAATTTCTGTTTTTCTTTTTAAAGCAGGGAAAGAAGTAAAAATGACAACAAAATATAATTATAGTAATAATTCTAGGAAAATATAAAAATTAAATATAGAATAATGAGGAAATGGTTAATGCTGTAGAGTAGGTTCAAAGTGGAGGTAAGAAGTAGGTGATAATCTGAATTGTTTGGTTGTGTCTCTTGTATAAGGTATTTGTTCAAAAGAATCAGCCATGCTAAAACTATAATTGCAGTACTCATTAAGACAACTTAATTAGAATCAATCTTTAAGTGCTCAAGCAAAGGTTGTTTCAAAGGTGAATTTGATAAACTGAGCATCAGAGTCCTCATTTTTGGGCGTCAGCCTCCATGTTGAAATCCCTTTCACTTTAACACCAATAATCAGAGTTCACGAGGCCCCTCTCCATGTTCTCACCTCTTCGTTTGCTCCAGAGCCTCTGAGGCTCCACTCTCCACTCTAGCTGCTGGGGAGAGAAGGTGAAGGTGACTGAGCTCCATCCTCAATGTGTTCTCTAGATGGGGACGGGCAGGTCCCAGGGTCATTGGGATACAGTGTGAGGAGGACCCGAGGGGTGCAGGGTTCAGGGAGCTCTTGGGGGCTTTAGCCTGGGGATGGAGCAGGGTGAGCCAAGGAAGGTTTGCAGAAGGAATGATGAGTCGGAGGAAGCAGGACTGACCTAAGGGAGGGCCTTCTGCTTGATGTCGGCCATGAGGAGCAGGAGAGAAGGGGCGGGAGGGGCTGCGCCTGATGGCCATGAAACTTGGGGGCCCATGCTCTGAGAGGGACCTGTGCTCCTTAGGAAAACATGGAGCCCACAGGACTCCACGCGCAGAGACAGGAGGGCCCCACCCGAGACTCCCTTCAGGAGCAGCACCTGGGTGGAATGGACGAGATGACTCTGTCCTGGTCCCTTGTCACCCATCCCCACAGCATCCCTGAGCCAAGCAGGGGATGAAGTGTCACCCACTTAGGGAAAAGGAAGTGGGGGACAGCTGAGGGTTTCTTCCAAGGTGGCAGTAGACAGTGGCTCAGATGGGTGTGACTCACCCCATCTTCCAGCCCTTTATACTCTGTCATTGTTTCATGATTGTCTTAATGCTACCTTTTTGAACAAGTAAATGTGCTTGTTTACAATTTGTGCATAAATGTGCCTGCAAATAGGTAAATACGGACCCCCTCCTCAAAATTAATGTAATAAATATAATCAGATTGTACATCTAATAAGAAGCCTTTAGGAGATTGTTAAGAACTAAAAGTAAATTCTGGCTTTTTGCAAATCAGTATGAAGTGTTGTTTTAATAAGCTTGTACTGATTTCCAATATCACAGAATGTATATTCCACGAAGGGCTTCCCGCCGAATGCGCACACTGAATTAATCCTATTTGGATGACAGATTTTACACCCATCACTATTGGAGAGTGCACCGCAGATGATATTTAATGAAAACTTCCAGTCAGGCAGGTGATCTGATGCCTGAGCATGGCTTCCTGATAAAATTGCATGTTTCTTTCTTCCTCGATCTCCCACAGATAATGAGAAGTGCATTTTTTGAGTACAGCTGTGTATCGTTTTGTTTGCTTCAGCGACAATTCTTAGTATAAGCTGATTCAAAACAATCAAAGCAATAGGCAAGTCCATTCTTTCAGCCAAATGCAAAGTAGCTTTTTAATAATGGATTTGTTTTGCCAGTTGTGCCTGACAAACAGCCTTGCATTGCTTTAGCATTCATCTGAAAAGAAAAGGCCTCCATCCACTGTAATTGCAGAATTCTTTTTTTTTCCTTCAAAGCCAGATAGCACATGCTTCTTGAGTCACTTTAAATAGCATTACCAAATATTGAGGGCTACAATGATGCATGCACAATTTTAAGGTTAAAATAATCCCTGGCCCTAAAATATGGTATTGTATTTCATAAAAACATGAGTACATAATGGAAAAAAATTAACTATGCATCTTCTGATAAGATTTTCAAGAAATTATATCTTTCCAAAATCATGTTGGGGGCATCTACATTTCAGTATAAAAATTAGGTGAATTGGCATTTTGTATTTCTAGGTGGCCTGCAAAACAACAAAAGAAGTAAGTAACTGGTTATCATTTTTATATTGGGATTTAAGAAATCTCGAGTTTCAAGAGGCGACGTGCTCCCCGGGCTGCGAGAGGCCACGATAACTGCACTATTGGAGCCCTGACTCAGACACCCCTTGGGTGTCCTTGTAGTGACTAGAATTGTCTCCCTCTTGTCCCAGCGAGGACAGGGGTGTCGGTGACCAGAGGGGAGCAGGCCAGGCTGAGCTTCTATAATTCTGGAGGAATGAGCCGTGCCTGGGGTGGGCCACACGGGGAAGAGGGGCTCAGCACTTTGTGAATCAGCTGGTCCAACGGCACTTGCTCTGCAGAGACCTCCTGGGTCCATCACAAGGCAGAAATGGCCCCTGTGATGATCAAGGAGGGTGCAGCCTTGCTGGGGGCACTGAAAATCGTTCTTTTGTGAGCCTCCTGTTCTCCGACGTGTGCTGCTCTAACCAAGTTTCCTAAATAGGGGAGAGAATGTCTTTTCCTTTGCAATTTCTAGATGACTTGGGTAGTCCTAAAGTTTTGGTGGCTCTCCAAGATCATTTAGGGCAGCTAATATGTTATTAGTTTTTGTCTGTTTTAGCAAAAATCTGCAATTGGCATTTCCCATGTGATGCTGCGTGTTGAGGGCTCATCTGCTTCTCGTCCAGGACGACATTTCCAGCTTCATCTTTGATCTTAACCCTCCCGGAGGCATACTTGGTTTCCTGACAGCCGCTGCAATACACAGTCTTGACGGTGCCATCCGGGTACTCCCTCCTCTTGAACCGGGCTGTGTGGATTTCTTTCTGCCCGTTGCTGAGCACAATGGTTTTGTCGCCGTTCCTGAGAGGAGAAACACATGGTAAGGCGGCCTGTGCCAGGGTGGAGGCCAGTGGGGGTTGGGGGCGCACAGAATAATGCCCCCACCCGGGTCTGGAGCCCTCCTTCCAAATCTCGTTAGATGAGGGTGCAGAAGGCCACGGGCAGGGGCAGGAAAGGTGCACGGGGGGCTCAGGGAATCGGCAGAAACTCGGTGTGGGTGAGAGAGGGCAGGTGGGGAGGGCCAGGAGGCAGGGCGGGAGGTCAGCCGCATCTGCTCACCTGCAGGCTGAAGCCTGTGCTGACAGCTGGCTCTGATGGTGAGAGGGATGGCAGGGTTGACACAGGGAGTGACAGAGACACACATTGAATCATTTCAGAAAAGTGGCCCCGGAGGTGACAGGGAAGGTTCTGACTGCTGTGAGGAAGCTGGGGGAGTCTATTGTAATTGCCCAGGGGAGAAATGGTGAGAGCGGGAGACCTCAGATCTCAGAGAAAGGGTGGAGGCGAGACAGCGAGGAGACACAGCCCACAGCGCTCCGTGTTCACTTTGATATCAGGAAAGAAAGGGAAGGTGTAAAACAACTTCCCACACTCTCCCTCGGGCAGCTGAGTGGATCTTTACTTTCTGCACAAACTAGCATTGAAATAGCAGCTCTGATGAGCTCTTCCTTGGTGTGCCTTAAACATTTGCTTGCACATGTTCTGCAATAGACTCGGGCTTCTAGACCACATGGTCTGAGGTGAGCACTGAAGACTGGAGTGATTTTTACGGTTATAATTCAAACGAAGCTAATGTTGGTGAAGTAAATACCTAAAAGCCCATTTGAAACCCACAGTCTGTAGAAAGGGATTCAAATCAAGGCCATAAGACAAAACTTCTAGAGTCAATGACATTATTTTCTTTTTTTTTATACAAGCACTTAAATGTTTGCAAAAATCTAAATTAATATAAAGAAATTATTAAATACACAAACAAAAACTGGGGATGTTTCGAATTCGCATTGTCTGACATTACTGACCTTTCCACCCTTACGATTGTCCCATCAGGAAATAAGGTCTCTTCCTGTCCATCCTTGAGATGTTCCACCGTCCCGTCGGGAAACACGATTTCTTTGGAGCCATTGGGGTAGAATTTTTCTGCAGAATGCAGTTTTTCAGTATATGTTACATTGAATCTGTTTAGAAACATGTTCTATGCAAATAATCTATAAAATATTCATGAGATTTATAGAGAGTATTTTCTTTCCTTTTCTTTTCTTTTCTTTTTTTTTTTTGAGACAGAGTCTCACTCTGTCACCCAGGCTGCAGGGCAGTGGCAGGATCTTGGCTCACTGCAAGCTCTGCCTCCCGGGTTCACGCCATTCTCCTGCCTCAGCCTCCCGAGTAGCTGGGACTACAGGCGCCTGCCACCACGCCCGGCTAATGTTTTGTATTTTTAGTAGAGACGGGGTTTCCCCCTGTGTTAGCCAGGCTGATTGTGATCTCTCTACCTTGTGATCCGCCCGCCAACGCCTCCCAAAGTGCTGGGATTACAGGCGTGAGCTACAGAGAGTATTTTCTAATCATCTGGCTTTATAACTAGGATTGCCAGGTATAATACAAAATGGCCAGTGAAGTTTGAATTTTAGATAAATGATGAATAATTTATTTTTATTATTATTATTTTTTTGAGACAGAGTCTCACTCTGTTGCCCAGGCTGGAGTGCAATGGCATGATCTCGGCTCACTGCAAACTCCACCTCCCCAGTTCAAGCGATTCTCCTGCCTCAGCCTCCTGAGTAGCTGGAATTACAGGCATTCGCCACCACACCTGGCTAATTTTTGTATTTTTAGTAGAGACAGGGTTTCACCATGTTTGCTAGGCTGCTCTCAGACTCCTGACTTCAGATGATCTGCCTGCTTCGGCCTCCCAGGGTGCTGGGATTACAGGCGTGAGCCACTACACCTGGCCAAATGATGAATAATTTTTAACATAAGTGTATTTCAAATATTACATGGAACATACTTTTATACCAAAAATTACTGTTGTTTATCTGATATTTCAAATTCAGTGAGGGACTTGAATCTTTATTTGTTAAATCTGGCAATCCTACTTATAATAAAAGTTTAAGGACTTCAATATTGTATGAAAATACTCAAGAAGAAAAACTGTGTGAACATCTGAGAGCACATTTGCTGTGTTTCACTGTTTCAACCCGGTTGTAAACAACATACACACCTATCATTGCAAATTCAGTAAATTTATATTTCCAAACCAGGACGCTTGTGTCACTTAGCTGCTTAAACCTACTTTGTGGTGATCTGCTCTACTATGGGCTGAATGCTGTGTCCTCCCCAAATTCGTATGTTGAAACCTAATCCCCAAAGCAATGGTGTTGGGAGATGAGGCCTTTGGGCTGTGGCGTGGTCATGAGGGTGGGGCCCCGTGAATGGGATCAGCACATTTACTAAAGGGACCCCAGAGAGCTGTCTCGCCCGTTCCACCATGTGAGGCTGCAATGAGAAGATGCCGTCTGTGAACCAGGCAGCAGCCCTCACCAGACAGTGAAGCTGCCGGCACCTTCGTTATGGACTTCCAGCCCCAACACCGTTGTTGACAAGCCAGCCAGTCTATGGCACTTTGCTATGGCAGCCTGAACAGGATAAGGCACACTCCATAAAGAACCGGTATTCAACATGCATTTTTGTACCTGCTCTTATCATTTTTTTATTTACACTTGAACATCTTGCTCTGGGCAGAATGATCTCGGTCTCATTAAAGCACAAAATTTAGATTCTCCCAACTTTGCTCAAGTGATCTCCCTGGCTGAAAGTTTCCTTTCCCACCCATACGCTGTCTGACTCCCTGAGTCCCTATGTTTGAGGTCAAATCTCCATTATGAACCCCACAGTCGGTGCCCTCTGCTTCTGAATGCTTTTGACTCTTGCTATGGTAAACATTCAACTTGACATTTTCATATTGATTTGCAGTTTTCAGCTGGATAATAAATTGTAGGAAAGAGCCATAATTCACCCTCTATGGTATCCTCCAGGGATGAATAACAGTGATTTTCACCTTGTACTGGAGACAGAACCCTTGGACGCTGAGGAACTCACTGTGGAGCCTGCTGAAATACTGCTGCACTGCTTCTATTTCATTACAGGAACAGGAAGGTGATTACAGTGCCTGCATGTGGGGTGCATTCACAGCTGCTTGATGTGTTTGTGAAAAAAAGAAAAGCTGCCAAGTTAAACTTAATTGATGAGTTTCCATTTGTTCTTTTTTTCATTGAGATGGAGTCTCTCTCTGTTGTCCAGGCTGGAGTGCAGTAGTGTGATCTCAGCCCATTGCAGCCTCCACCTCCAAGGTTCAAGCGATTCTCCTGCCTCAGCCTCCTGAGTAGCTTGGATTACAGGCATTCGCCACCACACCTGGCTAATTTTTGTATTTTTAGTAGAGACAGGGTTTCACCATGTGAGCAAGGCTGGTCTCGAACTCCTGACTTCAAGTAATTTGTCCACCTCGGCCTCCCAAAGTGCTGGGATTACAAGCGTGAGCCACCACACATGGCCTCCATTTGTTCTTTTAATATCCATTTGCTTCTTTTTCGTTTGTATTGTCAACTGTTAGCAGTTTCTGGCAGATAAGGGGCAGCACACACACACACACACATATACGTGTGTGTGTGTCTGTCTCTGTGTGTGTGTGTGTGTGTGTGTGTGTGTGTATTTAGAGACAAGGCCTCTCTCTGTCACCCAGGCTGGAGTGCAATGGTGTGATCATGGCTCACTGCAGCCTCAGACTCAGAGCTCAAGTGATCCTCCTGCCTCAGCCTCCCGAGTAGCTAGGACTATAAGAGCATGCCATGATGCCCAGCTAATATTTTATTTTTTGAAGGAATAGGGTCTTGGTATGTTTCCCAGGTGGTCTCTAACTCCTGGCCTCAAGAGACCCTCCCGCTGTGGCCTCCCAAAGCACCAGTATGTTTCCCAGGTGGTCTCTAACTCCTGGCCTCAAGAGACCCTCCCACTGTGGCCTCCCAAAGCACCAGGATAACTAGTGTGAGCACCATGCCCAGCCCACAAACTGTATTTAAGCAAAATGAATACAGTGAAGAATCTGACAACTGAGGAAAAATTCTACCCCTTAAAATAATTTTTAGCACAAAATGGTAAAAGATTGTTTTCCGGTTGTATATTAATGGAACACCCTGCAGAAACTGGGGGCTCTTCTTTGGGTCAACAGCTGAGAGCAACTGAATTCTGCCTGGTACATATCAATGCCTGACTCTTGGCTGATTTGTATGAATGTATAAGAACCATGCATGAGACACACAATTGCACCTGTAAAATGGAAGGAGTGGGAAACAATGGGACTTCTGTTTCACTCTGTTCTTGAAATATCAGCCATAGGCAGAACTGTTGAATGTCTGATAAATATATCCAAGAACAGTAACAGAACTTAGAATTCCTGCTGGAAAATTAACTGATCAGAGACCTTCTACATGGACCAGCTGACAGTCAAAGTTTTAGGTCTTTTAAACAAAAATAAAATACAGACCTATAAATACTTTTCTTTTTCAGAAGACTGGCGTTAATATTAATCAATCGCTCAGCATGGCCTTTGCAAACTAGCAAGTGTAATTTTTCTTTGTCGAATGTTTGCTGGAGGTCACTCAAGAAAACAAATGCTCTAGTGCCCACTTTGCTGCTATGTGCCCAGTCAGAGCCTAAATGACAGCTTGTGAAGGCAAAAATTCTAACAAGACACACAGCTGCACTGGCTGAAATATTAGGACAAAAAGAAAAAGGGTGGGAGCCAGGAATTCACAGGACAATGTGAGTCTCAGCAGCTTCAAGGGCCCATCTGGAGGTCCGTTGTGTCACGGAGGAGCAGATGCCCCACAGCGGCCTTGATTCTGCCCTGGCAATGGGGCAGATCAGACATCCCAGCCACACATCCACTACAAATACCGAGGAATGCTCAAGCAAATCACAAAATCCCTGGGAAATGAGCACCCAAGTTCATGGAAGGGGCTACAAATCCCAGAGGGTGCTGGAACGCAGACTCGAACCTGACCTGCAGCTGCCCTGGTGACCTCTGCAGTCTCCAGGAGGTTTGACCCTTAGTCGCTCTGCTGGGATAGGATGAAGGGCTTTGTCTGGGAATTGGAACTGCATCCATGCTTAAAGAGGACACTCTCTGAAGGTTAGAGCCCCAAGGAAAGAGGGAACTAGAAAATATCTCCCTGCCGGCAGATGGAGAGCACAAAGGAGTGTTGCTGTCTCTCTCTGAGCTCTTTCCAAAGAATGTGTCACTACAGGGTGACCCTCATTTACCCTTAGCAATTGCAGTTCTGCTACCTGTACCTGGGACACCTTAAACTAAGAAGCTAACGTGAAGTGATCCCAGGCTGGTCGTGCCCCGGGACACCTGGCAGAAGCAAACACAAAGCTTTCTGGATACTATCTCCCAGACTGGGCCCCATAGGATCGCCACCAACACAAGCTGCCAGCACAAATATGAAATAGGTGAGGAAGCGCAACACCATGAGGAAATGCCAGAAGTATTGGAAGCAGAGACAAGCTAGCAGCAGCCAGTGTCACGCGGAGCTCCGAGACAGCAAGCGTGGTGCTACCAGAAACTGATGACAAGGCAAATGTTTGTAGAATATTTTAAAAATTAAAGTCGGAAATTAAAAATGAAAGAGAGAAAAAATTCTTGGTGGATTTGAAAAAGAACAAATAAAATCAATATAGTCTTCAAAATTAAAGCTAAAATGATGTATTAAATAGCACATAATACTCAGCTGAAGAGAAAACTGAGGAAATAGATAAATAATTTACCCAGATGATAACAAGAAAATATAATATGTGAAAATGGAAAGACGCTAGAATGAGGTGGTGTCATGCAGCTATAATCGGATGTGGAGGAAAGGTAAGATAGATAAAGATAATAGCTGTGAATTTCCCTGAACTTGATAGGGTTCCCAGATAAAATATAGGACACCCAGTTAAATCTGAATTTTCACATACACTACAAATGACTTTTTAGTGTAAGTATGTCCCACATACTGCATTGTACAAAAAATCATTTATTATTTACCTGAAATTCAAATTCAACTGGGCATCCTGCATTTTTATTTGCTAAATCTGGCAACCATAGCTTATGAAAGACACAGTGATTATATTTAAGATGCACAACGGGCTGGCTGCGGTGGCTCACACCTGTAATTCCAGCACTTTCGGAGGCTGAGGCGGGCGGATCACGAGATCAGGAGATCAAGACCATCCTGGCTAATGTGGTGAAACTCCTTCTCTACTAAAAATACAAAAAATTAACTAGGCATGGTGGCACACACCTGTAGTCCCAGCTACCTGGGAGGCTGAGGCAGGAGAATCACTTGAACTGGGGAGGCAGAAGTTGCAGTGAGCTGAGATCACGCCACTGCACTCCAGCCTGGGCAACAGAGCGAGACTCTGTCTCAAAAAAAAAAAAAAGCACAACAAATCCCCAATACAATGAACAAAATTAAATCCATAACTAGACATACCATAATGTAACTGGAGACAGAAGAGTCCTTAAAAGCAGCAAGTAAAAAAAAAAATCACGTTCGAAGGAAGAAATTAGTCCACCGTCAGATCCTCCAGCAGACACCGTGTGGGAGTGGAATAAAGTCCTCAACACGCTCAGAAAAATCACTGTCATTCCATTGCTCAATACTCTCCAGTGGCTTCTCCACAATGGTCTACACTGCCTGGTCCTGGCACTTTGACCTCATCTCCTGTACCCCTGCCACACCGGCCTCCTTGCTCTTCCTCAGACACACCACACACTTTTCACGGCTCTTTCTCACTCTAGAATGTTCTTCCTGACACGCACACAGCTCCCTCTCTCACGTCACTCATGGCTCCCTAAAATATCCCCCCTCAGTGAGGCCCTCCTCAACGGCCTACAGATGGCCCCCTAGGGCAGCAGCCCAGCACCTTCCCTCCCTGCTTTCTACCCTCTTGTTTTTCTCTGTAGCTTTTCATAGAGACTGATTTTTATATTGATATTTATTTTTACCTGATTATTTTATGCTTCCCTCCAATAAAATGTCATGAAATAAGAACTTTTCACAAATTTGCTCACTGCTGTATCCCTAGCCCTAAAACAATGCCTGCCACAGGGTGGCCATGTAATAGCTATGGGATGAGGGGTCAGAAGGTGCATCAGGACGAACGACCACTCATGAACAAGGCAAAACAAAGGACATTTTCAGATGAGCCAAAAGGGCTGATTGCCCCCGTCTCCTCATGCTCGTCAAGTAGAAGGAAATTGTGCCAAGAAGAAAGGCCCAAAATATAAGAAAGAAGAGCCCCAAATTCTGCATAAATTTAGAAAGTTTAAAGTAAACACTGGTTACATAAACACCACGGTAATAATCATAACTAATACTGAGGGTGAAAATCAAGTTAGAGTAAAAATCCTGGCAGAAGCCAACACAATGGCGTGAAAGATTAGGGAGGGGAATTCGGACTAAAAGACTCTTGATTTGGTTGTAGAGGACAGTAAGGACACTGATACATTTTCTGTTTATGCAATAAAACCTCAGGTTAAAAGGAAAGTTATTTTCAGATTATATATTTTTCTTAATGTCTGTTTCTTATAAGATCGTATTTAAAGGTAAAGATTTAAAAATAGCAAAAGAAAGAATAGAAACAGATATACCAGGCATATATTAACTAACTAAAAGAAATTACAAATAAATATTAGTAAATTCATAACCAAACTAGGGTTTTTTTGGTTTTTTTTTTTTTTTTTTTTTTGAGATGGAGTCTTGCTCTGCGTCCAGGCTGGAATGCAGTGATATGGGATCACTGCAACATCTGCCTCCTGGGTTCAAGCGATTGTCCAACCTCAGCCTCCTGAGAAGCTGGGATTACAGGTGCCCGCCACTGCATCCAGCTAATTTTTGTATTTTTAGTAGAGACAGAGTTTCACCATGTTGGCCAGGCTAATCTCGAACTCCTGACCTCAGGTGATCCGCCCACCTCAGCCTCTCAAAGTGCTGGGATTGCAGGTGTGAGTCACTGCGCCTGGCCCAAACTGGGATATTTTTAACACAGTTCTCTCATTATCTAGTGCAGTGGTCCCCAACCTTTTTGGCACTAGGGACCAGTTTTGTGGAAGACAATTTTTCCACGGACTGGCATGGGTGTGGGTTGTGGGAAGATTGTATGATTCCACTGCACTAAATTTACTGTGCACTTTATTTCTATTATTATTACATCATAATGAAATAATTATGCAACTCACCACAATGTAGAACAAGTAGGAGCCCTGAGGTTTTTTTTTTTTGAGATGAAGTCTCACACTGTAACCCGGGCTGGAGTGCAATGGCACGATCTTGGCTCACTGCAACCTCCGCCTCCCAGGTTCAAGCGATTATCCTGCCTCAGCCTCCCGAGTAGCTAAGATTACAGGTGCCTGCCACCACACCTGGCTAATTTTTGTATTTTTTGTTTTTTTAGAAGAGATGGGGTTTCACTATGTTGGCCAGGCTGGTCTCAAACTCCTCACCTTGTGATCGGCCTGCCTTGGCCTCCCAAAGTGCTGGGATTACAGGCGTGAGTCACTGTGTCCAGCCACCCTGAGCTTTTTTCCCTGCAACTAGAGGGTCCCATCTGGGGGTGAAGGGAGGCAGTGACAGATCATCAGGCATTAGATTCTCACAAGGAGCACGCATCTAGATCCCTTGCGTGCGCAGTTCACAGTAGGGTTTGCGCTCCTGTGAGGATCAAATGCTGCCACTGATCTGAAGGCGGCGGAGCTCAGGTATAATGGATCCATGGGGAGTGGCTGTAAATACAGATAAAGTTTCCCTGGCTTGTCCTCCGCTCACCTCCTGCTGTGCAGCCCAGTTCCCAAGAGACCCAGGGGTTACCCAGAGGATGGCATTTTAGAGTCCAGGCGAGACTTTGGAAAAGAATGTGGTGGCTTTTAGGACAATGAGCTGACCGGGCTGTGCGAATAAGTAACACCCATTTATCTTGGTTGTTGCTCGAGCCATGTAGCCAGGCCCACCTGAAAAGCTGAAACACAAGCCCCTGACTGAGGTCTGACGGCGTTTACAGAGGCATCCAGACCTGGGTGCACTTACACACCCGCATGGAAGCTGCAAGCTCACAGCTCTTGGATAAGAACCAGGAAAACATGCATTAAGCAGGGTAAGCCCCAAATTATCTGGACAGCTGCTGCTATGGGGAACTTGCCTACAGGGCTCAGGTATCTGCTAACCTGCAAGTCTCCACACCTCTACACACTGACATGCAAAGGCACCTACCCACGCGGGTTCCTGGTGATGTCATTCACCTGTCTGCTTGTTAGGAAACTGCACAACTTCCAAACCGTCAGGGTAGGTCGTGCGCATTGTCTGAGCATTTGCGTGATAGTAAATCTGTAAGCTCCAGAAACACCTACGTTGGGAGGCAGTCTATGTTATCATTTTGAACCTGGATTTAATCTAGTAAAGTCCTTCCTGCGGGTGGGTAAAAGCACCGTCCCAGCAGGTGGGAGTGGGCTGACCTTGTCCATGGGCACCCTCCACAGCAAGGGGGCATGGGGGGAGGGCTTGTCACCCAAGCCCAAAAGTCAAGACACTGTGGCTCTAGGCTCGTGGGAGAGAGGACTGGACCGAGGTGGAGTTCCCGGTCCTTCACCTGGTGGGCTCTGAGCTAGAGTTTGCTGGGCCTGGCAGCCTTGGGGGCCTGCAGGAGGTCCAGGTCCAGCATAGTGAATATCAGTGGGGAGCCCCAAGACCCAAACCCCACAGCTCAGAGACCAAGGGTCTCCCAGCAGCTCCAAACAACAGAAACACTCCCTGGGTTGTGCCTCTTGAATTGTCACGTTACTGTGAAGTTTCCCATCATTGTGACCCCCTCTGGTTTCCAATAAAGTGGGGAAAAGAAGAGGGGAAGGAGCTGCTTTGGAAGAGGACAGTCATCCGGGAGGGGAGGGGACATTCCTTATGGTCAAGCGAGCCTTGACTATAAGTAGGGAAGGGGGAATTATTAAAAAATTAAGGGTCCAGAACTAGAAAACTGTAGGATGTACAAGTTTCTTTTGAAGTGGGACCACAGAGGACAGGCATCCAGTCTCTCCTGAGCTCTGGGACCCCGGTGTGTCACTGCATGTCTGCCATCTATCATAGCAACAGCATTGCTGCCCGTCAAAGAAAGGCTGAGAGAAGGCAGGAGAGAATAGGAGAGGTGACTTATTTAGAGAAACCATGACACTGAAGTCGAAGGGACTATTTCCGTGCCATTATTTTAAAGGCATTTTTTTCACATGGGGGAAATTTGTCCAAATGTCAGAAGAAAGCCACAAATTCTCAATTCTGCATCATCCCAATAATCATCAAGTCCAAGCTCAGGCTCCTCGCTGGGGTCAGGGTTCCCTTTGGAGACCAGAGAGGTCTGAGGGGAACAGAGGTGCCCTCAGGAGACCTGGGGAGGTGCACACTCGCTGGCCTGCAGTGGCCATTCCCTCTGACCACGCAGAAGGTCAGAATAGGAGGATGTCCTTCCAAGGCCTGTGCCAGGCCCTGTTCTCTCCCGCTGATTCATCCTCACCGCATCAATTCTTATATTGTCACACTCTGCCTCCCTACACCCCCACATCTGGCTAAGAAACGGCTATTTCCTACTCCAAAGTGACGGAAAGCTAGACCTCACAATGAAAGGCTGGGGCAGGCTATGAGATCAGTATCACAGATTCCTCCACTGGGCAGTGGCGTAACACAGGCCACCGTCTAAAGGGGGTCATCCAAATTCTTTGTCTGCATTTCCCTGCAAAAAAGGGAGCATGCAAGTTAGTTCAGGTCGGTGGAAGAGCACGTGGTGGGCACACCACGCCTGTGTCCACGCTCGGGGCTTCTAACATCCACCCTCAGGAAGGGTCAAGAGGCTTCGCTGGGATAAAATCACAGAGCCACAAGCAGGCGCCTCTCATTAAAGCAAGTAACACAAAAAACAGAGGCGCGCTCTGCAGTCTTTCAGAACTCCTGGACCCTGTGCCTCTACATTTGTACCCAAAGCTTGGCTAACAACAGGGAAACTGATCATTCTAAAGAAGGAAATGTTTAGAATACAATTTGGTAATGTGTGGGTACTAAGAGACTATTCTCAATGCACTACAAACCCTGCCCTGACCTCCCTTATCTCACCTTATTTATAATCGGTTTTGGAAATTATCCAAATTTTCTTAAGTTAGAATCGAGTTATATACCCTGAATTATCTGGACAAAAATACTGCCACCCTGGAGACCTTGCCTAGAAGACCTCCAGATTGCTCAGCATCTGTGTTTTCCATACATGATCCCTAGACACACAGAGACATGTAGTTTGAACCAGGGGGTCACAGCATCCTCACAGCTCCTCAGCATCAAGTGGGCCCCCAGGTACTGTGATCTGTGGCTTTCTTCCACAAACACATCATCGGCTTTTACCAGTGATGATCGTCAAGGTAACAGCAGCTGTCAGCTGCTGAGTACTTGATGGGTGCCAAGCAATATATGCATGGCATAACTTTGGTCCTTATGACAACCTACAGGGGGCTTTCCCAGCCTCAGAACTATTGTCAGTTTGGGCAGGATAACTCTGTGGGGTTGGGGGGTGTCCTTGGCATTGGGATGTTCAGCAGCATCCCCGGGCCCCACTATCTAGATGCCAGCAGCACCCCCACCACCCCCAGTTGTGACAACCAAATATGTCTCCAGACATTGCGAATGTCCTCAAGGCAGGGGGAATAATTGCCCCCAGTTGAGAACCAGACCTGGGAATATTTCCTGATTTTTTTAATGCAGAAATTGAGGCTTGATGAGATGAATTAATTGGCTGGTGTTGGCACAGCTGGTCTGGCAGAGCTGCCAGTCAGCTGAGCCCGTGAAGCCCAAGTCCATGCTTTCTGCTCCACCTGCAAGGTGGCTGCCGGGCCCAGTGCCTCCTCCCGGCTGTAAAAATCGTCTCCCTGGATCTCACCTCCAGCTTGTACCAGGGATTAGCTCCTGACTCTGCCTAACTTTGTTGCAATACTAATGCTAGTTCTACAATCAATGCACATGTACTAAGTGTTTACCACTGTGTTTCTAGAGAGTTCTACAGAAGAGACATTATTTAATGGACTATGTTACTTAACTTTCATAACCATCTTTTGACTTAGGTCCTAATTATCAGCCACATTTTGCAGAGGCTTAGAAAAGCTGAAAACAATGACTGAACTCAGAGCCAGGAGGGGTGCTGGTGCACTCTTGTGTCACCGTGCAGATCGGAGGGTCTTGACAACAGGGTCTCACTTGCCTGAGTGCACCGAGGAAGCAGAACAGCCTGGCTCATAGAGAGCCTTGCCCGCCTCCACAGCCTGTGCTCTGCTCGTCCCCACCAACCCATCCTGAACACCCAGAGGAAAGGGGGTACAGATGTGCAAAATCGTTCCTAATAACTGAGTTAGTTTTGATTTCTTTTAAAAAAAGACAGATCTTTTTTCAAAAAAGATCCATTGTACACACCACTCTCCGACTGGGTTTGATCTTCTTCACGTCACCATTAGAAAACCGGATGATGTGTTCTCACTCAGAGGTGGGAATTGAACAATGAGAACACTTGGACACAGGAAGGGGAACATCAGACACCCAGGCCTGTCGTGGGGAGGGGGGAGGGGGGAAGGATAGCATTAGGAGATATACCTAATGTAAATGACGAGTTAATGGGAGCAGGACACCAACATGGCACATGTATACATATGTAACAAACCTGCACATTGTGCACATGTACCCTAGAACTTAAATTATAATAAATAAATAAATAAATAAAAGAAAACCGGATGATGGTCGCCTTCTTATCCATGCTCGGCTCCTTCTGGCTGGCCTCGGGGAAGGTGGTGATGGCACAACCTTCGCTCAGTGCCTGTTCTACCTTTATGGAAACACAAAAGCTCCAAGATGAAAAATGATGTAAAGCCTGATTATTGTGGTTTCATTATTTTTTCTCCAATTCAGAATTATCATATGATTATCGCCTACATGGCATTCTCGACACTGGCTGTGATATTTCCCCCAAAATTGTACTGACTGAGTAGATCAGGTCCAAATTCCCATCCCCGAATGTGGTTATCAGTAATGAATAAGTGCTATGATCTGTCCCACCAACATTCGTCTTTCATAAGCTCGTGTCCCACAGTGGCCATCAGTCTAGATCTTCCACGGCCGCTGACTTGGTGAGTTTAGAGTCCTGGGCCATGGGAATTGTGGTAATTACTACGTAAAAATTACTCTTGGAAGCTTTTTCTTTCCTTTTCATCCCAATCTCCTTACCTCTACGCTCCTACGGCCCATCCCAAAGATGTGTTGATTTTAATTAACTATCAGCAAATATTATATAACCTCATGTGCATAATGCTGGACAAGGAATGTAGAAAGAATATCTTTGTCTTCACATTGAAAATATTACTCATGTAAAGATTAGCAAAAGAAAATATCTGAGAGAAATAATCTCAAGATCTGGGGAGTTAAGATAAGTGCATGTGAAAATTCCAAATGGCAAAATGTGTTTTTGTTATTTATGTCACACTGTCCCTCTTAACCATAGCTCAGAAATATAGGTGTTAATTCAGCTGAGAAAATACAAAGGGAATAGAAGCGAATGCTGGGCTTCTTAAACTGTCTTCAACCATCCACCAAACAAACCTTGACGGTGTGCGCCACCTGCTGGCCGGGACAACAGCCTCCTGTTTGATGGGGTTTGAACTAAGATGACTCCACCTGCTCCCAAACCAACTCGGTGAATGAAGCAGGGCTGTGTTCAGTTCCGTATCTGAAGATGAACTTTTAACCAACACTAACAGCTCCGACAATGTTTAAAGAATCAATTACTCTCAGAAGTAATAAAGCACAAATAATATTTTAAATGTTCCACATGAAAAGAATCAAACAATCTATTTTGGAGTTTATATTATTAAAAGAAAGAAAACACAAAAAAGGAAAGAACTTTGGCATATCCAATGCAAGATACACAAGAAGTAGATGCAAGATGAGTCACGAGAAGAGGAAAGTGCTGAAGACCTGGGAGGGAGGGTGGGGGAGCCAGAGACATAGGGGCAGGCAGAGGTGGGTGACCGCTGGTTGTGGGGAGAAAGGAAGGATCGCGCTAGCAGAGGGCACAGCGCGTTACCTAGTTCTTGTGTCCTCATCTTCGTGGTTTCATGAGCTTCAGCGATTGGTTCCTCCATGCACTTAGCCAAGGAGGAGCATCACTTATGTCTCATGGACCTGCCTACGGGGATGGCAAGGTCAGGTGCTCAAATGATGTGGGTTTCCTTCTCCCCTGACAAACCACTACAACCACTGCGCTAAAGACAAAAGCATTTCAGTGAATTCAAACTGTTACTGCAAGTAGCATTCCCTGTTGTTCATTTATCCAAATGCTTTACCCGCTTGCAAGACATGAATTCGCTTTTACTGAGGCAGAGTTCCCTCAGCAAAGCTAGCCTGAGGCCGACTCCCAGTTTCTAACAGGCCAGCAAGAGGCGTGAGATGAACGAACTGTTGAGCTGAAGAAGCAGCGATGATGTGCTGCCCCAGGCAGGACTGGGTCTCCTCGGAGCTCACAAAACACTGTAGCCGCAGCCGCAGCCGCAGCAGGTGCCTCTTCCCACCCCTTCCTGAGTCAATGCCGACCACCGCCACCTTGACGCGTCCTTCCGGAACTGAGCTCTCCTCAAGGGCTAAAATGTGGTGGCTGGAAGATATTTGAGGCTATAGTTTTGGGTTTTTTTTTAAGTATTTAAAACAAATCTTCCTCCTGAAAAGCGTATTGCTTTATTTACTGGGAATAAACTGGCAGTCAACAATGCTAGAAACGCCTGGCCTCCAGGTCAGGGCCCCATGTCCTGTCTGGAGGGAGCGGCGTGCAGAGCTCCTGGAAATTCACTCGGGAAACCGGACCGCCGGCAGTCATCTGCCTTGCCCTTTGGATGTCGTTTTTCTTCCTGTACTTCCTCCTTTTTCATCTTAGTGTCCATGGCCTGTGCTATTTCCAGGGAAGATGGTGGGTTTACAGGAAGATTCTGCAGAAAGAGCATAATCCTAATCTCCCGTGGTCTCCATGAACACTGCAGTATGAGGTGGGAGAAATGCACCTTGCCCTGGCATTTTGCAGCCTCTGCCTCTAAGTCAGTGGGCGCGGCTGAGCCCCGGACAGTCAGCACCGGGACTTTGGACCATGTTTTGTGTTTTATTAAAGTGCTTATCTCCCACTTGTATGTTTGGTCTGGAGTCAGGGTGGCCACAATGACAACTGCCACATTTAACACCTGATACAAACACCACACAGAGACACCACCTGCCATGGCTGCTGCACTGCTTCTCAATGTAGATCATTAGCCCGGAGGCTTCCAGGTGAACTCATTAGCTGGATCCCCAAACAAAATAAAATCCCAAGAAAAATATTCCCACTCGTCCCCCCACTGAAGACGTCGGAGAGGGCAGAACAGAATGTGGGCTTTTCGCAGGAGAACAGAAAACAAGCGGGACCTGTGTTCTGAGACTTCCCCGCCAGGTGCCTAGTTTTACATCATACGTAAGTTCACAGCCCAAATTTCCTGGCGTAGAGAAAATAATTTTATTTTATTGACTTTTTTTTTTTGTAAAATATAGCATGTTACAAGTCGGCCCCTAGCTAGGGCTTAGAAGTATGTTTGCTATTCTTGCCTTCGAGTCTATTAATGTCAACTGAGAACTGTAAATCAAAATGATAAAAAATGAAACTCTGACTAGGGGAACTCTTAAGTCATAAAAAACATTAATCTTGTTTGTGCTAAATGCAACCAACTTAAATCTATAAAAAAAAGTCTCTGTTTGAAAGGCTGAACTTCAGGAAATAAAGAGACATTTGGAATCATCTTAATTTTCTGTTCTTGTTGAGAAGATGGGAAGATGCAACCATCTCATGACACCGGCTCCGAATCTCACTTCCCCAGGACGAAAAGGTCACCTTCTCAGGTCTCCCTGAGGGGAACCGGGTGGGCCGCCCTCACAGAAGCCACTCAGCCACCTACCTGCCGCTCTGCACTGTCTGGGGCAGAACTGGCGAACTCGTCAGCTTGAACGCGGCTGAGAAATCCGCCTTCAGAACTCCCTAAGACTGATGAGCTTCTGTCTAAAAAGCAAAAAGTTAAATTTAAAGGGACAGAGCATATACATTGTGGAAATATCATTATCCTACTGCGATTGCTAAATCCAATTGAAGTGAATGGATGCACAGCTTCCCTCTTGTTCATGAGATCACTATACACATGTCAGGTCAGTTCAACAACAAGTGATCCTGTAAGAACATTAATTCTTTCATGAATACACTCAGTCAGTATTTCTTGGGCATCACTCTCTCTCGAGTATTCTGATGGCTCAGGAGATTCACGGATGGAAAGGCACTGCCTCGGCCCTGAAGCTGCTCATGGTTCTGCAGGAGGCAGACACAGGAGAGAAAGGCCAGATCCCTGCACCACTGGCTTATGGGACCTATGAAGGGACAGGGGCTGTGGTGAAGGAGCATCACAGGCTTCCAGGAGAGCCCGGGATCCGGGGGGTCTTCCCCAGGATGGCGTCACTGTCAGCTGAGATGATGCCTGGAGGTTGTGGAGGTTGTGCAAGACAAGGCCTCCAGTTCTGCCCGGCAGCAGCAAGTAACTAAAGTCTGGTCTGGGGGCCTGAAGAGGAGGGGGCAGCAGAAACAAGGTGGCCAGGCTGGTGCTGACCTGATGGGAAGGGCTTCCCCACCCCGTAGAGGAGCGCAGAGGGGACTGTGAGGGTACGCAGAGCCTGGGGTGGTCTGAAGCAGACAGATGGCACCAGTCTCACCTCTGTGAAGCTCCCTGCAGAGGCCATGAAGCAGTCTGGGGTGCAGGAGGCCCAGGGAGCGGACCCAGGAGGAAGACAGTGTCGGGTTTGGCCCTACAGGGCCACACAGGCCTGGGCCGAGGATAGGAAAGAGTCCAGGTGCCAGGCAGCCCAGGGCGAGTTGTGCCCACAGGCTTGGGCTGTGCTGTGCATAAGGACCACACCTGAGGCTCGGCCACCTCATGGGCTCCATTTCTTTAGGAAGACAGGTTCCTGCGGGGTTTGTGAAGCTGCTATGGTCATTTTCTGGCAGTAACGTGAGGAAGGAGTTCTTTCCCAACTCTACCAGGGGTACTGTTGGCTCCTCCCGGTGGGACCCCCAATGCAGAAAGCACCCACATCTGCATGGACAGAGCTGGGCTCAGGAAAGAGGCCGGGCAGGTGCCGGATGAGAGGGCGCTCCATCAGCGTGGCAGCAACGCCATGGGCGGGCAAACGGAGAAAAGGGAACAAAGCCCCCGAGTCCGCCCAGGCCCAGCCAGACGCCTTCAGCTGGGAGTGTACTCAGGGGAAGTGGCCGGTAGGATTCGGAATCTCCAGCCACGGCCCCTGGAGACCGGCATGTGGGCTGTGTGTGGGGTGGAGGGCTAGGGGTGTCGGCAAGACTCCCAGGTGAGGACCCAACCAGGGAATCGGACAAAAGTGGTCAGAAATTAGGCAGCTCCATGAAGGACATGTCCTTGCCGTAGTAAGATGTTCTGCTCACGCGTATCCACAAGAAAGCCCCCCACTTTACAGGAAGCATGGAAACAGTTAGGAGCCCTCGACCCTGCTCACCAGCTCCTCTGGCTGCTGCCGTCTGCTCCTGCAGCGTGGTGGCCTGGGAAGCCTGCACTGGTGATTTTCTGCCACCGGAGTTTTGCGGACTTCGGGAAGATGGATGCATAATCTGGGGCAAAGACAGTCAGAGGCCCCCCTTGTCACAAGGTCCCTGCAGCCGGCAATGCCTCGAGCCCAAAGGCTGGGAGCACGAAGCCATCTTCAGCCATCCACAATTTCCAGCAAGACCCCAGGGCTCACCCAACAGCCCTGAGCTCAGCACTACAAGGTAGATCAATTCTTTTAAAGACTCTGCAGAAATATACCAATTACGGAGCTCGGGAAAGTAATTGATTTTTAAAACCCAATTCAAGTTGTTTGCTTTTTAAAACCCAATTCAATTTATTTGCTTTTATAGCATTAAAGACATGTCTGCAGAAATTCAAAGTTTTATCTATAGAAACATAATTAGGTTAATAAATTACTAGGTCTATTTCGAATAACAAATTGAGTACTCTTATGAGACCTAAGTGGAACTTCATCTGAATCTGAATTTTCCATGCTGCCAGTGTAGAGTGACCCAGGTTTCCGAGGTCACCTTTCCGTCTTCAGACACCCCCCGTCTTTCTGCACCGGGAGTCGGCCTTCCAGTGGGTGCTGGACTTCTGTCTTGACGTCTCCCGGGAGGACTTTTCTCTCTATCTTCCTGTGGTGGTGTTTTCCCCGAGTTAATTCTTTCTGTCTTTAAACTCATTGGCTGAAAATAAATGTGGTTGCATTAATAACCATCATATTATTTTAAAATGTTGAGCAACACATCACACCAGCTGCCACAGAATCTAGAGGATTCTACCCCCGCTTCCTACAGAAGGACACATGAGGCATCCACGCTCTCATTCCCCATTTTACAGCCACGCTCTTGAGGAATTCAGGGACGGTATGGCTGACGTTGTAGAATAGTCAACAGTGAAATAAAGTACTTGAAACTCAATTCAAAAATGCATAATGAAAATAATGTTCTACCTTTTCTGCTGCTTAAAAATTCAGGGTTTGGAGGCGTGGATAAGCCACCCATTCAGTTATCTATTTACTCGTACATTGTCCAGCACGCGTGTGATTAACTCAGGTCAATGCAGAAGCGTGAGAGAAGTCCGTGTCTCACAGGAGGCTGGACCTATGCAGTACGTCCTGGGACTTTCGATGTTTTGTACTCATAGGATCTGAAAGGACTATTTTCCTACTTGTGACAAATGCTTGGAGTAGATTTCTGATCTTCCTTCAGGGAATAAAGTGTTATCTGCTCAGCAGTTGCTTTGGGAAAGAAGCGAGGGGATAAATCATCTTCAGGAGTTGGGGGGGCAGTCTTCTCCATCCACATCGACCCAGTATCAGTTGCTGGCTCAGGACTCACGAGATTTGCCTCCCGAGTGTGAGGGTGACACAAAGCTGGGATGGGAAGAGACACACTGGCCAGCAGAAGGTTCTAAAGAGGAGCTAATTTTAACAAGGAAAAATGTGTTGGAGACAAAATAGCATCCTGCACTGTGGCCCCCAAGCAAGCGGCACAGCCCCTGTTCAGAGGAGTCCACGCTGACAAGCAGCAGGTGCAAGACCGCAGTGCAGAAGCAGGGATCGTGGGAGGCTGCGAGCCCCCAGACGCACGGGCCATGGCATGTGGCGAGAGCGCCACACATATCACCTCCGTGGGTGGCACCCACGGAAACAAAGCCCCCGAGTCCACTCGGCCCCAGCCAGACATTTGCTGCCGTGAGTGAGCTCAGAGGGAAGCAGCTGGCAGGACTTGGAATCTGCCCTACAGCAGGAAGTGCTGTGGTTTAGGATCTTGTTTGAAAGGCATGCACCCATGTCCTTGGAAAAACGCAGGACTCCAGGGAGCACCATGCTCCCCCAGGGAGGTGAAACTGTGTGGTGAGGAGCTGATGGGATGTGTGTGTTTGGGTACAGAAGCTCTGCTGCTCTTTACAGACGATAAGCACGAAGGGTCACCTTTGGAGGAGCTAAGTGGTTAGATGACCATCTTTGTCCCAGGAGAGTGGCACTCTGACTCTTGCGGCCAGCGTATTTGGGCGTTGTGTCTTCATCAGCTGACAGATGTGAAATTTTTCCAAAAGCAGGTTCCAATGCCTAAAAGACAAAATGCGGGGAAAATGTTCATATTTTCAAAGGTAAGATAAATTCAAATTTTAATAAAATCCAAAATAATTGGAATGTCCTAGAAAAAATTAGGGTACGAGGTGGGGGGACTTGGCCTGGGTTTTTCCCCTAACATGTTGATAAGAACAGAAACCCTCACCCAACGTTTGTGAAGGAAGCTTTGTGGAGCCCGTATTTGCTTTGTGTTTCTTATTGTGGTTCCTTGTTTCAAATTGATCACAGGATCCCAAAGGCTACAGAATGATCAATACCCAACATATCTTCCTTCAGGCTCATGTGTCTTCAACGGGGAATGTGGCAACGGAGGAGGAAAATGTGATGCTCCTTCTAGTGTTGTCTCTACAACTTGTCTAAGATTCGAAATGCAAATTCCCAACTTCCCCTGTTATCAGCAGACTGACCTGGAACAGCGTGATCCTGCAGGTGGGAGGAGGTGTGTTAGGTCTGGAATGTTTAATTATTCCCCGCTCTCCCCTCTGAGGAGGAGGAGGGAGTGAGAAGGGGAGAGGGTTGCTATGAACGAACCCTTAATACCAGATCCAGAGTGGCTCACCCACACAGCCGTGCCCGCGTTCCGAGGGTGCTCATGCCTCAGCCTTTTAGATGCTCACTCCCTAAAACTGCGACTACACACAGATACACCTACGCAAATTTGAAGTGTGGAATTCACATATCCCGTCCTTTCTTCAAATCAGGTATGCTCTTGTGAGCATAGATCCTCTTCCTATAAATAGCCCCATGGTGACCAGTACAATGCACAGAATCAAAAAAAAAGTTTGGAAATTCCCCAAGCTCTAACCTCGAAATAAGAGAACAATGGAAGCTGTAGGGAGTGTGAAGACTGGACGAGACTTCATTGGCTCTTGGGGTTACTGTTACGGTAACATTTCGACCAACATACAATGACCCAAATGGGGCAGTAGATACTATTTTTTAGGAACTGGCATACAGTATATGCAGGGAAAAATCCCTGTGGGTCTTATGGGTTCTCCTCACAGAAGGTGGACAATCCCGGCCAGTATTTGTGGCAATTTCTCCCTCTCTACCTCTGACGGAGGAACAGCCTGCCCGGCTTCCGCTCGTGGTTCGGCAGAAGGACTGGGCACTTTGCTGTGTTGAGAGGATAAACCCGCTTTCTTTCTGAGGCAGCAGAAGCCATCTCCACGGAAACAAAGCTCTCGCAGAGCTCCCGAAGACTGGGAATGACTTCCAAGATTTCCCGTAATTTCTTGTAGAGGAATTTGTGGCTGTTCTTGCCATGCTGGGAGAACCGACCACAGAGCAGGCTCCTCTGGAATGTATTCTGTGGGTGCCTCTGTGTGTGTGTGCATGTGTGTGTGCACACGTGTGTGTTGTAATCACTGTGTCATATCGGAAACATTCTAAGTCCTGGAAGTACCGATTTAAAAGTTCACGCAATAAGTGCAGATAGGAAACGTTGGTACTTTTCTTAACCCACTGAGAAATATCCCCACTTACATTTGGAGGGTGTTCACGTGGTTCCGCGTGTCCTGACCTGTACATATAATTTTAATGATTCAAGTTGTTTACACCCATGTGCGGGAGACAGAACCCAGACAAGGCAGTGATAACACTGGCCACATTCACACTCTCTTAGGCTCGGTCTTTGAGCCGTGTGATCAAACTCGAAAGCTCAGTGTTCTATAAAGGCAGGTGGGTGCTGGGAGGCACCGACTATTTCAGCATGAGAATGCTGGTTCTTCCTTTGGGATAGAGCAGGGCGGTGATATGGGACGGGCGCAGGAAAGTCCTGGGTAGAGAAGGGCAGGTCCCTGGCTAGGGCTCCACCCCCAGGCCTGTGCCCAGGGACCTAGGCATTTCTGCTGTCGTGCCCAAATGTAGCATTTCCAAGACCACCCTGGCCTGCCACACTCCCATCTTGTGCCTGTGAAGACCCCGAGACCCTAGTGGGCAGAGACACAAGTGGCTGGCATCGAGAGGAACACACTGGCAGACATCAGCAAGCCATTGACTGTCAGAATGACAGGGAGATTGATCAGGGCAGTCAGAGGAGAGCCCGGCGGCTGGGCTGCCCAACTCCAGGTGAAAACCACCTTCCCACTCCATCTCGGTTCTGGCTCCCC
The DNA here is from genome assembly GCF_000001405.40 of Homo sapiens. Lineage (NCBI taxonomy): Eukaryota > Metazoa > Chordata > Mammalia > Primates > Hominidae > Homo > Homo sapiens. The sequence continues at coordinate 167,380,228 of NC_000006.12, forward strand.
TGTCTGCTGAGAGCTACCATCACCCAATAAAAAACCTTGCACCCATCCTCCAAGCCCACATGTGATCTGATTTTTCAGGTACACCGAGGCAGGAACCCAGGATACAGAAAGCCCTCCGTCCTAGTGATGTGCAGAGGGTCTAACTGAGCTGCTAAACACAAGCTGCCTACAGAGAGCTAAACTGAAAGAACGCCCTGTGACACACGCCCACTGGGGCTTCAGCTGTAAACATTCACCCCTAGACACTGCCGTGGGGTTGGAGCTGCACAGCTGCCCGTCTCTACGCTCCCCTAGAGGTTTGAGCTGTGGGACAATGAGCAAGCGAGCCACATCCCCTTCGCACACCCTGGGAGGGGGACAAGGGAACTTTTCCCGTTTCAACAGGTCTCTATTGCATTCTACACAGCTGTCCTAGAAGATGAACAGAAGGACACCGGGCCACTGAGCTGACTCTGGAGTCACCCTGGGTTCAAATCCCAGCTCCGCATTCTCCAACCCGTGGCCATGTTGGAGTTAGTTATAGGATCCATTTCATAGGGTCGTCGTAGAGAGTAAGATGGTAAAGCTCCCTACCTAGCCCATGTAAAGTCCACAGTAAGGGTTTGCTGCTGTTGTCCTGAGACATCATGGGTTGTCTTAGAATTCTAGACGTGAGACGCGCAGCCTGGAGGCGGCTGTGCTTCTGTCTGCTGGAGTGTCAGGTGAGATGCCTGATGTATCCAGTTCTTTAATCTTTACTTGTGGGAAATGGAGCTGATGGAAAGATAGCAAGCCCTCCCACCACCTGGAACGTGAGAGATACCACGTCACCCAGCAACAAAGCCCACATCTTTACGGGGACGCTATATTTACACGACGCAAATGATACAAAAACACAAATGCGCCTTTGGTACCAGAGTGTGTGATTCTCGCCCCGCGTGTGGGGACGCTGCGGGTTTCTTCCCGGCTTCCCACTGCTGCCGCTGCAGGCCTCTCAGCTCTTCTCGGAGCTCCCGGTTCTGCTTCCTCAAGGCATCCATATGACTCTGGAGTTTTCTGTGAATATCAGCCCACAGCGACTGCTGTCTCCCGAGCTCTTGGTGGAGGCTGGTGATCTGCTGCTGTAATGACTGTCATTGGGAAGAGAACACCAGGAAACCTCTCAGACGCCCAACCGGCACATTCATCTGCAAAATACTCAAGCCCCCTCTGAAGTGAGACCAACACTCTTTCTGGACAAAAGGACACCCGATGAGATAAACAGGACTACCGCAGCCTTTTTCTTTCTTTCTTTCTTTCTTTTTTAATTTTTATTTATTTTTATTTTTTTTTGGCAGAGTCTCACTCTGTCATCCAGGCTGGAGTGAAGTGGCATGATCTCACTTCACTGAAGCTTCAACTTCATGAGCTCAGGTGATCCTCCTGCCTCAGCTTCTGATGTAGCTGGGACTACAGGCGTGTGCCACCACACTTGGCTAATTTTGGTATTTTTAGTAGAGATGGGGTTTCACTATGTTGCCCAGACTTGTCCCAAACTCCTGGGCTCAAGTGATTCACCTGCCTCGGCCTCCCAAAGTGCTGGGATTACAGGTATAAGCTACCATGCCTGGCCACAGCTTTATTCTTATTGAGTACTGTTTATTATGAGTTAGTCTACATGATATAACCAGATATAGATGGTCAGTGAATTATCATTCTTTGTTAAAACACTACTACAGCAATAAGAGGCTGGCATTCTTTTATTCTTTTTCCTTCTTTTTTTTTTTTTTTTTTTTAAGACAGGGTCCTGCTCTGTCAACCACGCTGGAGTGCAGTGGCACAATTTCAGCTCAATGCAACCTCCACTTCCCAGGTTCAAGCAATTCTGGTGTCTCAGCATCCCAAGTAGCTGGGATTACAGGTGCACGCCACCATGCCTGGCTAATTTTTGAATTTTTAGTAGAGACGAGGGTTTGCCATGTTGGCCAGGCTGGTCTCAAACACCATGGTGGCATGGATGTGTGGTCAACAGTTTAAAAATTATGGAAGCCACTGCATTTTCAACCTGACATGTTAGCCTTCCCCTGGCATCCTTCATTGGACCGTAGAGCCTCCAGCCTTGCTCTGAGAATAAGTGGGATCGTGATAGAGGTACAGCCCTTCACTGCATGGCTCTGGCCACAGGGACCCATGGCACTTTCTTGAGAGCAAGCACTGTCCAACAGGGTCTGGTGAGGAAGGAGCTAAAAATCAGGAAGCTTGCTGGGATGATGTGAGGAAGGGGTAAAAATCAGGAAGCTTGCTGGGATGATGTGAGGCATGTCAACCTTCTGATTTTCGTTAATGAAGTTTTTAAAGTCTGGTGCCTTCTCCTGGATTAGAGGAGAAAAGCTGGAATGTTAATATTTTCTTTAACTCCCCATCCTGGCTCCCATCCACCAAGAGAGAAGGTTGCAGAGGGGAAAAGAACCACGTGCCCCTCTGAGAGGAAGTTCAGCATCAGCGTCCCAGGGTGGCGCATTCCTACAGGGGTCTGGCGAGGGAAAGTCCAATGACAGACCACAGGGACAGGAATCAGGGTCCCACCTGGTGGGACTAACTCTGTCCCCACAGAGGTCAGCTCACCGGCATCTCCCCGGCATTGCTGTCCTCCCTGGGGACCTCGGCTGCTGCAGGTGTCTTCTCCATGGCAGCCCCAGCTCCCGGGCACGGGTCTTCTGGGTGGGTGCCCTCCTTGGGCTACCCGGCCTCGAGCTGACCCTCCAGCATCCTGGTTGGGAAGGGAAGAGCTATGGCAATGCCTGAATGCAGCCCCCTACCCCGTCAGTGTGGGCTGAAGGCCCCAGCCTCAACCTAAGGGCGAGCAGGAACCACAGCCTCTCTTCTCCCCCGGGGTCCTGTACACATTCCCAAGCCCGAAGCTGACCAGGTGAAAGGACACCACAGAGGGAGGGACTGAGAGGTCCACGCCTGGCTCTCCACCATCCTCCATGGAAAAAACTTCAGTTCCTAGAAGATCAGCCTGACACCTTACACACTGTCACCATCCACAGACGGAGGGACTGAGCGGTCCACACCTTGCTCTCACCATCCTCCATGGAAAACACTTCAGTTTCTAGAAGAAGATCAGCCTGACACCTAACACATTCTCACCATCCACAGATGGAGGGACTGAGTGGTCCATACCTGGCTCTGCACCATCCTCCATGGAAAACACTTCAGCTCCTAGAAGATCAGCCTGACACCTAACACACTGTCACCATCCACAGACGGAGGGACTGAGCGGTCCACACCTGGCTGTCCATCATCCTCCGTGGAAAATGCTTTAGATCCTAGAAGATCAGCCTGACACCGAATGCACTCTGGTCATCCAGAGAAGGGTGTGAGCGGGGTGTGAGCCGGTGTGAGTGGGATGTGAGTGGGGTGTGAGCGGGTGTGAGGGGAATGTGAATGGGTGTGAGCAGATGTGAGCAGGATGGTCTCGGGGTGTGAGTGGGATGTGTGTGGATGGTCGCTTGCGGCCCTGAGGGAACTCTTAGCCCTTTAATCAGCACCACTGGATCAACACCCACTTGGAGGTGCACAGGCAGACCCCATACTGTGTTGAGTCTGAGTCTTGAACCATCGGGATGACATTTGTGAATTCATGGTGAAGACGTGGAAAGGAAACACCTTTTTATAGGTACAGCATTTATGCCAGTTCTAGGAAGCTCACAGCAATCAGAAAACTAAAACAAAAGAGAAAACGCAAAGCTTCCTGCAAGCCTGCAGGGTCCTCTCTGAAAGCCGCTCCCAACCCTGCCTCACCCTCTCGGTTTTAGGAAGCGAATGGCCCCCAACGAAACCCCAGCTGTTTATTCATAAACTTCTCACTGTATACAAACCTGAGAATGAACAGTTTAACCACAGTGATTGGAGAAATGCTGTTTAAAAGAGAGTCTCCTGATGAAGGCAAATCGAAGGTCAAGAGCAAGACCTACCAGTAACCGGATCCCTGGCTGTTCCTTCCCCGCGGGGATTGGGACAGTTTCTGTGGAAGTGGGCAAGGGTCCGCGGTCCTCACAGCCCTGAGAAAGCTTCTTCTTTCCCGCTCCTCCGAGGGGATACCCCAGTGTCCTCGGCCCCAAACTTGTGACCCCCTCAGTCTGGGGAAGACCCCTTCCCTCAGCCCCACTAACAGACCTCATCACCTCACCTGGTCCCCGCCAGTCACTTCTGCTGGGACCAGAGCATCTGGGCCGTGTCCCCACAGCTGTCCCCAAGTCCTCCCGCCTCATCTCCAGAGACCAGAGAGCAGCCGACGGTTCCAACGGACTTTCTGTCTTAAAGGGGCATGAGCGTCCCACTCAGCATCACCACTGGACCAGCTCAGATAATAATTAAACATCCCAAACCCGCAATTCTAACATAGGAGCTCATTGTCAGTGGAGTCCATCCATCCACAAAGGACACTGGAGAGAGTCAAACTGCTCCTCCCCATTGACAAAAACCATGTGTTTAATATCAAGTCTTCAATACCCAACGTGTAGTAAGAGCTCATTTCTCTGAGCATACATTCTTGAAGAAATATAAACTCTCTTTGGATGTCAAATTACTTACTAGAAAAAACATTTTTATGAAGGGAAAATAATATATGTGAGTTTAAATAGGAGACAGGATTCAAATTTTCATCATTTCACAGAATGCATCTCCATCTGAATTGTCGTGTGATTTTTGTGATAGAGAAGAGAATGAGGCGCAAGCGAGAGTCCATGTTCCTGTTAAGCCCTGGCCATCCTTCTCATCCACGGTGCTGCCTGTGGAGAGCACACCTGGGGCTCCCCTGAGGCTGCTTGTGCTGTGTGTCACTCGGATAGTTCCTCAAGCGACTCGCTTGCAATAGGCAGTAAACACCGACGTCGTGAATGAACGAAGAAACTACCACAAAGAGGAAACGAAGCACTTTTGTCCCTGCGCGTCATTCTAACCATGGATTGTGGGTCCTGAGGTGTGTGAGGGGCTGTGGTGTGTGTGTCCTGAGATGTGTGAGAGGCTGTATATGTGTCCTGAGGTGTGTGAGGTGTTGTGTGTGTGTCCTGAGGTGTGTGAGGGGCTGTGGTGTGTGTGTCCTGAGGTGTGTGAGGTGTTGTGAGTCCTGAGGTATGTGAGGGGTTGTGTGTGTGTCCTGAGGTGAGGGTTGTGTGTATTCTGAGGTGCGTTTGGGGTTGTGTGTGTCCTGAGGTGTGTGAGGTGTTGTGTGTGTGTCCTGAGGTGTGTGAGAGGTTGTGTGTGTCCTGAGGTGTGTGAGGTTTGTGTGTGTCCTGAGGTGTGTGAGATGTTGTGTATGTGTCCTGAAGTGTGTGAGAGGTTGTGTGTGTCCTGAGGTGTGTGAGGTGTTGTGGGTGTGTCCCGAGGTGAGGGTTGTGTGTATCCTGAGGTGTGTGGGGTGTTGTGTGTGTGTCCTGAGGTGTGTGAGGGGTTGTGTGTGTGTGTTCTGAGGTGCGTGAGGGGTTGTGTGTGTCCTGAGGTGTGTGAGGTGTTGTGCGTGTGTCCTGAGGTGTGTGAGAGGTGTTGTGTAGGTTCTTGAGGTGTGTGAGAGGTTGTGTGTGTGTCGTGAGGTGTGTGAGGTTTGTGTGTGTCCTGAGGTGTGTGAGATGTTGTGTGTGTGTCCTGAGGTATGTGAGGGTTGTGTGTGTGTCCTGAGTTGTGTGAAAGTTGTGTGTGTCCTGAGGTGTGTGAGGTGTTATGTGTGTGCCCTGAGGTGTGTGAGGGTTGTGTGTGTGTCCTGAGGTGTGTGAGGGTTGTGTGTTTCTTGAGGTATGTGAGAGTTGTGTGTGTCCTGAGGTGTGTGAGGGGTTATGTGTGTGTCCTGAGGTGTGTGAGAGTTGTGTGTGTGTCCTGAGGTATGTGAGGGTTGTGTGTGTGTCCTGAGTTGTGTGAAAGTTGTGTGTGTCCTGAGGTGTGTGAGGTGTTATGTGTGTGCCCTGAGGGTTGTGTGTGTTTCCTGAGGTGTGTGAGGGGTTATGTGTGTGTCCTGAGGTGAGAGTTGTGTGTGTGTCCTGAGGTGTGTGAGGTGTTGTGTGTGTGTCCTGAGATATGTGAGGGTTGTGTGTGTGTCCTGAGTTGTGTGAAAGTTGTGTGTGTCCTGAGGTGTGTGAGGTGTTATGTGTGTGCCCTGAGGTGTGTGAGGGTTGTGTGTGTGCCCTGAGGTGTGTGAGGGTTGTGTTTGTGTCCTGAGGTGTGTGAGGTGTTGTGTGTGTGTCCTGAGGTGTGTGAGAGGTGTTGTGTAGGTTCTTGAGGTGTGTGAGAGGTTGTGTGTGTGTGTCCTGAGGTGTGTGAGGTGTTGTGTGTGTGTCCTGAGGTGTGTGAGGGTTGTGTGTGTGTCCTGAGGTGTGTGAGGTGTTGTGTGTGTGTTCTGAGGTATGTGAGGGTTGTGTGTGTGTCCTGAGGTGTGTGAGGGTTGTGTGTGTTTCCTGAGGTGTGTGAGGGTTGTGTGTTTCTTGAGGTATGTGAGAGTTGTGTGTGTCCTGAGGTGTGTGAGGGTTGTGTGTATCCTGGGGTGTGTGGGGTGTTGTGCGTGTGTCCTGAGGTGTGTGAGAGGTGTTGTGTAGGTTCTTGAGGTGTGTGAGAGGTTGTGTGTGTGTCCTGAGGTGTGTGAGGTTTGTGTGTGTCCTGAGGTGTGTGAGATGTTGTATGTGTGTCCTGAGGTGTGTGAGAGGTTGTGTGTGTCCTGAGTTGTGTGAAAGTTGTGTGTGTCCTGAGGTGTGTGAGGTGTTATGTGTGTGCCCTGAGGTGTGTGAGGGTTGTGTGTGTGTCCTGAGGTGTGTGAGGGTTGTGTGTTTCTTGAGGTATGTGAGAGTTGTGTGTGTCCTGAGGTGTGTGAGGGTTGCGTGTGTGTCCTGAGGTGTGTGAGGGGTTATGTGTGTGTCCTGAGGTGTGTGAGTTGTGTGTGTGTCCTGAGGTGTGTGAGGTGTTGTGTGTGTGTCCTGAGGTATGTGAGGGTTGTGTGTGTGTCCTGAGTTGTGTGAAAGTTGTGTGTGTCCTGAGGTGTGTGAGGTGTTATGTGTGTGCCCTGAGGTGTGTGAGGGTTGTGTGTTTCTTGAGGTATGTGAGAGTTGTGTGTGTCCTGAGGTGTGTGAGGGTTGTGTGTGTGTCCTGAGGTGTGTGAGAGTTGTGTGTGTGTCCTGAGGTGTGTGAGGTGTTGTGTGTGTGTCCTGAGGTATGTCAGGGTTGTGTGTGTGTCCTGAGTTGTGTGAAAGTTGTGTGTGTCCTGACGTGTGTGAGGTGTTATGTGTGTGCCCTGAGGTGTGTGAGGGTTGTGTGTGTGTCCTGAGGTGTGTGAGGGTTGTGTGTTTCTTGAGGTATGTGAGAGTTGTGTGTGTCCTGAGGTTTGTGAGGGGTTATGTGTGTGTCCTGAGGTGTGTGAGAGTTGTGTGTGTGTCCTGAGGTGTGTTAGGTGTTATGTGTGTGTGTGTCCTGAGGTGTGTGAGGTGTTGTGTGTGTGTCCTGAGGTATGTCAGGGTTGTGTGTGTGTCCTGAGTTGTGTGAAAGTTGTGTGTGTCCTGACGTGTGTGAGGTGTTATGTGTGTGCCCTGAGGTGTGTGAGGGTTGTGTGTGTGTCCTGAGGTGTGTGAGGGTTGTGTGTTTCTTGAGGTATGTGAGAGTTGTGTGTGTCCTGAGGTTTGTGAGGGGTTATGTGTGTGTCCTGAGGTGTGTGAGAGTTGTGTGTGTGTCCTGAGGTGTGTTAGGTGTTATGTGTGTGCCCTGAGGTGAGGGTTGTGTGTGTTTCCTGAGGTGTGTGAGGGTTGTGTGTGTTTCCTGAGGTGTGTGAGGGGTTATGTGTGTGTCCTGAGGTGTGTGAGGGTTGTGTGTGTGTCCTGAGGTGTGTGAGGGTTGTGTGTTTCTTGAGGTATGTGAGAGTTGTGTGTGTCCTGAGGTGTGTGAGGGTTGTGTGTTTCTTGAGGTATGTGAGAGTTGTGTGTGTCCTGAGGTGTGTGAGGGTTGTGTGTGTTTCTTGAGGTATGTGAGAGTTGTGTGTGTCCTGAGGTGTGTGAGGGTTGTGTGTGTTTCCTGAGGTGTGTGAGGGGTTTTGTGTGTGTCCTGAGGTTTGTGAGGGGTTATGTGTGTGTCCTGAGGTGTGTGAGAGTTGGGTGTGTGTCCTGAGGTGTGTGAGGTGTTGTGTGTGTGTCCTGAGCTGTGTGAGGGTTGTGTGTGTGTCCTGAGGTGCGTGAGGGTTGTGTGTGTTTCCTGAGGTGCGTGAGGGGTTATGTGTGTGTCCTGAGGTGTGTGAGGGTTGTGTGTGTGTCCTGAGGTGTGTGAGGGTTGTGTGTTTCTTGAGGTATGTGAGAGTTGTGTGTGTCCTGAGGTGTGTGAGGGTTGTGTGTGTTTCCTGAGGTGTGTGAGGGGTTTTGTGTTTGTCCTGAGGTGTGTGAGGGGTTATGTGTGTGTCCTGAGGTGTGTGAGAGTTGGGTGTGTGTCCTGAGGTGTGTGAGGTGTTGTGTGTGTGTCCTGAGCTGTGTGAGGGTTGTGTGTGTGTCCTGAGGTGCGTGAGGGTTGTGTTTCCTGAGGTGCGTGAGGGGTTATGTGTGTGTCCTGAGGTGTGTGAGGGTTGTGTGTGTGTCCTGAGGTGTGTGAGGGTTGTGTGTTTCTTGAGGTATGTGAGGGTTGTGTGTGTCCTGAGGTGTGTGAGGGTTATGTGTGTGTCCTGAGGTGTGTGAGAGTTGTGTGTGTGTCCTGAAGTGTGTGAGGTGTTGTGTGTGTGTCCTGAGGTGTGTGAGGGTTGTGTGTGTGTCCTGAGGTGTGTGAGGTGTTGTGTGTGTGTCCTGAGGTGTGTGAGGTGTTGTGTGTGTGTCCTGAGGCGTGTGAGGGTTGTGCATTTCTTGAGGTATGTGAGGGTTGTGTGTGTCCTGAGGTGTGTGAGGGTTGTGTGTGTTTCCTGAGGTGTGTGAGGGTTGTGTGTATTTCCTGAGGTGTGTGAGGGTTATGTGTGTATTTCCTGAGGTGTGTGAGGGTTATGTGTGTGTCCTGAGGTGTGTGAGGGTTATGTGTGTATTTCCTGAGGTGTGTGAGAGTTGTGTGTGTGTCCTGAGGTGTGTGAGGGTTGTGTGTGTGTCCTGAGGTGTGTGAGGTGTTGTGTGTGTGTCCTGAGGTGTGTGAGGGTTGTGTTCGTTTCTTTGCTCCTCTCAGGTTCCACCCGGTTTTTGTTCGAGGGGTGAGAGTGGCCGGCCCCCTCCCCTCTCCATGGGGCAGGCAGCTTCCATCCCCATCTTCATGGTGTCTCCTTCCTCCAGAGACTCCGCCATCCCTGGGAAACCCTGGGGGTCTCTCTGCCCAGGCCTCACAGCACCCTGAGTTTGACCCAGCTGGAAGTTGTGATGTCCTCGAGTTTCTGGAAGCTTTTCTCAGTCATCTCTACAAGTTGGGGAATGAGGGCCCAGTGTCTCATGTCCATTTCCACAGAGTTTTATTTGTTATCCCGAGGATGTGTGAGCTCAGACCTGTCCATCTCGCCATCAAAGCAGGTCCACCCACATGTTTTCATCACCAGCCATCATCGATGGGTTTCAGGCTTCGCAGCTCCCCTCCTGAGCCTCAGCCGGGGTGGCTCCCAGGGCAGGCTCCCCGCATCCCTCTCTGTGCTGCGGGTCTCTGTGGGCTGCTCTTCCCGGCCCGGCCAGGCCATTTTCTTGGCTGCATCTTCCCCAGATTCTCGTCCTGCAGCAAATACTCGTGGCCGCTAGTCAGGTCGGAGCCTCCTGGGCGTTTGGACTATGGGGCCCTTCCCTTCTCTCTGATAAGGCCCCCGTTTTCTGTTCAGCCTGGTGGTGCCTTAGCCGCGTTTCAGGCACAGTCTTCCAGGGGCCTTCTGGTTTGAACATTCTGCAGAGGAAAGCACAACACATCTTTTCACTCATCTTTTAAAGTCAGAAGCCAGTTCCAGAGTCGGCTGCTTGGAGTAGCAGCAGATACACTTTTTAAAGTAGCTTAGCTGTTTAAATTTCTGGTTCAAAGGACTACTTCGATAGTGGTACAGACCCCTGACAAAAGAAATCACCTTTTGTAAATGTCATCGCTGCAAATGAGCAATGTGACGGGGAACTAGTGAGATGCCATTGAGACTGGAACCCACCCCACTGGAGGCAGCTGAGCGAATTCGTGGATGACTAAATGTCGGAATACTAAGTTAGGAGAGGGGTGCGTGTCATCCAAGGAATGACGTGCGCTCACACTGTGCCTCAAGTGACACAGATCATAGTAGATTCCAGCGGAACACTTGCAGCTGTGTTGAGTTCCTCAAACTACCACAAAACTCTTATGGTAAAACTTGTGAGAGGTGGAGTTAAGAGAGTATGAGCCCTGTGATCGAATCCAAATATGAATTGTAAAACATGCCTTAATACTATCACCAGTAGCTGTAGCGTACAATGATAGAACAAAAAGAGAAGGATTTTCTAGTCATTTTCTAGTTGTTCCCTCAGTGGTGCATTTTAGCACTCCCCAAACTCCACGTTTCTTTTGGATTTTATGAGCTGAGTCTGAATGTTGTAAGTGACACACTCGTTTTTTTTTTCTTGCGAGACAGGGTTTTGCTCTGTTGCCCAGGCTGGAGTGCAGTGGTGCTATCTCGGCTCACTGCAACCTTGACCTCTTAGGCTCAAGCAATCCTCCCATCTCAGCCTCCCTAATAGCTAGAACTACAGGTTCACACCACCACACTCAGCTAATTTTTGAATTTTTTGTAGAGACAGGTCTCGCTATGTTGCACTAGCTGGTCTCAAACTTCTGGACTCAAGCGATCCACCTGCCTCAGCCTCTTAAGTGCTGGGATTACACACTTTTCAAGCATTTTCTCTGTACAATATTTTGTAAAAATTGAGAATAAGGAAAGACATTGCCCCTTTAAGCAAGGTGGTAAGACAACATATAAAAAGTACTCAATCCACAATAGTGAGTGCTTCCATTAATTACATTCTAAAGTTTTTTTGTTTAAAATAAATTGGGGGAGTACATTATGCTCTTCAAGATAATGAACGGAGAAAAATGTCCAATGATTGCTAGCCATCCCGATAATGTATTTACTCTATGTTGTGTTATTTTGTTTTTGCAGTAGGACGCAAGTGATCAGAAAGGAAATCACATAGTCAGTGACCAGCTGAGACTGAGTACGGACAGGGGAAGAAGCTAACTTAGACCTAAAGGGACCTGGGGTCAGGAGACATTTCTAGATAAGCCCCTCAGCCAGAAAACATCAACCCATGACTTCCAATACCAATGCTGAAGAGGCCACAGAGGAGAGAGAATCTTGAAAACATTTCTAATATCTGAAAGTTCTTGTATTAAAAGAAGTGGAAAGTTTCTTGATATGTGTATGAAGGCCAAGATTGAGATAGTGGTACTGAGGGTGGGATAATACCACATTGAGGCTGGGAGTTTTACTTCTTTTAAATCTTTCTGTAGGTATATCTCTGTGGATTCCTACCACTTCTAAACCATAGTTACAAGGCCAATAAATACATAGAACAACATTCCTACCACTCGTGAGCATCATGCTCTTCCTAATAGCTCTATTGGAACCCTCTATTGCTCATGACCTTGTGTCCATATCATGCTATCTGATTATTCATAATTTTTCCTGGATCCCTTTGATATGAAACATGGATAAAGCCATGTGTGAAGAAACACGTTATAGGAAAAGAACTCCGACCTTGGAATCTGAGGATTTGTATAATTTGGCCTTTACACAAAAGAATTATGTAATCTGGGGCAAGTCCCTTAATACAGTATTTGAACCCGATTTTATTGCCCCTTTTAGGTCTAAACTCTAAGCTGTGAGTAGTAATTTGCAGCATGATGGTGAGGTGAAATGACAGAGGCTCATGGCATGTCGTTGCAGAATATCCACTAGACTTTCACAAGTCACCAGTCATGGATTTCAGGATCTGACTCTTGTCATCTTGGGAGACGTCAGGATCTGACTGCTCGTCTTCACGGGAGACGTCAGGATCTGAATGCTTGTCTTCATGGGAGAGTCAGGTACAGCTTAACAATTAGCTAAGGGGTTCAAATTACAGATACCTCTAATTACTGCTTTAGCTAAAAAAAACCCCATGAAAGACACAGGTTTACTGCATCATATGAACCCATAGTAAATATTTTGTGACCTGATACTTATCCAGTCAGAGCTCTGTTAGCCAGAACTAAATAATTGCCAGAAAAATGAACACTCATATTCATAATACCATTCTTTAAATAGTACAAAATCATGGGACTTTTGAGTCATCAGTGAAGGTAAAAGCTTAACACAACATGTTTCTATTCTGTTCCTTATTATTTTCTAATTCATTAACTATAAACTAATCAACAACCTCCAGTGCCTAGCATTGTGCAGCCCGTTGCAAGGCTTAAAGACGAGTATGAGACATGGTCCCAGGTGCCTGAGAAGTCGGGGCATAGTGAGAGAGATGAAGAGACTGTACTAGGACAATTAGCACCTAGATATTAATAGCATGGTGCTGAGCAGAGTGTTTCACACAAGAGGGAACACCTTTCCAGGTCAAGCTGAGGCAGCTTTCTGTAGGATCAGAGAGAGAGAAGGGATATTTCCAAAGGAAGGTGGTCAACCAAAGCCCAGGAGGAAGCAGTGGGTGCCTCCTCACCTGTGTTTCTGCACCTGCGCTTCCTCACCTGTGCCTCGTCACCTGCACCTCCTCACCTGCGCCCCCTCACCTGGGCCCCCTCACCTGGTACCAAACCTGCACCCCCTCACCTGCACCCCTCACCTGTGCCTCCTCACCTGCGCCCCCTCACCTGCGCCCCCTTACCTATGCCCCCTCACCTGTGCCTCCTCACCTGACTTCCTCACCTGCACCCCCTCACCTGCGCCTCCTCACCTGACTTCCTCACCTGCGCCCCCTCACCTGTGCCCCCTCACCTGCACTTCCTCACCTGTGCCTCCTCACCTGCGCCCCCTCACCTGTGCCTCCTCACCTGACTTCCTCACCTGTGCCCCCTCACCTGCGCCCCCTCACCTGCGCCCCCTCACCTGCACCCCCTCACCTGCGCCTCCTCACCTGACTTCCTCACCTGCACCCCCTCACCTGCGCCTCCTCACCTGACTTCCTCACCTGCGCCCCCTCACCTGTGCCCCCTCACCTGTGCCCCCTCACCTGCGCCTCCTCACCTGCAAGGAGCTGTGCAAAGACTGTTCTGATGGGAGAGGAACTTTTCTTCAGGACATAAACCTGGAGGTATAGTGTGGGTCGGATGATGGTCCTTTCAAAATTCAGACACTCAACCTTGGACTTAACATGATCATCAGTGGGAATGGTTTTAAGTTTACTGTGATGAAATCTGTAGATTATAAAAGATGATTCTGGCAGAAGCATACAAATAAATTAGAGGAGGAAGAGAGACAAGCCAGGCCCAGTTAGGAAACCATTTAGTAACCCAGTCATGTGGGAAGAAGGTCTAAGCTACCAAGTTTACATACTGAGTCCATAAAATGTGTGATAGGCAGAATAATGGCCCCCAGAGATGTCCACATCCTAATCCCTGGAACTTGGAAATATGTTACCTCACAAAAGGGACTGTGGGGTGATGAAGTCAAGGATCTCGAGATGGAGAAGTTATCCTGGATGATCTGGGCAGGCTCAATGTCATCACTAGGATCTTTACATGAGGGAGGCTAGAGGGTCAGAGTCAGACGATGTGACAATGAAAGCAGGGAGGCCAGGCGCAGTGGCTCACACTTGTCATCCCAGCACTCCGGAAGGCCGAGGTGGGGGGATCACTTGAAGCCAGGAGTTTGAGACCAGCCTGGCCAATGTGGCGAAACCCTGTCTTTACTAAAAATGCAAAAATTAGCCTGGTGTGGTGGTGCACTCCTATAGTCGCAGCTACTCAGGAGGCTGGAGTGGGAGGATCACTTGAGCCCAGGAGGCAGGGACTGCAGTGAACTGAGATTGTGGCACTGGACTTCAGCCTGGGTGAGTGATGAGACTCTGTCTCAAAAAAGAAAGAAGGAAGGAAAGAAAGAGAAGAGAGAAAGAAAGAAAGAAAGAAAGTGAAAGAAAAGAGAAGGAAGGAAGGAAAAGAAAAGAAAGAAAGAAAAGAAGGAAGGAAGGAAAGAGAGAAAGAAGAGAGAGAGAAAGAAGAGAGAGAGAAAGAAGGAAAAAAAGAAAGAGAAAGAAAGAAGAAAGAAAGAAAGAAAAAGAAAGGCAGGAAGGAAAGAAGGAAAGGAAAGGAAAGGAAAGGAAGATGGGGGCAGAGAGGTTTGAAGAGGCTCCACTCCTGCCTGAAGTGAGGAAGGGAGCAGCAGCCGAGGAGCTCTCAGCCCCAGAAAGGACAAGAAAGCAGAGCCCACTTCCAGCCTCTGGAACGAACGAGCCTGCCAAGGCCTGGGCTGTAGCTCCATGAGACTCAGCCAGGATTCTGACACACAGAACTGTACGAGAACACGTGATTGTTGTTTTAAACCGCTAAGTTTGGGTAATTTGTGACGGCAGAAACTCTTTTGAAACGTCCATTTCTAGGCCTTACCCACATAAATTCTGATTCAATAGTTTTGGGTTGAGAATGTGAATTTGTAACCAAGTGCCCCAAGTTACTCTGACCAGGTGCCAAGAATGACTTTAAGAAAACATGGCTGCCGGTAAGCAACAGAAATATGAAGAAAGAGCCACCACTACTAACTCTACGCGGACAGAAATGGTTCCGGAGATCGATGAGGCTCTGATGACGAAGGGGCACCTGCGTCAGGATGGGTCTCACGTTTCCAGCCAGAGAGGAAGGAGGAGGCTGAGTGGCTGCACAGAGGAGAGGCCCGCAGAGGGGAGAGTCTCCTCTCCGACGCACTGGGTCTGCGGCATGGCTGACCAGGTGCCCTAATGCAGGAGGCATCGGAAACTGTGGGCTCAAAGCTAAGCTACGAGCGGGGTATTGAAGATACAGAGTAAGAGTTCGCTGCGCAAGTTTGATAGTCGAGGGGAAAAAGTTAGATCGGGTTATTGGAGTTACAAGGAGAGAGGGACAGCGCAAGGATTCCAGTACTGGAGAATGTCTAGTTTACTGTAGCCAAGATGTTGTATTTTAGGGCATAATCTAAAATGCTCCCTTGACTCCCCCACCCCATGGAAGATCTCAGGTTGAGCGGCCCTGCTGGCCCCACATGAGGTCCTCTGTGAGCACCAGCTCCTCTTCTCCTCTCCTTCCCTCTGTGATAGTGAAGCTCTCTATTGTGGGAGTGGTCATATTAGGGGCAGGCCCAGCTCCCCCAGATGTCACCTCTCTGCCTTCTGAGTATCAAATCAGAGTCTCCTTCTCCCTAAGCCTCCCAAACTGTGGGGACTTACGTGTGAGTGTCATTTCAGTTTTTGTATGACTATAGATACGTGAAAAAGGAATATTTGATTGATAAAATCTGATTGTCTTTAAAAATTGTCCTGACCTCCCTCCTCCCGACCCCTGTGGGAACCCACCACTTAACCATGCAAGGGCCTGACTCATCGAGCATCACAGCTTGGGGAAGAAATGCCAGCCGTGAGCCGGAGAAACAAAAATGAGGGCCTGTCCCTAAAATGCAGGATCTAAGGGACTTGAACTGGAGGGAAATCAGGCAGCACCTCACGGAATCCAGGCTCACAGAAAGTCAGTTTCAATTAGAATTTAAAACATCCCTCTTTGTGCTGCAACTCTTAAGGCTACTGACAAGGTGACAGGACCACACTTTGTACAGGATACAAGCATATTCCCAATGGGTGGACAAAACGACCCCATATCCCGTCTACACCAAGGAGCTGCACCTGCGCCTTGTGTAGCCAGATGCAATTTTCTATTGTCGGAGAATCTACTTTAAGTCGTTCTTCAGCAAATTCTTCCAAAGTACTGTTTTCTTTCCTCAATTTCTGGCCTAGCAAGCGTAGAAAGAAAACAAAAGGAATGTAAAATGTTCTTGGTTGACTTTACACTTAATTACTGAAATGCAAACAGAGAAAATTAAAATCAAACAGGTGCAAAAAATTCTTCTAGAGCCTTGCACACAATTCCAGTTCTTGAAATCGTTCATAAAGCAAAGCGAATGAAATAAACAAAGGCGTGGCTGGACGGATGTGCATTGTACTGTGCTGATGGTACTAAGTTGCTCACTGCATCTCTCGTTCCACGGCCTCCGGGCTCGCCCCCAGAAGCCTGTTCCTGAGCTGATTGGGGTTCTGGGCCAGGGGTCTCGAGGAGTGAGGCTCAAGCTCAGGAGGACAAAAAGCAACCACCTGGAAAGTGGCAAAATCTGTAAAATATAAAATCTGAGTGGTCTCAGGAGCAAACGCTGTGTCCAGAGCCTCATGTCCGGAGGTCCAGCCCGGCCTCCTGGCTGAGCCTTCCCACCCTGACACCCCGAGACCGTCCCAGCCTGGCTGGGGTCAGTTTGTGCTGTTATCACCTGGCATCTGCTCGACAAGCTTTGGAAATGAAGTTTCTGTTTTAGATGACAGAAAAGTCGTAGGACTAACCCAGTTCCCACATTCCCTACGCTCTCAGCTTCCCTGCTAACAGCTTATTTGTATAAAACACTTGTGGCTGTTGAACTAATATTTACACACTGATATTAACTGAAGTCCACACTGGATTCGGATCTCCTCGGTTTTTGCCCAATGTCCTTTTCCTGTCCCAGGGTCCTGTCCAGGCTCCCACACGACGCTTAACACCACGTCTTCTTGGGCTCCTCTAGGCTGTGACCGTTTCTCAGACGTTCCTGGTTTCTAATGACCTTGGCTGTTTGGAGGAGGGTTTTGTCTGATGTTTTTTCTCAAGATCGGACTGGGGCTGTGGGTTTCGGGGAGGAGGACCCCAAAGATGAGCTCTATGCCTGTCACAGGCAGTCAAGGGCAGTGCTGTCGATGTGACTTGTCACTGACCATGCTGACCTTGTCCACCTGGTGGAGGTCATGCCCGCCAAGCTTCCCCTCCGCACACTCTTCTCTTTAAAAGGAAGTCACACGCACCACACACACAGGAGCATGACGGAGCGGGGCTAATTCTCCACCTCCCAGGGCGTGTGCCCCGTAGTCTTCGATGGACACCAGCTCCAGGGCCCGCACCAGGGAAGAGCTCAGGTCCTGGAGGCCCTGAGACCTGCCCCTCGGTAGATGCTTCATAGTAACCCAGGCCTTCACTGCACCTGTGTCTGGAGAAAAGCTCCAACCACCTGTCCTCACTGCCCGAGCAGCTATGCCCTGTCTGAGCCTGGGCAGCTGCCCAACAGGCCTGAGGCTGGCTGGACCATCTCCTGTGAGCACTCAGGGCCTTGGTCTTACGCTGCTGAGGCCTGGGTCCAAGGGGCCGCGTAGGGCTGACTGAAGGCAGACGACCCTCCCAGCACGGCTGTCTTCCACATTGGCATGCAGTCTACTTCATTTATTTCTCAGAAAAACGACACAGGTATTATTATTATTATTACACTCATTTTAGAGATGAAAGCTGTGGCTAAAGAGGGGAAGCCATGGCACAGGGCTGTGCAGCTTGGGGGTGGAGTAGGAGGGATTGAAAGCCAGACACTTCCCATCCCAAAGTCTGTACCCTTCACCCTTGAGCTCCAGGGTGTGCCTTGACCACAGCCCCACATGAGGCCTGGGGACTGGGACTCCCTTCCCTTGGCCTGATGGGCTTCTCTGGATTCTAAAGCCCCAGTGAGGCTGCCGTCCCTGTCCGCCCAGTTCCCACTGGCACCTGGTTCAGTTCTCCAGGTGTGAAGCATCGGCCCTGCCCTGCACAGGTGTGTGGTGGTCTCCCATTGTGGGAACTACTAGATTCACAACAGATGCTGAAAATGCCAATACAGTCATTTATATTTTACTTTCTTAGAAGCCTCCTCTACTACAAAAGAGTAGCTCGTACTTCTTTGTTTTAGGACCGTGCGCACCTGGGCCCAGGCTGTGTTGAGAGGTAGCCAGCAAGTTTGACTATGTCAGCCTTATATCTAGCCTCGGGAAACAATACCCCGGCTGACACAGGTCTCTGGATTTTAAGAGTATTCAGCAATGCTCATGGAAAACCTCAAGGCATCCTACACTGCACCCTTCCTAAATATGCATTGGGAGTATCTGTGGCCTTATTGTTTACTGGCCTCAAGAACTGTGTTACTTGGGAAAGCGATTACACTTCCTGGTGCGCCTTCTCATTTGCACAAGGACGTGCAGTAAAGGGTTGACTCAGCAGGCTTGGGGTGTCCAAACCCTGCACGTTCAGAGGAAGGTCTGGCCCTGTCCTTCCCAGAGGATACCCTTTGAGCCCTTGGATTATCTTGCTTGATAAGAGTGTCTTTGTTTACCAGCGACCTCCATCCATGGCCAAGAGTTCATGGAGTTCATGTTAACAGTGATTTGTGTGCAGCCTAGAGCCACGCTACATCAGTGTGACCTCTGGGATAGCTGGACTGGGTGACTAGGATTAGCCAGCGGGATGATGCAGGCCTATGTGACCCGCTCCCAGGAGAAGCCCTGGATCCCAAGGCTCGGGGGCTCCCCTGGCAGGTGGTGCTGTGTGCACACTGGCACAGTCGTTGCTGTGAGAATGAAGTGCATTCGTGGCTCCCTCAGGACAGGACAGTGGGCAGCTCACAGCTGGTCTCTCCTAGACTCTGTCCCAAGTACGTTTTCCCTTTGCGGATTTTAATCTATGTCCTTTTCTGTAATAAATGGTAAGGTTCTGTGAATCCTTCTAGTGGATCATTGACCCTGAGGGTTGTTGGAGGAGTCAGATACAAAGGGGATAAGGACACCTGCCCTGGCTGCCTCAGAGGGGCTGTGGGGAGCTGAGATCCAGCCATCACAGTGGGGCCATACAAGTCCGGGAGTTCTTATGATGCAGAATTCTAGTGAGGCAAACAGAACTTTCAGAGTAAATAAAGGAGGGGTGTCCTTCACTTCCAGCGTCTTGTGGTCTGCCGAAAGCTACGTACCCTCTCCGTGGAAGATGCAGGGGCAGGGTCTCCCATCCACAGCAGGCACACAGACGCCCAAAGGCCCTGGGTGCAAAGCTCTGAATTAGGAACAGGTTCCCTGCTGGGAGAGCCCCATACTGCCTTAGTCTTCTCAGGATCCCTGATACAATTTAGGGTGGGGATGTGGGAAGCTGGCTTCAGGGTCAGACCCGAAGACAAGTAGCTGACCTGGGGGTTGAGCCAGGACTCCCACCTAGGCCCTTCTCCAAGGGGCTTTACCAAAACCAGCCCCATGTCCTATATATAGACGTGACTTTTGTGAACACACACACATATCCTCTTCATATGCACATGTGTTTATGTAAAAGAAATGTATGTTTATATGCCAAGGTGACTTAAAAATCATAAAGTGCTGTACAAAGATGTTATTTACGGTGTGATGAGGGTAAGGTTTGGATTCCATGCTGTTTGTAACTATGTCAGTTGGAGTTCTTCCTGGGATAAAGGAGGGCGGGCGGTCAGCACTGTTCCTGTTTTGTGAATCAAGGACCTTCGTTCAAGCACTCCTTACTGGACACCCGTGTCCCCATCCTCGCTAATACACCGACCAGCCACACATACTACACCACAGAGTCCCTGTGTCGCACCAGCCCTGCAGGCACCTGTTTCTTGGTGCCGAGCGTCTTTCACGAGTGTGAACCCATCTGATGTTAGTCCCCAGTAGGGAAAATGCCCATGGGAAACGGGGTGTCGGGGGAGCCCAAGCCTGTGGCCCGGACATTCTGCGCAGTGAGTTGCTGCCAGTCCATGATGCGCTGATGCAAGTCATAGCTGCTCAGCACGACTCTGCCCAGATTCCGTTTATTATCCTACTAAATAATTATTTTCATTGTCTTCATCTTTTCATGGCGATGTTGATGTCTTTCTATTAAAATCTAAAGAACGCTCTCTCCACGGGGCAGACTTTGTCATTTATAAGCTAACTGGTGAGAAATCGAAGAGGAAAAGGCAATCACATAAATGCCTTTGGAAGACCGCAATCCTGGTGCACTCAATTAAAACTTGGTGGGAAGGGAAGCAAGGACGTTTGAGAAGGTGAGAGGCAGGACTCTGATTCAGAAACCTGTGCTCAGGCCTGGGTCCCTCTCATTGGCTGGGGGTCTTGGAGAAGACACGGCCTCTCTCTGAGCTCAGTTCCTGCATCTGCAGAGACCATGATCCATCAGCCTTTTGATAGGAAGAGTGGATGGGGGTCCCATGTGACAGCGTGCAGGACACTCCAGAACGCTGCATATTTCTCTGCATTTTGTGTGTATGACAAGCCATGTGGGGTTATTATTTCCATCAAACACTAGACAAAATCCATTCTGCCCGATTCTATCCAGTTGTTGCCTTCCTAGAAACACAGGAATAACCTGCAGCACCATCCCCTTCCGTTCTGTGGCATTGACACAATTCAGGAATCTACTTTTGTGCTTTTACACATTGAACTGACAGGTGACATCAGGCATCGACTGTCACAGGGGCCAGTGGAGAGGTGGCAGGGACGCCCACATTCGATGAATCCTGCATCACGGTGTTGGACTTCTTGTTTTTGACACTAAACTTGTTCACATTCGATAACTTGAGCACGAATAAAGGCAGCTCACAGCAATAACGCCTGATGGGCACGGGCCCTGTGCTATGCTCTAAACACTGCTCCTGTCACCCCTCCAAGACATGGGTCCCGCATTTTACAAACATGAATTCTGAAGACAACGAATAACTGATCTTGCCCAGCTCAGTTGGGCCCTAGCCCCATGCCTGGGGCCGGGATGTGGGTCGTGTTTGGAGCCTGTTGCAGATGCGGATTTGTCTGCTTCACGCAAGATGCTCTGATGTACTCTGTGTGGCCTGGAACTGAGAAACCTGTGCTGGACCCAGCGCCTGCAGATGCTGCACCAGGGTAGCTGTTTTCCAGGGGTCAGGAGACATGCTCCGGAGGCTCCAGAGGCACAGACGGCCCCTCTCCATACACAGCACCACCTGGGAACTGGTTGGAGATGTGCACAGGCAGACTCCAGCCGGGGGGACATTGAAGTCCAGCAGCGGCAGACCGCGGCTGTTTTTCAGGCAGTTACCTGATTCCTATGATCTAGGAAGTTGGGGAGAAAAGAAAACTTGCTTACTTCATAATGTTTCCCACAGCATGCAAAAAATCTGACTTGAGAGACAGGATCTCATGCCGTCAGCACGCAGAAAGTTATAGGATTGACGCCTTTTCCTTTGCTAATGCGTCAGGGTGGGATTGCACTAAAATCAGGTACAAAAACACACATGAGTTTTCGAGAGAAGAGTCTGGGAAAAGGCAGCCCTTGTGACCTCCTCCAAATTGCTGCTATAAAGTGTTTAGTGAGCATCATTTCCCGACCTTTAGCTGATGAAATTCGTGTTGGGGGCAATTGGCAGGAGCTGGTAGGAACCCGTGTTTACCCAGTGTGACCAGGTGGGGCTGTGCTTTATGGAAAGCAATACAGGTGGCCGGCTCAGGAAGGCTGCAGCCAACAGCCAGGCAAGTGGCGCACGTGACCCACTCAGGAAGGCTGCAGCCAGCAGCCAGGCCTCTGCACACAGGGAGCCACAGTCGGCTGCCCTCACAGCAGCACTTACTCACTTCCCCTCGAACATGCTGGCTCTGCCTGGAGTCCACCTCCGGACTGCGGAGTCTGTGCTATCTCTGTCCCGGGGACATGCCAGGGCACTCTGTTCCGAGAGAGACCCCTGCCTTTGGGGGACTCCTCACCACGGCCTCGCTGCAGGCTTCACCTCACATGAGCGTTTGTCATGGGAACTTCCCAGTCCTCAGTTCTGCTGCATCCTGGTGGGGGAGAGAGGGAGACTCACAGAACCCGTCAGGGATGGGGACGGGCAGAGGGAAGTGAGGCTTAGTTGAGCATGGGTTTCCTTCTGGAGAAGGAGGAACCGGAGGGGCATTTATCAATTCTAAGTCACTGGGATTCTGGCATCATTGGTGAGGGCTGGCCCAGGAGCGCGGTGAGAAGGTGAGGGGACATTATTAACATTGCTGCCGGTTTACCCCTAATTGTTTAAGCTTTTTATTGACTTCTGTGCTCTTTCATTTTACCGCACATGCTAGAATGGCTCACACACCTCCCCTCTCCATGTCCTCCCTCGGCTAGGGGGCCTGCAATTGTGAGCGTGGGGAGCATACCCCTCACCTCCTAATGTTTGGCCAATGGGCTGTGCTGGCCTGAGAGGGGAGGGCCAGAAACGAGCCAGCACAAGCAGGTCAACCTTTCCTGTTGTTGAGCACACCACAAGGAGGTCATGCCCCAGACAGCTGCTGTCCCTTCCGGGTGGGTCCGGACGAGACGTGGAGAAACCTGAGCCCAGCCTGGGGTCTGGGGCTCCTGACCCACAGCCTGAGGCCACGCTGTCCAGTCAACCCACTGAGCCAGGTGAGAAAGAGAAGGGCCAATTGTCACCAGCCGCTATGAGTCTGAGGTTGTGTGTTATGCGTGAGCCTGAGGTTGCGTGTTATGCGTGAGCCTGAGGCTGCGTGTTATGCGTGAGCCTGAGGCTGCGTGTTATGCGTGAGCCTGAGGCTGCGTGTTATGCGTGAGCCTGAGGCTGCGTGTTATGCGTGAGCCTGAGGCTGCGTGTTATGCGTGAGCCTGAGGCTGCGTGTTATGTGTGAGCCTGAGGCTGTGTGTTATGTGTGAGCCTGAGGTTGTGTGTTATGTGTGAGCCTGAGGTTGTGTGTTATGTGTGAGTCTGAGGTTGTGTGTTATGTGTGAGCCTGAGGTTGTGTGTTATGTGTGAGTCTGAGGTTGTGTGTTATGTGTGAGCCTGAGGTTGTGTGTTATGCAGCACACAACTGACTAAGGCTTGTGGTAAATGCACTGACTTGGAACAAAATTCAAAATGTACAAAGGGAATTACAGTGACATATCTCCCCAACCCTGTCCTTCAGCCTCCCAGCTCAACTGTCCCAATATTATTACAATACTGGGAAGGTATATAATAACAATCCTTAATTGTTCTAGGTGTATATAATTAGAAAGAAAGATATTTTTAAAATAATGGAACTAGTGCCATCCCTACAAAGGATTGCAAAATAGTATGGTCAGAAGTCCATAGTGGCTCAAAATTCAATACGTAACTATCTGAAAATCCCCCCATCCCATATCTGGCCAGTCTTTCTATTTTCAGGAATGAAAAGGAAAGAAGAAGGAAGGAGGGAGGGAGGGAAAAGAAGAGAAACAATTATGGCATAAGACAGATGGGGACTCCGCTTTGCGCCTGTAGGAGAAATGCATGGACATTACCACTTCAGATGAGGATTCCAGATCCTGCTTTTTGGTGACAACCAAATCCTCCGTCTGGTTAAATGCTAAGCAGTTCACCTCTGTTGGATAAATGGACCCCTGTGCTCAATTTGTACCTGATAATTCAATGCAGTCAATTCCTCCTTTCTCCCCAGCAGAGGTGCTTGGGGGCGTGACGCAGGTGAGCTGCTGGGGACACAGTGGGAGGCAGCCTTCCAGGCCCTGCTGCCTCTAACGCTCATGACCACTTTCCAGTTTTTGTCCCTGTGACTGCTGCTTCCAGGCTGCCCCTCTGCTCCCCAAGATGCACACTCACTTCTCTCTTTGTGCCTCATGTTTTTATAGATCTGAGAATCATTTTTGAAATTGTAGCCTGGAGGATTTGTCCCTAGTTGTTCCCGCCTGTCTAGCTACAGAAAGACACTATGGAATGACTAAAATAAAATCTGCAGGGGTAGAAGGAAAAGGTGGAATGTGCAGTGGGCATATGGCACTTCCAAACTCGTGAACAGTTCCAGGCAGAGTGGAGGGAGGGAGGGGCATCATCCCAGGATGGTCAACGCTGCTGGGCTGTCCCCTGGCACCACAAGCAGTCCCTCATCAAAACCAGGCAAAGCAACCATGCACACACCGAGAAGACCACAAAGAGAGCAGCACAGTTCAGGGTGGATGGAGTGCTCTCCTGGGGGACATCGGCAGGCTCCATAGGTCTTGGTCATGCTGGTCCGTCTCTCAGGTTGGTCATGGAGCTCATGGTGCTCATCCTTATCTTAGTCCCTTAGTGTTGCTGTAAAGGAACACCTGAAGCTGCAGGGAAACTTATAAAGAAAGGAGGTTTATTTGGCTCACGTGTCTGCAGGCTTTACCAGGCTCATGGTGTCAGTGTCAGCTTCTGGGGAGGCCTCAGGAAGCTTCCACTCACTTTGGAAGAGGAAGGGGAGTTGGCGTGCGCAGATCACATGGTGAGAGAGGAAACGAGACAGGGAGGAGGTGCCAGGCTCTTCTTAAGAATCAGTTCTCACGGGAACTAATAAAGTATGAACTCACTCATCACCACAAGGACAGGCACCAAGCCATTCACAGGGGATCTACCCCTGTGACCCAAACACCTTCTATCGGGCCCCGCCTCCAACACTAGGGTTCAAATTTCAACTTGAGATTTGGAGGGAAAAGCACCCAAACTGTGTTACAAAGCATGTCCCAAACACAGCAATCCTCCCATCATTCTTTAAGTGTCTCATGCAGCCACCCTTTCATGTCGGGCTACGTTCCCCCTAGGGCTGTGGCATCTGGGTGGGCTGGGGCACCTGGTCCATTTGCCTGCTCACAGAGCATTCCTGTCCCCGCTGGTCCCTGCAGGTCATTTCTCGTGGTGACTGGAGAAAGCTCTCTACAGAAACGCCTGTCATCCATGCCTTCACCTACGCGAGAGCATCCTCTGCTCCCTAGACCACACCAGGACAGTTCTGCACGGACCTAAGGAGCTCACAGCCCAGCCCCCTCCCCGGGGAAATCTCTGCACTCCGGACTGGTAATTTCCAGGGCATGGTCTGCCTTTCTCAGCTTCGTGGGAAGCACCTTTGGTTCAGCCTCGCTGGTGAGGGTGGAGGCTGCCTCCCGTCCCCTCCTTGTTCACCAGCAGGCGTCAGCAGGGCTGCTATTGGACCCCTTTAGACCAAGGCGCAACCTGGCTCCTCTGTTCTCAACAGGATCAGAAATGTCACGCAGGTCGTATCTGGAGTGGTTCTCTTTTTCCCTTTTGTGGAGGGTTAGAGTGGTATTCACACCTAGGCACGTCTACGTCTGAAATCTGTGATAGACTGAATGTGTCTCCCTCCCAAATTCAAGTGCTAACCCTCGGACCCCAGAATGTGATTGCATTTGGAGACAGGGCCTTTAAGGAGGTGATCGAGTTAAATGAGGTCATATGTGTCCCCTAATCCATCGTGACTGGTCCTTATTAGAGGAGATGAGGACACTGACACATGGGACGACGGCCACAGGAGGACACAGGGGAAGACGGCTGTCTACACAGCAAGGAGAGAGTCTGCAGGGGACACCAGTCCCGCCAATACCTTGACCCTGGACTTCCAGCCTCCAGGACTGAGAGAGAACAGCTGAACAGATTCAGAGGTCCACTACGTGGCACGTAGCAGCCATTCATTCACTCACTGTGCCTGCTCCCTTGAGCCTGGCTGTAATCTGGCTGATAACATTCATTCATTCATTCATTCATTCATTCATCAGGTATTTCCTGTGGGCCTACCATGTGCCAGGCATGGGCTAGGTTGGTTCTGGGGTAAAAATGGTCCTTTGCCCAAGCTACTGATGGAATCACAGAGACGATGGGGAAAATCAGTGAGTAAACAAGCTGAAGACGGAAGGCAGAGACTCGGAGCAGAGCCCGACCATTCTGCTGGTGTGGGGAGAGGGTGGAAGCCTTGTCCAGGGAGGTGGAGAGGCCACAGCAGGAGAAGCATGCCCAGGCTGAGACCAGAAGGATGAGAGGGACCAGAAGGAGGAAGAGCTGGACTGGGACAGGGTGAGGTTGTGGTCGGCTTAAGTGGCTGCCAGTGGCTCAGTTCATCTGCAGAAAGCAGCAGGGAGAAGGGTGAAAGGAGACTGGGGATGGAGAATCAGGGCCACCCCTTACAACCCTGTCTTAGGGTGTGGCCTTGGTCCACGGGGAGCAGGAAGTCAGGAGCGGTGTCAGGCAGGAGGGCAGTGGGCGTAGGTTCCTTGTGACCTGTGAGCAGAGAGGGGCTGAAAGCCGGGCCTGGTCCATGCTAAGGGGTGCGAAGGGGAGAGCATTTTCCACCAGGGCTCAGGTGGTGTCATCAGGGATGGGGCAGGGGCAGCGGCAGGGCCCTGAGAGCTGTGCCACTTCGTGATGCCACTGCGACCCTTGCCACTGTGTTTCAGGGGTGCAATGCTGCAGGTGAAATTGATGCAGACCCAGGCTTCAGACCTGTTCTCCTAGACTGCAGTGGTGCGATGACAGCTCACTGCAGCCTTGACCTCTGGGTTCAAGAGATCCTCCTGCCTCAGCCTCCCAAGTAGCTGGCACACGCCACCACACCTGGCTATTTTCTTTTAATTTTTTATTTGTTTGTAGGGACAGGGTCTCACCATGTTGCCCAGGCTGGTCTCCAACTCCTGGGCTCAAGCGAATCTCCCACTTCAGCCTCCCACAGTGCTGGGATTACAGGTGTGAGCCACCATGCCTGGCCTAGTTTGGGTAACTTTGAGTCACCTGAAGAGTCAGCCTCAGCCCCAGAGGGTTCTCCCTTCCCCAGGGTGCTGTGTTTGCATGGGAGCACAGAACCATTGCCCCTGCAGGGCTTTTCAGTGGAACCGAGTGTCCCCACACGAGCTTTGTCTCCGGATGCACACGAGGAGATTCTGCAGCACAGTGGAGCCGATTAAGCCATTACAGCTTTCCAGAGGGAAAAGAAAATTTAGGACGTGTAGAAACTAAGTCTTTGCCCACAATCAAGTTTCCATTCAAATTATGAGAAGGAAGTGATTGAATGAGAATGAGATGACCTTCCCCTTCCCCCATGGATTTTCCTCCCTCTGGCTCTCTCTGCTCCTGACACGAGCACTGCACCAAGGCGACAGCCCTGGGCACCCAGGCTGACTCCTGCACTCGGGCACGGACCTCACGGCTGGGCTGACTCCCGCACTCGGGCGCTGAGCTCATGGCCGGTTCTGAAGAACTCTGGTTCTGCTCATGCCCCACATCAAAATGGCCAAGTCTTCAGATTTGGGATTTCCCAAGCCAAAAGTATTTTCATAGAATTGTATTTCAATATTTACATTATCTTTAAAGAAAGTCCAGCTAAAAATCAAAAATAAATAAAAATGTAAAAAATAAAACAATCCCAGAGAGAAGTGGGGTCTACTTGAATGCAATGCAACATGAAGTGGACATCTGGACGCCCCTCCTCCAGGGCTCCGCATGCTCCCCGGGGCTCAGGGGCTCGGGTGGGGCAGCTCCTTATGGCATGGGGGAGGGAGGGTGTCCCCAGGTTCTTGGTCGGGGCAGGTGCAGGCCTGCGGGACACTAGGTGAAGGAGGCAGAACTGGCTGCCGTGTGTGGAGTGGCTTATTCTAATTCAAACTCCCCTCTTTTCTTCCTCTTCCTTTTGGGGGAACTCATCCCTCTGAGACCTCAGACAACCATGCACCAGGCTATGGGTGGGGGTAGTGCAGGGCAGGCAGAGCGGTGAAGGAGAAGCATTCTGCTGTTTTCTGCAGTAAGGTAAATATCGTGGCTGTTGTCTGTTCTGCCTCCTCTCTGCTGTCTGGCTTCGTTAGTGCAGATCGAGAGCACAGGTCAGTGCCCTGGAAGCTCAAGGGTGTTCAGGATGACCGTAGCAGAGGTCTCCATGCCATGAAGGGAACCCAGCCTTGCTAACTTCTCCAGGCTCGGTGCCCAGCACCCCCAGGGCACACAGAAACCACCGTGGTGTGAGTGGTGCTGGAGCAGCAGACACAGGCGCATTGTTGTTGGGAGGTGGTGGCCGCCAGGCTGGGGAAGCCGTTCTGGGGGATGGGGGAGCCCCCGCCAGCTTGCGTGTTTTCTTCCTTAGCAACTGCCCCTCAGAAGCAATACAGGACTTTCCCTAATGTCACCTCTGCTGAGTCCACGCCGGGGAATGGCTGAGAAACAACTTCATGCCAGAATCCTGTCAATCTAAGTCTCTACAAAATTCTAGGAACCAAGAAATTATAAACTGAAAGCTCTTAATGAGAAGCTCTCTGTGGGCAATGATCTGGGCTCTGCAGGGGGCTCCAGCAGCAGCCAGAGGGAAATAAACGTGGACAAGAACAACCTGAGGCTGCTCGGCTGAAGGCCGGAGCATGGGGACTGCCCTAACCCTCACTCACGGTGCAGGGAGCTTCCCAGGAAGTCTCAGCTCACCTGCAGCCTTCGAACCAGGAGAGGCTCCGTGAAAGAGCAGGTGCGTGGACCGGCCGGAGGGGTCAAGAGAACTGATGCCTTGAATGAATCCAGATGAGCAGCCACCATTGTGCTGAAATGCCCTTGGTCCCTTCAGAAAGGGCGGGCCACTTCCGTGTGGGTTGGGAAGGTGCCTGGGACCCGGGCCGCCCCGTGGAGAGCCAGCTTCTGCCCAGGAGGTGCTGGCACCCAGCCACAAGACAGGATGCGGCATGCTGGTGAGGGGTGGTCCCTGAGCTCCCACCACAGCCTCGACACGTCTCCACCTGGAGACAAACAGCAGCTTAGGCCTGGGGAGCACCTCTGCAGCCAAGAGCCCCGGGTGCACTTTCTCGCTTCTCGAGCCAGGAACCCATGTCCAACATGAGTGGAAGTTAAAACTAAAAGCTTTTAATGGAACACTTTGAGTTTCTAATATAAAATAGTCCTGTCCGATGCTGTGAGGCAGGTGCCATTGCCATCTCCATTTTATTAATAAGAAAGTCAAGGCCTACAGAGACATGGCATCTTATCCAGCACAGCTACTAACCCGGAGGCAGGTTTTGAATCCATGTGTGAATGCACCCAGAGCCCGCCGCCTCAGTGAGCCTTGAAGATGGCAGGGCATCCTCACCGGCTTGGCACAGGGCTGGTGGAGACCTGCGGTGCCCACAGTCATTTGCAGTGGCTGTCACAGAACTCCAAGGCCTGGCTCTGGTCTCTGGATGTGCTGCGATCTGGGCTCAGGCTCATGTGACTGTCCCGGAAGCTGCGGGCTTTGCTGCCTAAGCTTCACTTCTGGTGGGTTTGTGAAAGCATATTTTCCAGTCTGTCATGTCCTTGCAGATTCTAGGGTGTGGGATGCAAATGAGGGTTGTGTTCCATGCTCTCCTGCCTGCTCCACAATACAGTGACTCCTGTGTGTGCCCTCGGCTGCCCTGTCACCAGGCGCTCTCTGCTTGTACGTTATCATCAGTGCTGCGTCTTCACTTCTGAGGCCTCCGTGATGCACTCCATCAAGGATCCTACCCTGAACCTTAATAGTTCTCACAATTGCCTCGGCAAAGGCCCACCACGGGATGACTGCAGGGTGGATTTACGTGTAAAGCGTCTCCTGCAGCAGCGGAGGCATTCCCCAGATGGCAGGAGGGAACAGCCAGCCCTCGCTGTGGTGGATGGCAAGGCCTGCTCCAGGAGACTGGCACTGTTGTGGAATTTCACCCTTTCTGTGGACTTTTATTATTCTTCCTGGGCTAGCTTCACCTCCTGCTCAAGGGTTTCGACTTGTTCTACCCACACCTGTGAAAACAGCCTCCCATGCCAAGTATTCCCACAGGATCATCCTAATAGATTCCAGGACCTGGCGGCTCCTCTTCCAATGCCCCAAACTCTTACAGGGATCAGCTTTCTCCTGCTCGGTCTCGAGGATGCTCAGGGTCTGGCCTCAACCCTGTCATCATTGTCAATCCCTGTGGCTCCTCCTTCCAAGGAGGCCGGGCAGAACAGCAACAGGAGTAGGTGCAAAGGGACAGCAGATGGTCAGGGACAACAGGTGCTCGGGGGCAGCAGGTGCTCAGGGGGTGGCAGGTGCTCAGGGACACCAGGTGTTGGGGGCAGCAGGTGCTCAGGGGACAGCAGGTGCTCAGTTGGCAGTAGGCGGTCAGGGACAGCAGGTGCTCAGGGGGCAGCAGGTGCTCAGGGACAGCAGGTGCTCAGGGACAGCAGGTGCTCAGGGACAGCAGGCCTGGGTCTAGACCTGCTCCAGCTTGCGTCCTTGGACACCTCACTCAGTCCCATGGGGCTCCCTTTCCCCTTCTCCTGGTGGTTGTTGTGAGTGTCAGATAAGACTTTAGCTCCAAGATAGGCCATGGACACATTTTGGTTGCTGTTCTTAGGCCCTTGGACTCCGGTACCATAGACTCTGATCCCAAAAGCACTAACTCTGAGGAACAGGAGCCTTCTTTCCATCCACACCACAGCCCTCCCTCACGGAGATATAAGTGAAGACCCATCCCCTCCAGAAACATTTCCCTACACTCCCAGTTGGTCTTGAATCTTGCGACACAAATGTCGTTTCGCATCTATAGACTGGAGAAGCCCTCTCGGGCATGGAGCCAATACCCCATCCAGCAGAGACAGTCACATGGAAGGAGTAAAACGCATCCCCTGGTGTGAAGGACTCAGGGTCTAAGGGAGATTCCCACCCAAACAAGAAACAAGGGAGCTCTGACATCAGTGAGGCAGACGCTCAAGGCAAGAATAGGAAGTGAAGGTCCCGCCCAGAAAGCAAGGCAGGGCTGGCTGGGGAGGAGAGCCCAGAGCTCTCAGCAACAGTGCGCTCTGCATGGCAAGTTCACAGTCAGACAGCTCACCTTCCTGACAGCTCCCTTAGATTCCACGTCCTTGCTGTGGCCCCTCCCACATGGGACACAGGTAGGCGACCCCGGGCGTGGACACAAAGACCCCATCATTACACAATGTCTCTAAACACACCGATATAACCCCATCCTCCAGAAGTGCCTTCTCTTTGTTCTTGGCCTGGTATTTGTATTTTTAAAGCATGAACTCTACTCATTGTTCTGCACTCTCATGGAGAAAAAAGGGAGAGGAGGAAAGAAACCACCTTTTTGTGTTTGTTTGAATTAGTCCCTTGTTAGGCAGTTTCATAACAAAGTAATTTAGGTATAACTATAGGAGGCAGACATTATATGGCTGTTTTGCAGAGGTGAAAACAGTTTCAAGAAATTTGGAAAACTTGCTCACAGCTTTTGAATTATGCCACACCCTTTTCTGAAATACAACCTGGGCTCTACTCTCCTGCTTAGCTGATAACCTAATGGCATTCAGCTGGGCCAGTGAGTGGCTAGAATGCTTATTTTGTGTACATAATGGAAGTGTTAGGAGATTTATATTTTGAATTTGTCAAGAGTGCCAGATTATTTTCTAGTTTACTTTGCTTACACAACTTGAAGTTCTGCTAATGTAAATATAATCGGTGCCTCAGTTTACCCAGAGAGTTGTTGAATAAGAATGAAAATGTTTCCTAGGGACAGGAGAATGAGAAATAGCCATTAAAAGGAGAGAACAGAAATCCTATTCCTTTGTGGGTCTGAATACCCTACCCAGGAAATCCCAGGGCAATAAAGACCCCTTTCAGCCACATGTTCTGCTTTAATAATCAGATTCAGCAGAAATGCGAGCCAGGCAGGGTGTCGAGATGACCACAGGATCAATGCTAAAAAGGGATGGAGGTTAGATGCTCCTCTTGTCATCTTTCTTTAAAAAAATCAACAAAGTATAAAAGAGACTTTCATAGTCTTTTCATAACAAGTAAAACTACATGTAAGACGTTCATGAGGGAAGATTGTTGATGGACTTGATGAACTTAAGTTAATTTTTCTCTGACGGCCCTTCCTATACATTTTTCTAACTCAAGAACATAATCCATTTTATTTTATTAAGGGCTGATTAAATAAGAAACTTATATTTACCATGTGATTATTTGATATTCTAACGAGTATTCAATGCATCACACGTTTGAGCCCTACTATTTGCAAAACATCATTGCAATGTGCCAAAGATTATGCAAAGATTACTAAGATATGCCCCTTTCCCATCTTTACTGACCTCAAATGAAACTGGACTTCCTGAAGATTCTAACGTTTGACAGGAATTGTCACAGTGTTCTCGATGCTTATGGAAAATGAGAATACCGCAGCGGTGGTCAGATACAAATTACACTAAAGCCATATTTCTCAAAATGTGACCTTGAAACCAGCAGCAGCAGCAGCATTGCCTGGGAACTTTGTAGAAACTCAAGTTTTCACCACTGATGGGGTTCAGGACATGCTACCCCAAAATATGGCCCCTTGGCATTTGAGAAAACAGCAAAACCTATGATCACTCTCGGACCTACTTCCATCCTTCTTCCCTGAAGCAGGTGATTCATTGGCCCTTCAATCCAGAGGTGATCTTCCTTTACCCACAGGAAAGGAGCAGCTTTATCTCTGACGACGAAGGGACACAGAGAAGAATCTGAACGCACAGACCTTGACAGGTTGTCCCGGTTTATCACCATTAAAGCATGCCGCCTTTGTCCCATCATACTTCCCCACAACTGTCCACTCTGTTGCAGGTGAGTGACAGCTGTCAGGGCCAGTGATGCAGGGGGAAGAAGAATTGACCAAGAAAGCTGTAGGTAAAGAAAGGCAGATTTATTAGAGAAAGTAGGAACATGCAACAAGGCAACGAGTAACTGGCAAGAGAAAAGCTGACTCCCAGGAGACCAGGGTTTGCTGGGATTGTCCAGGATGGTGTTTAAGCTGCGTGTTGAAGACGGCTTTGTGCAGCATGGATCACTCCAGGATTGCAGTGAGCTCACGTGCATAGCTAGACACAGGAAGACTGTGAGTTATTTGCTCAGGAGAGCTGTGTATCCTGGACCATGGAGAAAGGCAGACTTGTGGCTTATCTGCCTTCGGTTTCTGCTTTTCCTTGCTCCTGCCAGCCTGGTTCTTTTTCCCTAATGAGGACTCCACACGCTCTTCTTTCTAAAAATGCACAGGTTTCCCTGTTTCTTTGACTTTCATTTCTGAAGACTCCCATGTCATGTAAAACTATATTAAATAAATTTGCGTGCTTTTCTCTTGTTAAAAAACTATAGGTAAGATGTTCATATCAGAGGTGTTTTTAATAAGGAAAAATTAGAAACTGCAAGAGGAGTGGTTTGTTATTGGCAGTTCTTAATCACACTCAGCCATTATGAATGACAGTGCCACAGGTGGAAATGCTTTTGATGTACTGGGGTAGGACGTTGTATGTCTAGGGTGGTCATGGCGGCCACTGTGGCAAGACACCCTGGTGAATGTCAGCACCTGGCAGCTTGTGAGAGGCCTGCTGAGTCCGTGGGCGCAGAAAGTGGGCCCTGAAGGGAATGGCTGTCCCTAAGGTGGGCCATCTTAGGAGGGGGCCAGGTCTTATGACTTATACTATACTTGACCAAAGGGAAAAAGTGTTTTACATGATCAAGACAGGGCGGTGATGATTCAGACAAATCACACCAGAGTTTCCAAACTTGCTAAAAATGTGTGATGCTCTTGGCACGTTCAGAGCCCACGTTCTGAGCAGACACACAGAGGTCATGGTGTCCATCAGGACAGCTAGTGGAATTCTGCCTGGTGACTCTTGGGTGATGTAGGACAAGGAACACTGATTCTGAATGTGACCTGGTCACGGGGCACACACCACAATCACCCCGTCCTACAAGCTCCTTGCTTCCATGGAGATCTATGGCTCATCCTCCCAGCCTCTTACCGATGATGGCCTCTGGGAGTGTGGGCAGGACGCTTGCTCCAGAGAACACAAAGCTCTTCCCCAAACCTCTTTCCTATGACAAATCTGTCTCCCTTTACTTTCAACTGTACAGTCACGTGCCACATAAAGATGCTTCACTCAACAATAGAGCACACATGCAACAATGCTCCCATAAGATTATGACGGAGCTGAAACATTCCCGTCGCCTGTGATGCTGCAGCCATCGTAACATTAGAGGACAATTACTTCACCTTTCAAAATAAATTGAGTGTAGCCTGAGTGCACAGTGTTTATAAAGTCTACAGATGTGCAGTAATGTCCGAGGCCCTCGTACTCACTCACCACTCGCTCGCTGGCTCACGCAGAGCAACTTCCATCCCTGCAAACTCCATTCATGGCAACTGCCCTATACAGGTGCATCCTTTAAAAAATATTTTATACCCTATGTTCACTGTACTTTTTCTATGTTTAAATACACAAATCCTTACCATTGTGTTACAACTGCCTATGGTATTCAGTACAGTCACATGCTGTGCAGGCTTACAGCCCGGGAGCAACAGGCTCCCCCAGGCAGCCTCTGTGTGTGACGGGCTGCACCACCCAGGTGTGTGGCAGTGCACTCTGCCATGTTCTCACAATGACAAACTCACCCAAGGGTGCATTTCTCAGAATACATCCCCATCATTAAGCAACCCATGACTCTATTCTATGGAAGCAGATTATCGATGTATATAACTAACTTAGCAGGTTAGCGACCAAAGAATTATAACATCGTTATTATTAGTTATTACATTATTATACTTAAAGTAGATCTCATTTGTTAATCTCAGATGAAACTGTATCTACTCTGAGCTTCTTACAATTAATGAATTGTGTATCGAGGCACACTTACAAATTATTTCACAATTTAAACAAAATGTAAAACAGCTGAATTATTACATTTCTGTATAGTGATACCCAATTCTTTAATTTTTGTCTTACCTTCATAAAGAATAAGCAAGTTATGTGCAGTGTGTTTTGACTTATACAAAATGTTATCATTTTTCACAGGTTTTATTTCCAGACATTACAATTTTAAAAAGGAAATTTTCCTTTGTGATGATTGAAATTCATGCAGTATATATAACTTGGTTTCAGCTCTGACTTTTTATTAATTGTGAGCCTTCATTAAAATAACTCATTTGAAAAGAGTAAGGATGGTTACTGCTAAAAAGAACATTTCTTGTATTAATATTTAACTAGTGGCACTCTTAAATCCACAAGCGAGTAAGTAAACGACATCTGCAAAGGCTTATTGCAGAAACACCAAAGCTGTAACAGGTTGGTTTTAAGGCATTTGTTGTTCTTGCTGTTTTCCTTGATAGTCTTAAGACAGCCCCTAGGTCTGGGATAATTACTGTGGTATGTAGAATTCTCTTGTCCTGCATGACAATTTCTTATCGTTCTCAAAGATGGAAAGTGCGGAGGTTCCCACACGTCTCTCCTCGGTCGTCCAGTTTCCCCCGACCCATGGCAGCAAGAGAGGCTGAGTGAAGAAATGAAGCCATTCCGGCCCAGCCATACTCTGCTGCCTAGGTCCTCCTCTCCATCACATTTTCTCAAAGTTATCTACATTAATGTTAAGGAACATCGGTTCTTTCTCTTTTCAAAACACTATGTAGCTTTCTTCCCAATGTGTTTTGCGAGGAGACGCATCCTGGGGAGGAAAATGAGGGAGATTTGGGATGAGGGATGCGTGCACCTGTTTCTGGAGTGCAAGGCTTTTTTTTACTGGGCTTCCAGGCACGGAGGGGGCAGGCAGGGTTGGGGAGCCTGTGGTGGGCAGGGCCCGCACGATGCCACCGCTTCGGCCAGAGCCTGCTGCACGGCAGAGCCTGCCCTGCAGACCAATGGCCTTCCCAGGCCCGGTCCAGGGCTCACACCCAGCGGGCCTGCGTATAGCCGGGGCAGCCTGGGGTTTCCGCTGCAGGAGAGCCAGCAGCCTCAGCTGTGCTCCAGCAGAAAGGACATGGCCGCAGCAGGGAAGCAGCCGTCTCAGCTGGTGAGGACACAAGAAACCAAAGGCCAGGCAGCCAGGACACAGGAGCCAGGGAAGCCACAGGGACTCAGTGCTCCTCTCTGCTCTGGGTGGGCAGCGGGGGCCTCCCGCCTCTGCAGGGCTGCAGTTCTGGTCGCTGCAGAAGGCTGGGGCACCGTGTCTGCCTGAAAGGCCAACTGGGCCCAGCCTTGGCTGTGTCCTGCCCCTCGCCTCCAGGTCCCTCTTCCTTCCAGGGGTCCAGCTTTGTTCCACTCTCTCATCTTCCCAAACAAGCTGCATTATCAGCACTGGGGCAGTGTGATGGAGGGCAGGTGAGCAGTCCCGCGTGGGGGGGCTGGTGGGCTGCCTGAGGCCCCAGAACAGGGAAAACAGGACCTTGGGGAAGATGGTCAGGGTGGCTGCATTCCACCTGGATTGTTTTCATTTGAGGGAACGTGGAGAAAACATCTTCACACCTGCCTTGACCTACATTGTAATGGGACTCATCAAACATGAAAGAAACTTTATTTTTAAAGAAAATAGCTTTTAAACTTCCTCCCTTGAGCCCTTCGTTAGGATTTTTATTTAAATAGTTTTTCGAACAATTTCTTACTGGAAAATATATTTTCTCAGTGAACCTGATATCTGTGCCCATTTTAATAATTTCTACCAAATAAGAACTGTGAGAATGAAACTGTGGCTTCTGTGTTGGGAGCCGCAAAGCACATAGAACAACGCCTGACAGAGGGCAGTGGACATTTTTGTTTGTATTGTTTTCTTCCTACACCAGCCTCTCTCATTCTCTTTGCTGTCACAGGCCCCAGCTATTTTGTTTTATATCCTTACATATGTATGGGTCCTTGAAGATAGATTATATGATATCTGTCTGCATGTTTTCAATGTATGTAAATTAAGTGTGTGCTTTAAATATGGGTCTGTTCTTCCTGTTTCCCATTCACCCTGTGTTTTATGATCTCTGTGGTGTTCCTTGCACATCGAATCTATTTCATGCTCCTCTGTGAAATGTACCACTATTTGCAGACAGTGTGTTCCCCCTACTTTCTAGCATGGATGGACACCCAGTTGCCTGGGGCTCCTGCTCCCTCAGAGCAGGGCACCTCCTGGGAGGCTTCCTCACAGGGCTAGACACGGCTTCCTCTGGGTTTGTGCCAGACATGAGGCTGCTGACCCCAGGAGCAAGTGTCTGGGCTTCACGATTCGGTGCCGTGAGATGTCCCATGCAATGCCCACGTCTTTGCCAGTCTGGCTTCTCATGGGTGTGTGAGTTTGCTTTTTTCTGATCACTAGTGAGATGAGCACGTCCTCCTCTGCTGTTATCTGCTGATGCTTCCTCCTTTGGAACCAATTGTTTTGTAAATGTGCCTGTTTTTCTGAGTTGAACGTCTTCTTTTTGATCAGCAAGTGTTCCTGGTGCATTGAAAATATTAATTACTTGTTGTTTTCAGTATTGCGAGACATCTGCCGCCCATCTGTTCACTTTGCCCATCTGTATCTTTTGTGACTATGATGTCATCAAGCCATCGTTTTTACCACTTAGGGTTTGTAACCTGGGCATCCTACTTAAGATACCTTTCCCATCGCAACTTTACAGTTATGCCTGCACACAATTTCTTCTATTAAAGTGTTACCCTTCATATTTCTATCTTTAATCCATTTGAGGTTTACTTCTATATATGGGCTGAAAAAGGAATTGAATCATTGTCTTCTCTATAGATGTGCCTCCTAACACCATCTACTAAATGATCACTCTGTTCCCATTAATCTGTGATTGTGCCACAAATATTCCAAACAAGTTCCCTTGTGCAATAGGTTTCTGGACTTCTTATTGGGTCTCATTGGCATCTTGCATATTCTTGGGCCGTCATCTCACTTTCTTATTATACGCAGGAGACTACCGACCAGCAGTGTGAACACCATTCCTTTTCTTTTACAAAACTACCTTAACTCTTTATGGAATTTGCTTTTACCATTAGGAAAAATGTGGGTTTTTTAATTAAAAAAGTAATGCATATTAAATGTACATATTAATATACATTAAATAGCCACAACTTTTTACATGTCAACCATACCTCAACAAAGTGGTTTTAAAAGAAATGTACAATCTTTGATCATTTGTAAAAAATAAAGTCTAAGATCTTCCCTATGTTTCTTCACTCCACATCATGTTCATTGCCCAGGGTTGCCAACTACCCTGAACAGCTTACCTCTCCCTCTCTCCCTTTCCTCTCCACCCTTCATCACCCTATGGTTTATCCATTCAATGAGTCCATTCAAAACTTTTTTAAAATGCAAAAATATCATTTTCTAGATGCTATTCTGTAACTTGCTCTGTTTCGTAGTGTTTTAGTTTTGCAGTATATAATCCTGCAATTCGAGTCCATGTGGATGTGCTTCTCTGATTTTAGAAGTTTTACACCATCATATCCTCTGGAAAAAACAGGTTTTTTTTTGTTTTGTTTTTGTTTTTTTCCATTCTCCTTTTGACAGTCTTTTGGATGACTGTCAAATCTTTGGCCATCATGGATGTTGCCTATTCATATATCCTTGGCCACTCATGAGAGAAGATCTCTAATAGCAGAATTAGGAAAAATTGTCTCCTTCGTGGCACTTGGATAAGATGAGGTAGGGGAGCTACGTATGTAAGACCCTTACATTGTCGATGATAGGGGAACTGACATTCGTCCAAGTTACATAAGCAATACATGACCTGAACTCAAAACTGAGTCTCAACTTCAAGCTTCTCACCAGACTCTCTTCTTACTTCCACAAATATCGTTTTTTTTTTTATGGTAAACTTTCAACAGGCCATTTTTTATTTGCTAAAAAGTTTGTTTCTTTCTTCACCCAGTCATCACTGCCCTCAAAGCTATCTGCTCAGAGGGACAAAAACAGCTTCTAGAAAATAGCAAATACAGACTTCCAATAAGAGAAGTTTAATCCAGAAATATATTATTTAAAATAACTTTTTTTTGGCTAAAAGATATATATCTTTGCACACACACATATACATATGAAAGAAAATTCCTTTATACATTTGGAATGTGGAAAGATTTCTAAATTATTTCCTGAAATTGAAAAGTCATAAAAGACAAGATTAGTAAGTTTGACCACATACGAATTTTTTGAAACCTTCAAGGCAAGAAAAATGTCATACATAAAAGTCAACAGACAAATAGCAACTGAGACTGAACTTCCTAATATATAAGACCAAATTGATTAAGAAAAAAAGAAGAAAAAATTCAACATTTTGATCAAAAAATTGGCAACAAGTATGAATAAAAATTTTGCAAAATGATATACCAATGGCTCTTGAGTATATGAAGAGAGGCTCAACGTTGTTCATAGTGATCACAAGCAAATTAAACTGAACAGGTGTATTTAATCTGTTGGATTGGTAAAAAGCAACAGGTGAAGCTGCTGGGAGGCGTGCAGACGGGAGTTCTCATGCTGTCCCGGTGCATATATAAATTGCTGCAAACTCCATGGTGAGCAATTTGCAGTATTTCCCCAATTTGCAAGTACAAATTTGAGAATTTCGCTTTAGGATTTTGTTTTTTTTTGAGATAGCCTTGCTCACATGCTCACATGTGGAATGTTGTTTACACAGTCATTTTTCATTGCAGAAGAATTTATAATAGCCAAAGATTGGAAACAACCTACTTGTCTATCAGTCGAGGGCCAATCAATAAAGTTCTGCCATTCTCAGATGCAACTGTTTTCAGCTCTTGCTACTGTTTCTTCTGATAGTTCTCTCCATGTTTCTAAATAATACACCTTGTCCTGTTTCCCATCTTTCTCCATTAGTGTGTTTACTGTACATGTTTAGTAAGCAGATTTTTAAAGAGAGTTTTAATTATAAATTGCTAGATAATTTTATCAAAATGTTCTGCACTTCTTGAGAAAATCAGATGATTTTTCTTCTTTAGTTCATTAATGTGATGTATTAAATTGATAAATTTTCTGGCGAAAAACCATCTTGATAGCTCTCTGACACACCGTATTCAATCATGGTGTATTTTTAAATTAATTTTAACTAGTTTGAAAATTGATGGATTCATTTACCAATAGATGTTTGTTCAACAGTCAAAGTGGCCTACACATATTTTATTTTATTCTGCCTGTGTTCAGTTAGGATCGAGGTTATGTTTGCCTTATAAAATAGGTGGTCAGCTTTCATTGTTTTTCCTTTTCTGGAATATCTTGTATAAAATAAGGAATTCTCTGTCCCTTAGAAGTTAAGTAATCAGTAAGAAAGATCTCCACAAAATAAATTTTAGACAAAAATTAACAAGGTTCAGAATAGTGTAGTACTCTATCCTTTTAACTGTAGTAAAATATACATGGCCGTTAAAATTTCACAAGTTTAACCACTTTCAAAGGTCCAGTTTAGTGGTATCATGCACATTTACATCGTAGTGCAGGCATCATCACCATCCATCTCCAGAACTTTTTGTCTTCCCAAATTTAAACATTATACCCAGTCAACACTCACTCCCAATTCCCCCTCCTGGCAGCCCCGCTTTACTTCCTGTCTCTAGGAATCTGACTCCTCCAGGGATCTCACAGAAGCGGAGCCATTCAGGGTCTGTCCTTTCGTGACTGGCTCATGCCATACAGCACAGTGTCCTCGAGGTTAGCCCTGTAGTAGCCGGTCTCAAAGCAGATAATATTCCATCGTGCACGCCCGCGTTTTCCTTATCCATTTACCCCCGGTGGACACTGGGTCTGTCGCCATGTTTTGTCTGCAGTGAACTGTGTTGCTGAGAACACAGGTGTACAGATAACTGAGTTCCTGCCTTCCATCCTTTGGAGTGTCTGCAATACACTGA
Organism: Homo sapiens; assembly: GCF_000001405.40. Taxonomy (NCBI): domain Eukaryota; kingdom Metazoa; phylum Chordata; class Mammalia; order Primates; family Hominidae; genus Homo; species Homo sapiens. The sequence goes on from NC_000006.12 coordinate 167,420,552, forward strand.
CTTTTGGGTGCATACCTCCCGAGTAGCTGAGATTACCAATCACGCCCAGCTAATTTTGTATTTTTAGTAGAGACGGGGTTTCACCACGTTAGGCAGGCTGATCTTGAACTCCCGACCTCAGAAGATCCGCCCGCCTCGGCCTCCCAAAGTTCTGGGATTACAGACGTGAGCCACCGTGCCCGGCCAGGTGCATTAAAAAATAAATAAATAAATAAAAATACTGTTGAAGGGTGGCAGAATACACCACCTCAAAATATCAAAATATGCCACTTTTATTTTGAGCTAAAGGCATTTGAAGTCAATAGATGAAAGAAGGACGCCCGACCTTTCTTTTTCTTCCTGAAAGCAGGAGATTAACCACCCCTGCCCCCCTCCCACCTCTGTGGAAGGGGTACACCCTGTACTAGGAGGAAAAAACTTTCTTATCACCAGAGACAGGGTTGAGGCGCTGAGGGGACTGTGTATAAAGCAACCCCAGCTTGTTAGACAGACGGACCCTTATCTGCCTAGTTACTTCCACGATTCCCTGAGCCGGCCCGGGCCCCCGGGTCTTGTCATATTCAAACAATTTACTATGCTTTGTGCGACTTGGTGGGCAAGTGTTCAGCTGTCGCTGCTTCTTTGTGTCTTCATTTTCCCAAGGGGTTTCCCATGTGCACGTACAATCCCAGCTTTTCTCCTGTTAATCTGCCTTAATGTCCATTTGATTCCCAGGCCCCCTGGAGCCCCTGGGCGGGTGGAGGTGCTGTGCTGCCTCCCGTGCTGTGCGCGCTTCTCAGCCCTCTCTGCCAGCATTTCTGTCCTGGAGCTGCAGCTGCTTTGCCTGCGTTGAGCAGGGCGCCTGCGGAGCGCAGGTGACATCAGCCACAGCCGTGCCTGCACCCGCCACCGCTCCAATCCCCACGCAGCCCGGTCACCCGGTGCCTCCACTGCCTTGGCTGGCGCTGGGCCGGGGCCTCCAGGTTTCTGTGTCCAAAGGGCAGGAGAGAGGCGCAAGCGGGAGCTGCTCTTGCTATGCCAGGGCGGTGCTAGAGATAGACTTTGCCCTGGGCTGGGCTGTTTTCCCCCCACGCGGATCCTCACCTCCGCTTCTCCACTGGCTTTCCGCCTTTACATACGTCTATTTTAAATTTGTGTTAGGCACCCCCACACTGTGACTCCCCTCAACACTGCCGCTCCCCCACGCACACAGCGGCTCCCCCAACACACGGCTGCTCCCCCCACAGCCTGCGGCTCCCCACACACGGCGGCTCATCCACATATGCTGGCTCCCCACTACGCAAGGCGTCTCCAACCCTCCAGACGGCGGCTACTCCACACACGGCGGCTCCCCCCACACACACACGGCGGTTCCCCCCACACACGGCGGTTCCCCCCACACACGGCGGCTCCCCCCCCCACACACGGGCTCCCCACACACGGCGGCTCATCCACATATGCTGGCTCCCCACTACGCAAGGCGTCTCCAACCCTCCAGACGGCGGCTACTCCACACACGGCGGCTCCCCCCACACACACACGGCGGTTCCCCCCACACACGGCGGTTCCCCCCACACACGGCGGCTCCCCCCCCCACACACGGCGGTTCCCCCCACACACGGCGGCTCCCCCCCACACATGGCGGCTCCCTCCCACACACGGCGGCTCCCCCCCACACACGGCGGCTCCCCCCACACACACACGGCGGTTCCCCCCACACACGGCGGCTCCCCCCACACACGGCGGCTCCCCCCCCCACACACGGCGGCTCCCCCCCACACACGGCGGCTCCCCCCACACACACACGGCGGTTCCCCCCACACACGGCGGCTCCCCCCACACACGGCGGCTCCCCCCCACACACACGGCGGCTCCCCCCACCACACACGGCGGCTCCCCCCCCCACACACGGCGGTTCCCCCCACACACGGCGGCTCCCCCCACACACGGCGGTTCCCCCCACACACGGCGGCTCCCCCAACACACACACGGCGGCTCCCCCCCCACACACGGCGGTTCCCCCCACACACGGCGGCTCCCCCCACCACACACGGCGGCTCCCCCCCACACACGGCGGTTCCCCCCACACACGGCGGCTCCCCACACACACACACGGCGGCTCCCCCCACACACACGGCGGCTCCCCCCACCACACACGGCGGCTCCCCCCACCACACACACGGCGGCTCCCCCCCCCACACACGGCGGCTCCCCCCCACACATGGCGGCTCCCTCATACACTGCGGCTCCCCCCACCACACACGGCGGCTCCCCCCGCCACACACACTGCGGCTCCCCCCACCACACACGGCGTCTCCCTCATACACTGCGGCTCCCCCCACCACACACGGCAGCTCCCCCCCCCCACACACGGCGGCTCCCCCCCACACACGGCGGTTCCCCCCACACACGGCGGCTCCCCCCACCACACACGGCGGCTCCCCCCCCACACACGGCGGCTCCCTCATACACTGCGGCTTCCCCCCCAACACATGACGGCTCACCCACATCTGGCGGCTCCCCCTCTACACGGCTCCCGTCTCCAACCCTCCACACGGCGGCTCCTCCACAAATACGGCGGCTCCCCCTCCCACGGCGGCTCCCCCACACACAGCAGTTCCCACACACACACTGCGGCTCCCCCGCACATGGTGGCTTCCCCCCACCACACTGGGGTTCCCCCCCAGGGCAGCTCCCACACACACGACGGCTCCCCCCATACTGTGGCTTCCCTGCACACGACAGCTCCCCCCCCACACACCATGGTTCCCCCCACACGGTGGCTCCCCCTCACACAGCAGCTCCCCCGCTACACGGCGGCTCCCCCGACACGGTGGCTCCCCACACGTAAGCAGCAGCTCCCCCCACACACGGCCCTCCCCACACACACACACCCGGCGGCTCCCCCCACCACACGGTGACTCCCCCTCACACAGCAGCTCCCCCCACACACGGCCCTCCCCCCACACACACACACCCGGCGGCTCCCCCCACCACACGGTGACTCCCCCTCACACAGCAGCTCCCCCCACACACGGCCCTCCCCCCACACACACCTGGCGGCTCCCCCCACCACACGGTGACTCCCCCTCACACAGCAGCTCCCCCCACACACGGCCCTCCCCACACACACACACCCGGCGGCTCCCCCCACCACACGGTGACTCCCCCTCACACAGCAGCTCCCCCCACACACGGCCCTCCCCACACACACACACCCGGCGGCTCCCCCCACCACACGGTGACTCCCCCTCACACAGCAGCTCCCCCCACACACGGCCCTCCCCACACACACACACCTGGCGGCTCCCCCCACCACACGGTGACTCCCCCTCACACAGCAGCTCCCCCCACACACGGCCCTCCCCACACACACACACCCGGCGGCTCCCCCCACCACACGGTGACTCCCCCTCACACAGCAGCTCCCCCCACACACGGCCCTCCCCCCACACACACACCCGGCGGCTCCCCCCACCACACGGTGACTCCCCCTCACACAGCAGCTCCCCCCACACACGGCCCTCCCCCCACACACACACCCGGCGGCTCCCCCACACAGAGCTGGGAGGCTCCAGTACTCTCGGAGCTTGGCTGGGGCTCCTGGGGAGGGCCGTGGCTCCTCCTCACCCGCTGGGGAGCCAGGAGTTCCGTGAGTGGTTGAAGCCCTGCTGGGAGGGTTGGGCGTTTCCAGCCATTCTCACACGGCTTCTCAGCCGGGGTCTCCCACCCCGGCCCTGGCCCTGGGCCTGCCCTCACTGCCTCCTCCCCATCCCCTACCCCTAGAGGCCTCCTGCCCTGGTCACCTACGCGTCACCTAAGCCCCGAGGCCAGGCGGCTTCTTGTCTACTAAAGACTTCCGGAGAGAGGCATTCACCCTGTGGTCAGAGCTGGGGTTTCCATGGAGGAGCACCACAGCCATAAAGAAAGGTAGGGTGACCCCACCCCTCGGGCCTAGCGGTCCCGAGCCCTGAGGGGTCATTGGGTCCACCAGGCCCTCCCGGCCTCCTTTTGTTCCCCAAACTCCCAGGGTCCTCCTGTACTTTCCACATGGCTTCCTTGCTGATCAGAGAAGTATTCCAGCGGCTCTGCTTCACCTCCTGTAAACATCAGATGACCCGGCTTAAACCTAACCACGCACATTGGATGAGTCCTTCATCCAGTGTTGAATTTCCCCCACTACATGGTGACAATACCCTAACGTCATTTTTCCTCACATCTTTGCCATGTACACTGGGGTTCTGGGGACACCTCAACGTGCTGGGTTGAGCAATGAAAGCAAAATGGCTTTATTCGTTTCTGTCCCTGGACTCCCTTGCAGAGAGCTGAGTTGGGCGCCCTAGGCCTGCTCCAGGCTCCTGCGTCCTCCCCACGGTGCTGACGGGGCCTCTGGGGTGTCACGGGCTCCAGACATCCTCCTGCATGTTTTCTCCAATGTGTCACCACTAAGTCACACAGTGGGGACATCAAATGAGCCCCTCAGTCTTTTGTACACGTTATGCTCAGGGTCCCCTGATCTTACCCTTTTTCATTTTGGTTGACTACACTGACTGGGTGTGTCATGGGTACTGGAGAATGCATTAGGAAGAGTGTTTTCTTAAACACCAAGAGTTTTGAATGAGTCGAAAGCAAGGCAACAGCAAAAGGGGTAAGGTGAGATCAAGCCTGGGTCTTGCTGGATGGGACCATGTAAAATGGGGCCTGTGATCGACTCACTCTATGTTTTTCCCACCGTCTCCCTCAGAATTCACACAAAATACACAACAACTAGTCTATCCTGGCCTTTTCCAAGATCACTTGTAAGGAGTAATGAGCAGCTCTGATTGAAATGCTGGGTGATACCAGGACCTCAGACATTCCATGTGAAGGGTTTTTAAGCCAGTGGAGGTTTCTAAAGTCTGAGAAAATGTCAGGGTACAGGTGGAACTCAGATTTGCCTCCCCCTTTTGGTTGCATTCTACAGGGAATTTTGGTTGTGAAGAACGTGCTTTATAATATCTTTAGGGCTTTTGTCCCTTCATCTTACATCACACTTGGCCTAAATGGTGCGGGTCCTTCCTGGGGCACCACTCCCTGAGCAGGCACAGGAGCAGGGCAGCACCTGCCCTAAATTGCAGGACAGCATAAGCACAGTCAGCCCCCAGAGCCTCAGTGACCCGGCAGGGTCAGCGGAGTCACCCGGACGGTGTTGGCCTTGCTGGTCACGGGAATTACTGCCTGATGGCCACCATGACCAGAGTTTTCAACTTGACATGCATTTTGAGGAGGACTGCGAAGGGACAGATTTGTTTGGGAAGGTGCAAGGATACAAACGTTGGTGGACGAAACTGTCACTGAGAAATGGAACATTCCAGTGCTTTGCCTTGCAGCCATCTCAAACAGGCTCCTGGGGGCCCTGGCACAGCTTCTCCTCCCAGTCGTGGGGCACAGCCAGGGCCTCTGCACTGGCCCGGTGCTTAGGAAGCCCTCTGTGTGAGTGGAAGCTGCGCACTGTCAGGACGCACTCCACGTCCCTGAAAGAGTCTCACAAATCAGCTCCTAGCCAGTGTCTCTGGCACTGGAAAGTCTTCTCAGGAGGTGAGAATTAGAGACCCTGGGGGAGCTGCAGGGACCCCACGGAGGGACCGTCCCATAACCGAGGGAACTCATTTGGGGGACAGCAGGAAGTGCTTCGTGTGCTGAGGAAAGTCCTTGCTGGAAGCCACTTAGAGGAGTTTAAGTTTCCAGGCTTCCTTCTTTGGGACACAAACTATCCCTGTTTACACTGTCATTTCCTCTTTCCATTTCAAGTAAACAAAAGATAAAAATAAATACATCATCGTAAAAGACAGTAAGATACAATAAAATGAAAGGTCAAGTAGAGAGGCACAATAGCACAATATAAGTACATTGTTTGTTAAAAACAAAACAAAACAAAAATTCCAAGCATAGCCTTTGTCTAAATCTAAAAGACATAAGAGGGTTGGTGAATGTTGTAAGGCAGCAGAGTCCAACAGAAATATAATGCAAGCCACATCTGAATTTTATATTTTCTAGGAGTCACATTAAAAAGGTAAAAAGAAACACCTAAAATTGGTATTAATGGCATATTTTATGTTACCTGATATCATCATTTCTAGATGTAATTGTTAGAAAACTTACAAATGGGACATTTTACTATCATTGTTAAGTCTTTCAAGCCCACAGTGTGCATTTCACTCTTGCAGTTTAGCTCAGTTAGGACTGACCCACTTCAAGTGCGTAACAGCCATGCATGGCTGCCAATGGCGACCTCATGGAAGAGCTCAGTTTCAGCATAAAAGTGGAGGCTCTCAGGTCAACATGCTGGACTGAAAAGCTTCAGCACTGGTCAGAGGCACGGACTAGGTAGGCAGCTATTAACGGGAGGAGATAAGAGCCATTAGGGAAAGGAGCCATGGGTCCTTCTATGGGGCTGACTCAGCTATGCCCTGCAAATCTGTGGTAGCTCACACTTCCACCAGGAGAAAAGGAGGGTGCCTATTTCCTCGAACTCTGGATAGAGCTGACAATCTGATTTTACATGTGTAATTTTTATTTGTTTTGCTTATTAGTAAAGCTAATAATTCTCTCTGGTTTATAGGTTATTATTATCCCTGCATTTGCGCTAAAAACAAATTATTGAACTAGAAGACTACCGTTTTAGTTTGTTTTCTGTTGCTTATAACACAATCCCTAAAACTGGGTAATCTCTAAGGAAAAGGAATTTATTTTTTACAGTTATGGAGGCTGTGAAGTGCAAGGTCAAGAGGCTGCATCTGGTGAAGACCTTCTTGCTGGTAGGGTCTCTCTACCTGGTCCTGAGGCAGTCCAGGGCATCACATGGTAAGGGGTTGAGCATACAAACATGCTAGCTCAGGGCTCTCTTCCTCTTCTTGTAAGCATACCAGTTCCATTCCCATGGTAGCCCATTAATCCACTAACCCATTCATCTATTCATTTATGAATGAATCCCTTCATGAGAGCAGAGCCCTCATGAACTGGCCACCTCCTAAAGGCCTCACCTTTCAATACTGCCACATTGAGGATTATGTTTCAGCATGAGTGTGGGAGGGAGCATTGAAACCATAGCAACTACCATAGATAATTCACTCAAAATTAAGATGCAGGGGGTGGGAGAGACAGAGGATATCAACAGTAAGAGTCATGGGTGACACTGACCAAGAAACCCACTGTCCATGTCAGCACACTGCATTTAGTGTATCCATATTAGTACGCTGCCTTTTTGGTCCAGCTCCTCACCCCTCCCTATACCTACATGCTAAGCCATGTGACTTTGGATTTTCCTCTATTAGAGTCAGAGTATATTTCCTGGTCCCATTGGTGTAGATATTGGCTGTATGACTTGCTTTTGCCATCTAAGTACAGGTGGAGATGAGTGTGCCCGTTCTCAGGCTGGGACTTAGAAGATGTCTCACGTTTTTACTCACCACTCTTGAATGTCTCCCATTGATACCAAGTGGACATGGTCGCAGGAGGAGAGGCACAGGGAGCAGTTTCCCTGCTGACCTGCAGCCCTGCAGCCCGAGGCTGTGCTGTCCTGAGCATGGTAGTTTGTGCTTATGGTCCCAGGCCACTGAGTTTGGGTGGTTCGTTACAAAGCACAAATGTGGTGATAGTTTAACAGGCCATGTGCAGAGACTGGAGAGGCGATAATACAGGAGAATGTCCCTACACTGAGGAAAGACTTGAGTCTCCACATCGAAGGCTGAGGGAGAATATTAGGCAAAGATACACATACAGGTGCAAACCAGCAAATTCTTTTCATTCCACATTGAAGAAGATACTACAATTCTCCAATGGGAGTGAGGTAACTTAGAGGAAAGATAATTAGACTGACATTGGAGTCCTCATTGCAACACTACATTTAGAAAGCAATGATTGTAGAGATTTTGAGGGAAAACATGGAAATATTAGAAGCTTACACTCAGCCAAACTATTGTTCAACTTTGCTTGTGAAAGAGATTTTACCACCATACACTTTAAAAAAAAACAAAAAACAAAATTCATGAAATATACCAACCACACCAAAACTAAAAACTCCCCAAAGATGTAGAATTCAACTCCAAAATCTATTCTTTTTCCACTTCCCATCTTTTTCAAAAATATGTTCTGAGCAGCATGAGCCCCACAAGATGTTCATAATCATGGAATTGGTTGGTCTACTAGGGCCAGGAAGCATTCACACTTCATTAGCAGTAACAGTTATGAGTACGCCACAGCCATTGCGCCCACGTATTCACTCCTCATTTAGTTTTCTCCACTGCTCCACAATGTAGGGACAACTATTGCCACCACATCACAGAAGGAAAGTGAGTCATGAGGACGCTGAGCAGCTTGCTGAAGGTTGCAGAGTGAGTAGGTAACAGAGCTGGGTGTCCCAGCACTCTGGTGTTCTGCTGCCTCCTACACAGATCTCTAATGGACCACCATCCTCCAGGCATCTGCACAGCCATGTGTGTCCACACTTACCATGGTATTGTCTGTGTCAGAAAGAAACTCAAGTAGCCACAGACCAGGAAAAAGTGTCCACCTGCTGCCTCAGTCTCACAGCACTTCCTCTCCTGCAGGGAGGTGCCCTTCCCAGTCCCTGTGTCTGAGTCTTCTGTGTTGCTGGCCCTAGGTCTCTGTGTTGTGAGTCCTAGGGATAAGTATGTGATACTGGGGGTGGGCAGTCATTCCCCTACCCCTCCTGGATACAGGGACAGGCCTGGGGTAGGCATGTGACACAAGCTAAGGATGCAGGAGGCCTTTTCTGAATGTTATTTTAAAGAAAAGGGAAGAAGACTTTGCTTTTTGAGTTGCACAATTTGAAGGCTGTGGATTGGGAATGCCGGAAGGCTAGGAATCACCTTCCACGACAGATGAAGGAATCCTGTCTGCTATAGGCAAGAATGAGACTGAATAAAAAAAGAGGGAAGGAGAGCAGAGTGGAGTGCAAAGAAGGGGAAGGAGAAGAACAAGGACAAAGTCAGGAAGAGGGTAGTGTATACGTCAGCTCAAGCTGTTGTAACAAAATGCCACAAACTGGGTGGCTTAAACAGCGTAAATTTATTTTCTCACAGTTCTAGAGGCTGGAAGTCTAAGGTCAATGTGCCCATTGGTTTGGTTCCTGGTGCTCTTCCTGGCTTGTAGAAAGCCCCATCCACTATGTGCTTGCCATGGTTTGAATGTATCCCCCAAATTTCATGTGTTTGAAACTTAATCCCCAATGCTACAGTGTTGAGCAATGGAACCTTGAAGAGGTGATTAGATCATGAAAGCTCTGCCTTTATGAATGGATAAATTGTTGTTATCTTGGGAGTATCATGGGAGTGGGTTCTCACGGGAGTGGGTTCCTGACGAAAGGATAATTTAGCCCCCTCCATTGCTCTCTGGGGCACCCTCTTGCCCTTCCATCTTCTGCTGTGGATTAACATAGCATGAAGGCCCTCACCAGATGCCAGCATCATGCTCTTGGACTTCCCAGTCTCCAGAATCATGATCCAAATACATTTTGTTCATTATAAATTACCCCTTTTGTGGTCTTCTGTCCTAGAAACACAAACAGCATAAAGAATGTTATATGGGTTCACTCAGAGAAACCTATCTCTGGTGTCTTTTCTTACAAGGGCACTCACCTCATCATGAAGGTCCACAATCATGACCTCATCTAAACCTAATTATCTCCCAAAGGCCTCCCTCCAAATATCATCACACTGGGGTTAGGACTTCAACAAATGAAGAGGGAGAGGGACACAAATGTTTAGCTCATAACAGGAAGGGAAGGGAAAAGGGAAGGAAGAGAGGAAGAGAGATCTAACAACCTCATTTGAGTCCCTGGATCCAGTCATATCTGAAGCAAGAAATCTATTTGTGACATTTCTAGTTAAAAGCATCAATAGATCCCTTTTTAATCTTAAACTGTATTGAATTGGATTTTTGATATTCGCAATTACAATAGCTTTGATTAATTCGTAACATGCATCTACAAAGTGAAAAACCACACAGTCATTAATGTTAAAGTGTATTGAATTGGATTTTTGATATTCGCAATTACAATAGCTTTGATTAATTAATAACATACATCTACAAAGTGAAAAACCACACAGTCATTAAGAGTAATGAGAGGAATCTATATAAACTATTAAGGAAAGGGGCACACAATATATTGTTTATAGTAAAAAGGAAGTTGCTGAGCAGGAGATATAGCATGATACTATTTAAGATGGAATGTACCATATGCATATATTTATATGTGTGCAAATATTTCTATGTGTGGAAAGGAAGATAGAAACAGTGGTTATCTTCAGCATTGGGGATGATAGTGGTTATAGGGTTAGGAGAGTTGACTTACTTTACACATGTCTCTGTGTGTGTGTGTGTGTGTGTGTGAGAGTGTGTATGGTGTTGGGCTTTTTGTATTGTTTTGTTTTAGAGACAGGGTCTCACTGTGTTACCCAGGCTGGAGTGCACTGGTGGGATCTCAGCTCAGTGCAGCCTCAAACTCCTGGGCTAAAGCAATTCTCCAGCTTCAGCTTCTGAATAGCTGGGACTGCAGGCATGTGCCACCATGCCTGGCTATTTATTTATTTATTTATTAAAAAAAATTTTTTTTTTGAGAACAGTGTTTTGCTCTTGTTGCCCAGTCTGGAGTGCAATGGTGAGATCTCAGCTCACCACAACCTCCACCTCCTGAGTTCAAGCAATTCTCCTGCCTCAGCCTCCTGAGTAGCTGGGATTACAGACATGCACCACCACGCCCGGCTAATTTTGTATTTTTGGTAGAAACAGGGTTTCTCCATGTCGGTCAGGCTGGTCTCAAACTCCTGACCTCAGGTGATCTGCCTGCTTTGGCCTCCCACAAGCGCTGGGATTACGGGCGTGAGCCACCACACCTTGCCTATTTTTTTATTTTATTTTTTGTAGAGACAGGTCTCACTATGTTGCCCAGGCTAATCTGAAATTCCTGGGCTCAGGTGATCCTCCCACCTTGGCCTCCCAAGGGGCTGGGATTACAAGCTTGAGTCACTGTGCCCAGCCCCTATCTATGTTACTTGATTATTTTAAGCATGAACAATTATAATTTGTAATAAAAATAATTAAAATGCACGTTTCATTTTGAAAAAAAAATTTGTTTTACCTGGAAAGTTTTTTTCTATTATTTATTTTATGAATGTCTCTCTTTTTTCACCTCTATTGTCTTCTTTTAGAATTAAAATTTTACAGATTTGTGATTTCTGGGCTTAGAGTTTATATAATTTCCATCTTTGTACTCTTTCCTTGCACAATCTTAGGGACTTTCTTGAGTTTTTGTTATGATTAGCCAAATTAACTTCTGCAATACAGATTGATTCTGTTTTATCTGAAATACTTAGGACCAGAAGTGTTTTAGATTTGGGCAATTTGGGGAAGGGGATTTTAGAATATTTGCATTATACTTACTGGTTGAACATCGCTAATCCCAAAATCCAAAATCCAAAATACTCCAATGATCATTTTTTTTTTTTTTGAGCATCATGTTGGTGTTCAAAAGGTTTCAGATTTTGGAGCATGTCAGATTTTAGACTTTTGGATTAAAGATACTTGACCTGTACAGAATGTGATTCCAGTGTTTATTTAGTTTTCCACTGAAAGCACGACATTCACAAGAACCCTCACATACGGTGATAGACATCTGGCTGATTTTCACACAGTGGACACACCCCAGTAACCAAGTAACCAGCACCCAGATCAGAAACAGAACATCGCCAACATCTTAGAACCCTTCTCATCACCTTGTAACCACAAACTCCTGGAGGCCTCCGCTTTCTGGAAGCATAGAATTTATTTGTGGGTACTTGGACTTCATGTCAATGGAACCCTGAGGTATCTATGCCTGGGTGTCTGGCTTCTTTGGCAGCTCCTGCCTGTGGAATTCATTCACATGGTTGCACGCAGCCAAGCACTTCCATCCTCATTGCTGGTTAGGGTTGCACTGTGTGAAGAATACAGCTGATTGCCCCAGATGCAGCTTTGTGCTTAGTGATCACCCGCCAGATGCAGCTTTGAAATTTGTGATCACCAACCAGATGCAGCTTTGTGCTTAGTGATCACCGACCAGATGCAGCTTTGTACTTAGTGATCACCAATTTTCATCTCGGGGGCTCTTCTCTGATCTGTCATCCTCTCTTCATGTTAACCTGCTCTGGTTTCACGGACAGACTATCCCTTTATAAAACTGAAAACCTGAAAACCTCCCTTCTCTTTATTTGGTTTTAATTTTGATTCCTAAAGGTATTTTTTGTTTAAAATAAAAAGAACCCTTCAGCTGTTGGGTGGCATTTTCAGGTAGTTCATCTTTCCAGGAACGAGCGTCTGTGCAGAGTATGGGTGGAAGTGGTGGTGGCAGAGTGGAAGAGGCCATGGGGTGGCAGAGTGTGGATGGTGGTGGTGGTGGTAAAGTGTGGATGGTGGTGGTGGTAGAGTGTGGATGGAGGTGGTGGTGGTAGAGTGTGGATGAAGGTGGTGGTGGCAGTGTGTGGATGGTGGTGGTGGTGGAGTGTGGATGGTGGTGGTGGTGGTAGAGTGTGGATGGTGGTGGTGGTGGTAGAGTGTGGATGGTGGTGGTGGTGGTAGAGTGGGGGTGGTGGTGGTGGTAGAGTGTGGATGGTGGTGGTGGTAGAGTGTGGATGGTGGTGGTGGCAGAGTGTGGATGGAGGTGGTGGTGGTAGATAGTGGATGGAGGTGGTGGTGGTAGAGTGTGGATGGAGGTGGTGGTGGTAGAGTGTGGATGGAGGTGGTGGTGGCAGTGTGTGGATGGTGGTGGTGGCGGAGTGTGGATGGAGGTGGTGGTGGTAGATAGTGGATGGAGGTGGTGGTGGTAGAGTGTGGATGGTGGTGGTGGTGGTGGCAGAGTGTGGATGGTGGTGGTGGTGGCAGAGTGGCAGAGACCGTGGGGTGGCAGAGTGTGGATGGAGGTGGTGGTGGCAAAGTGGGGATGGTGGTGGTGGTAGAGTGTCGGTGGAGGTGGTGGTAGAGTGTGGATGGTGGTGGTGGCAGAGTGTGGATGGACGTGGTGGTGGTAGAGTGTGTGTGGATGGTGGTGGTGGTGGTAGAGTGTGGATGGAAGTGGTGGTGGCAGAGTGTGGATGGAGGTGGTGGTGGCAGAATGTGGATGGAGGTGGTGGCGGCAGAGTGTGGATGGAGGTGGTGGTAGTGTGGATGGTGGTGAAGGTGGCGGTAGTGTGGATGGTGGTCGTGGTGGCAGAGTGTGGATGGAGGTGGTGGTGGTAGAGTGTGGATGGAGGTGGTGGTGGCAGAGTGTGGGTGGTGGTGTTGGTGGTAGAGTGTGGGTGGTGGTGGTGGTGGTACAGTGTGGATGGAGGTGGTGGTGGTAGAGTGTGGATGGAGGTGGTGGTGGCAGAGTGTGGGTGGTGGTGTTGGTGGTAGAGTGTGGATGGTGGTGGTGGTGGTACAGTGTGGATGGAGGTGGTGGTTGTAGAGTGTGGATGGAGGTGGTGGTGGTAGAGTGTGGATGGAGGTGGTGGTGGCAGAGTGTGCGTGGTGGTGTTGGTGGTAGAGTGTGGGTGGTGGTGGTGGTAGAGTGTGGATGGAGGTGGTGGTGGCAGAGTGTGGGTGTTGGTGTTGGTGGTAGAGTGTGGATGGAGGTGGTGGCAGAGTGTGGGTGGTGGTGTTGGTGGTAGAGTGTGGATGGTGGTGGTGGTGGTACAGTGTGGATGGAGATGGTGGTTGTAGAGTGTGGATGGAGGTGGTGGTGGCAGAATGTGGATGGAGGTGGTGGCGGCAGAGTGTGGATGGAGGTGGTGGTAGTGTGGATGGTGGTGAAGGTGGCGGTAGTGTGGATGGTGGTCGTGGTGGCAGAGTGTGGATGGAGGTGGTGGTGGTAGAGTGTGGATGGAGGTGGTGGTGGCAGAGTGTGGGTGGTGGTGTTGGTGGTAGAGTGTGGGTGGTGGTGGTGGTACAGTGTGGATGGAGGTGGTGGTGGTAGAGTGTGGATGGAGGTGGTGGTGGCAGAGTGTGGGTGGTGGTGTTGGTGGTAGAGTGTGGATGGTGGTGGTGGTGGTACAGTGTGGATGGAGGTGGTGGTTGTAGAGTGTGGATGGAGGTGGTGGTGGTAGAGTGTGGATGGTGGTGGTGGTGGTACAGTGTGGATGGAGATGGTGGTTGTAGAGTGTGGATGGAGGTGGTGGTGGTAGAGTGTGGATGGAGGTGGTGGTGGCAGAGTGTGGGTGGTGGTGTTGGTGGTAGAGTGTGGGTGGTGGTGGTGGTAGAGTGTGGATGGAGGTGGTGGTCGCAGAGTGTGGGTGTTGGTGTTGGTGGTAGAGTGTGGATGGAGGTGGTGGTGGTAGAGTGTGGATGGTGGTGGTGGTGGTAGAGTGTGAATGGAGGTGGTGGTAGTGTGGAGAGTGGCGGAGACCATGGGGTGGGGTTATCTGGGGTATTATTCAGGATGGGAAATGCTGCAACCGGCAATGCACAAACGCATCGTATGCATTTGCTCAGCCACACTGCACTCCTGCTGCAGCCTCTACATGCTGAGAGTGGCCCTCCTGCTGACAGCCAGCAGGAAAGAAGGGCCGTAGTCCTCACCATGACAAACTGAATTCTGGCAACAATGGGTGGGCTTGAAAGAGTATCCCAACCCAGAAAGGAACGCAACCACCTGACTCTGATTGCAGGCTGGTGAGCCCCAGAGCGGAGGACCCTGCCGAGCTGTTTCCAGACTCCTGATCCACAGAAACCGTGAGAGGATAACATTGTTCTGCTTGAAGCCACTACACCTGCCGTCACTTGTCTCGCATCATTAGGGAACCAACGTGCTCTGGAAGACAGCAACTCTCAGGGTCCATTCCGCTGACACCAGCGCCTCAGATGACACAGGACGTGGCATGGTGGCTATTGACTCATCAAGGGAACAGCAATGGTAACAACAAAACCTGGTTGTTCAGAAGTCACACACTCAAGGCCCTACGGGGCCAAGAGGGGTCCAGGAGCAGCCCAGTGAGCGGGGCAGGGGAGGGGTGCAGTCCACCCAGGACCCGTGCTGCCCACAGGCTGCTGCTGTGCTCGGAGAGGGCCTGCCACATGTGTCCGCAGAGAGAATCCGGGAATGCAAATTTCTAAGCGAATTTCTCCATACTTCAATGTTTGACAATCAGTAATTTTTCTTTGTAATTGATTTTTTAAATGTGAAACTCTTTTCAGGCAAACAAAACACACTTGCAGGCTGCCATTACACAATTTTGTTTTAATCATTTTAAGGTCTTCATTGTCTTTTACACAAAAGCTGGGAATATTCTCCCTCTTTCCAGAATTCAACTGGTTTAGTGACTAGGAAGATATTTTGTAATACATTTTTTTAAAAAAGAAAACCATGAAGGAATATTTCAAATAAGAAGCTGACTAGCTTAAATTAATAGCTGTTAAGTATTAAATATGATGTGCTTTCTCTTAAACTAGGCCACTCTGCACCTTGCATTCCTATCCTTTTTTGGGCTTCAGATCAGAAATCGCAACTTTTGCGTGGAGATCCTGGGCCTCCACACTGCTGGCCTCCCATCGTCCCAAGAATGACTCCCTGGAAAGAGCCTGTTCAGACCCTTTGTGACTGGACTCTACTGTAAGAGGAGAATCAAATGCTTGCAAGAAAACTGTAAAGCAGAGTTTCCTAAAATACATTTCATAAGCGTGAGTGCCAGGAGTGCCTTAAAAATGTGACTCTATTGTCAAATAAGTTGGGCAATTTACTGAAGTATACATGAATATGTTAAAACCTCCAAGGAGTCCTGAATTTAAAACAAACCTACACACAAAAACAAAGGTATTTTTTAACCTATCTGTTTGTTTGTTTGTTTTTGTTTGTTCATTTGTTTTGAGACAGACTCTGGCTCTGTCACTCAGGCTGGAGTGCAGTGGCGCAAACTCGGCTTATTGCAACCTCCGCCTCCCAGGCTCAAGCAATCCTCTCACCTCACCCTCCTGAGTAGCCCGCCACCATGCCCAGCTAATTTTTTGTAGTTTTGGTAGAGACAGCGTTTCACCATATTGCCCAGGCTGATCTTGAACTCCTGACCTCAAGTCATCCTCCTGCCTCAACCTCCCAAAATGCTAGGATTACAGGTGTGAGCCACCAGGCCCAGCCTAAATTATCTTTAACCCACTGTTTTCCTCAAATTATTTTAACAGATAGCTCTTTTTAAAAATAAATAAATAAATAAACACTTTTACTATCCCAAGTACTAATAGGAAATACTTCGAAAAATGTGACCCAGGACCCCGCAGTGAGCTTCTCACACACCTGACTTCACCTCCAGTGGAAGGAAATCTGCGGCCTGCTGAAATAAGAGATGAAGGAACTAAAAGAAAATCCCCAACATTTTTACTTTCAAAAACCCTAATAAATGGTACAAATAGAAACAAATAGCATGAGAGACTTAAATCTGCTATATTGATGGTTACATTTAATTAGTGGTCTAGAGACTCCTATTAGAAGGCAAAACTTGTCAGAATGGATAAAGCACTAGGGCCCAACTCTACAGTATGCGCAAGAGATGAACTTCATACACACAGGTAGAAATAGGTTAGAAGAGAAAAGAGGGAAAAAGACGCTCCATGCAAACAGTAATCATAGGAAAGCTGGGTGGTACCAAGTATTCTAAGAACAGATGTGCCTGATGATAGAGCTTCAAATATGTGAAAAAAAAACTGACACCTGAAAGACGAAGTAAGTCCACAATTACAGTTATACCTTTCCGCGTTCCCCTGTCAGTAACTGCTCGACAGAAAGTCAGTAAGAGCACAGAAGGCTTGAAAAACACTAAAACCCGGCTCGATCCACTTAACATTGCTTAAGCATTCCATCCCACACGTGCAGACTATAATTATGTTCTGATAGAACGCTGATCAAAATAGACCACATTCTAAGCCATGAAACAAGACTCAATAAAGTTAAAAGAACTGAAATCATGTATAATACATTTTCTGGGCTGGGCGCGGTGGCTCATGCCTGCAATCCCAGCACTTTGGGAGGCCGAGGCGGGCGGATCACAAGGTCAGGAGATCGAGACCATCCTGGCTAACACGGTGAAACCCCGTCTCTACTAAAAATACAAAAAATTAGCCGGGCGTGGTGGCGGGCGCCTGTAGTCCCAGCTGCTCCGGAGGCTGAGGCAGGAGAATGGCGTGAACCCGGGAGGTGGAGCTTGCAGTGAGCTGAGATCGCGTCACTGCACTCCAGCCTGGGCGACAGAGCAAGACTCCATCTCAAAAAAAAAAAAAAAAAAAAAAAGAAATCCATAGTAATAAGATAGCTGGAAAATCTTTAAATATTTGGAAACTAAATGGCACTTCCTGTAAATAACCTATGGACCAAAAAATATTACAGCATTGTGAGGGTTAATCTTAGGCATCACCTCCACTGGGTCCGGGATGCCTAGGTGGCTGGTGAAGCCTTGTTCCTGGGCGTGTCTGAGGGGGTGCTGCAGAGGAGACTGACATTTGAGTCCATGGACTTGGAAGGGGAAGACCCACCCTCAGTGTGGGTGGGCACCCTCCAATCGGCTGCCACCGCGGCTGGGACAGAGCAGGCTCCTGTGCGCTCCTCCCACCCTTGGACATCAGACTCCAGGTTCTTCATCCTTCAGACTCTTGGACTTAGACCAGTGGTTTGCCGGGGGCTCTCAGGCCTTCAGCCACAGAATGAAGGCTGCTCTGTTGGCTTCTTGCTTTTGAGGCTGCTGGATTGGGACTGAGCCTCTGCTGGCTTCCTTCTTCCTCAGCTGGCAGATGGCCTATCATGGGACTTCACCCGTGATTGTGTGAGCCAATTCTCCTTAATAAACTCCCTTTCATGTATACATATATCCTATCAGCTCTGTCCCTCTGGAGAACCCTGACTGATACAAAAGTAGATTTGCTTCCTAGGGCCGACATAGAAAGTGCCACAGACTGGGTGGCTAAAAACAACAGAACTTTCTCTCTCACAGTTCTGGAGGCCAGAAGTACAATATCAGTTTTACTGGACAGACATAAGGGTGCTGACAGGGCCACACTCCCCCCAGAGACTCTAGGGAGGCTCTATTCCTCGCTATTCCAGCCTCTATAGCTCTAGACATTCCTTGGCTTGTGGCCACAGCACTGCGGTCTCTGTCTCCATCTCCTCATCACCCTCTCCTCTGTGCATCTGTGTTGAAACTCCCTCTGCCTCCCTCTTCTAAGGATCTGTGTGATTGTGTTTAGAGTCCACCAGGAGAATCCAGGGCTAACCCCTTCTTACAATATGTTTAATCTAACCACATCTTTTTATCACATAAGGTAATATTCACAGCCTCCAGGAATTGGCTGTGGTCATATCTTCAGAGCCACCATTAAGCGTACTATACAAAGGAAATTAGAAAATATTTTAAGTCGAATGATAATGAAAATAGAAAATATCTAAATCTGTAGGCTGCAGCTAATGTAGTAAGAGGAGGGAAATGCTTAGTTATATCTGCTTAATATCATAAAAGAAGGAAAACGGAGAAAACACAAACTATGAATATCAGGAACAAGATAGTAGCATTGCCACAGATGCTACAGACAAGAAAATGATAAAAAGAAATATTAGAAAGAATCTTGTCAATATATTTGGCAACTTTGAAGAAGTAGACAAATTCCCTGAAAGACACAAATTACCACAACTGACACAAGAAAGGATAATTTTTTTAAAGCATGACTTTATATATCCCAGAGAAATTGGATTTGAAATTAAAAGCAAAGAAAATTTCAGATGGCTTCACTGATGAATAATGTCAAGAAAGAAAGACACCAATCTTACTCAAATTTTACCTGGAAATAAAAGAGGGAAGGATATTTTCCAATTCATTTAATGAGCCCGGCCATGAGTTCCTACTCAATCCAGATGACACATTAAAAGGAAATAAAGTTACGCATGAATGTTCCTTATGAACAAAAGTGTAAAAATCCTCAACAAAATATTACCGAGTGAATCCAGAAATAGAGAAAACAGATAATACCGTATGGCCACTGTGGGTTGACTTGTGCACTCCAAAAAGACATGCTGAAATTTTAACCCCAGGTACCTGTGAATGGGCCTGTATTTAGAGATAAGGTCTTTGCGGGTGTAATTAGTTAGGCTAATATAAGATCATGCTGGAGTAAGGTGCTCCCTAAGTCCAACATAGCTAGTATCCTAAATCTGACATGAAGAAAACAGAGATACAGGGAGGAGAAAGCCATTCGGAGAGGCAGAGACCACGTGTCCACCAACCAAGGAAATGCCAAGGATGGCCAGTGGCCACCAGAAACTGGAGGAGGAAAGAAAGGTTCTCCCCAGAGCCTTTGGAGGGAGTGAGGCTCTGCCCTCACCTTGAGGTGGAGTCCTGGCCTCCAGCACTGTGGGAGGATCTGATTCTGTTGTTTCTGTTTCTGTTATTCTGGTAGAGTAGCTCAAGAAAATTAGTACAATGGTCAATGGGATTTGTTCCTGAACTACAAATTTGGTTTAATCTATGAAAAGCAAATAATGTAATTCACCATGTTAACATAAGAAAAAAAATCATCTCAACGTGTCTAGAAAAATTCATTTAACATCCATGATTAAATAAAACATTTCAGGAAACTAGAAATAAAAACATCTGTAATTGGATAAAGAGCATCTACAAAACACCTACAGCTAGTATCATACCTAATACTGACAGACTCAGTTCTGTTTCCCTAAGGCTGAGCAAGGTAGGATGTGTGCTCTCTCTGCTTCTGTTCAACATTGTACTAGCCAGTAAAATAAGCCAAGAAAAGAAGTAGATGGTATACAGACCAGTAAGGCAGAAGAAAATCTGCCTTTATTTGCAAATGACAGGACAAAGTACACAGAAAATGCTAAGCAATTGCAAAAAAAAAAAAAAAAAAAAAAAAATTAAAAAGCTGCTAAAGCTATCAATTTAGCAAGGTTGTAGGATGGAAGGCCACTATAACAAAAGCCTATTCTTTTACCATATACGAGTAGTGCAAATATTGGAAATGAAATTTTAAAAGAACCTTTTACTGGCTGGGCGCAGTGGCTCATACCTGTAATCCCAGCACTTTGTGAGGCCGAGGCGGGTGGATCACCTCAGGAGTTCGAGACCAGCCTGACCATCATGGTGAAACCCCGTCTCTACTAAAAATACAAAAATTAGCCAGGCGTGGTGGCAGGTGCCTGTAATCCCAGCTACTTGGGAGGCTGAGGCAGGAGAATCGCTTGAACGCAGGAGGTGGAGGTTGCAGTGAGCCGAGATCGCGCCATTGCACTCCAGCCTGGGCGACTCTTGTCTCAAAAAACAACAACAACAACAACCAAACAAACAAAAAAAAACCAAACTTTTACAATTGCATAAGAAGCATGCTTAAGGAGAAAATTAACAAAATAAATGTTAGACCTGGAAACTACGCTACAAATATAATAAATCGATGAGAAAAATTAGAGGACTTGAATAAATGATATGTAGACTGAGCTCATGGGTTGAATTGGTCAGTATTATTAATATACTAATTCTTCTGAAATTGATGTATACACTCAATGCGGTCCCCCCATGGCCCCCCGATAAGCACTATATGCGTGCACATCATGTGTGCTGATGAATGTCCTCTGCACACATGTCTGGAGATTTTAACCCACTGGGTCCTGAATAATCAGGAACCTAGAAGTCTTTTTAAAGCCCCACAGATAATTCTGATGGACAGCAAGGGTTTTAAGAAGGACTGGCCTAGAAAACTGTCAACACCCAATCAGAAAGCAGGATGACCTGCTGTAAAGAACAAGGTAGGCCAGGCACAGTGGCTCACGCCTGTAATCCCAGCACTTTGGGAGGCCAAGGCAGGTGGATCGCTTGAGGTCAGGAGTTTGAGACCAACCTGGCTAACATGGAGAAACCCTGTCTCTACTAAAAATACAAAAATTAGCTGGGCATGGTGGCTCATGCCTGTAATCCCAGATACTTGGGAAGCTGAGGCAGGAGAAGTGCTTGAACCTGGGAGGCAGAGGTTGCAGTGAGCTGAGACAGCACCACTGCACTCCAGCCTGGGCAAAAGAACAAGACTCCACCTAAAAAAAAAAAAAAAAAAAAAAAAAAAACCGAAGAAAAACACAAAGTTGCCTCCTACTGAATTATAAGAATTAAAAACGAAAACAACTCTGCTTTTACCTGACGTTGTAATTAGCACAGAATTCCAAAAACGGCCTTTTCTTCCCGCCTTTTCTTCTGTTTGCCTCCAGAACAGGGTGCCTGCTCGCTCATCACACAGGTTGGATAAGATCGACAGGAAAAACCCCTCCAACAGCACAGCAGAGCAGCACAGAGCCCTGCCTCTCTCCAGCTGGGGAAGTCGGGAGCTGAAGTGGAAAGCTGGTTGAAGAACAATGTGAAAAAAATGAGGCCTGACTCAATTCCTAAAAGCGGCTGCCTGACCTTATGCAAGCCACAGCTTCTATTTACAAACCCAGGAAACTGGACAAAATACTGAAAGGATCCCCTAAGATAATGAGAGTTAACAACAGATGCAAAGCAAGGTTCTGTGGAAATGTAAGGTCGTGTTACCACGCAGGGCTGAAAAGCTTTCCTGACTACTTTCTGATTTGCGTATACTAAGGACTATTTCAAGAGGGTGACATTTTATGAATTAAAGGCATGCCACTTCCATTCACAGTGCTGTTCTGAGAGATTCGATTCTGTCCTTGACAATCTAAGAAAATCTTAACTCTGCATTATGTAAATACTAAGGACACGGGGTGTTTCGAATGAGACCAACCTCGTATCTCTCTCAACTCCCTCTCCTCCCGGGGCCACCCTTTTCTTTAATTGAAAGCACAATAAACTTAATCAGCTGCTCCTAACGATGCCTGCCCCAGCCTGGGAGATTCAGCAAGGCTTGGGGCGTGCATGACAAAGAAACACACACTCCAGAATCTCACTTTTGTTATTCCCCAGCCATCTTTTGTTATGTGGCATGGGAAAAATCTTAATGAGCCTGCCCTGCTGCTGCAGAAATTCTTGTCAGATGAAAAGCAGCCCCTCCTTCCACCTGGCAAGGGCTTACAGAGAACACAGCAGCCCACATCTACTCACGTTTCCTGAAACAATCCCCTATTTAACTTCCTAGGCAACAGAAAATCTGAAGAAAATGAGATACCACAGAAGATGAATTTGATGTAACAAAAAGGTGTTTTAAAAAGATAAGTAGAGAGGCCATCCTACAAAATTTCATGGCTGACAATGGTAAAAAAGATGCAGAAAAGGACCATCTGGCCTGAAAAATTCAGCCGGGGTCGGGGGAGGGGGTCCCGCAGCAGAGGCCAGGCCTTCAAGGATGGGGATCCTCTTCTGTCTTCCTTTTCTCAAAATGTTTGTTGGATGATGGACTTAATTTTAAAACCCCAAGTCACTGCGGTTTAGCCAGCTATGGATGATGAAAGCACTACAATCATTGAAACTGACAAGGAGGCAGTTTCCTTCAAAAATACGAAAACTGTACGCAGAGTACATGGAGAAAAATGTGACACAAGCATTTGGACACACTACTAAACAACAACATGGGACAATATAGACAACAATTGGAAATACACTTTGAGGAGGTAAAAAGTTCAGTATTCACTGGCTTCCTTTTGGAGGTTGTTAAATTGCTGAAATTCAAATAAAAGTCATTGAGCCATTGTGTCTGTCAGCTGTGCCTCTATCTCACCCCCGGGTGGGTGGAGGTCCCCCTGGCTTTATTCTCTGTGTTGTTGCTGCAGATCCAGATTCAGGATTCCGCCCTGAAGGTCTGCGTTCCCTCCCGAGACAGCCTCTGTTTCAAAATGCACAGCCATTCTTGACAGACAAGAAAGGGATGTTGAAAAACAAGTCATGCTTTGGATTCGTGTGGCTTTGAGATACAGAACGAATGAATTATTTCCTGCCTGGCCCAGAACACTTTGCCTCGGTACAGGAGTGTCAAGGCAGAGTGGGTGGGGAAGATGAAGGGTGAGGGAAGCAATTGCAATTAAAATCCATAAGGAGCCGGAGAAGGTGGTGCTCATAGATGGATCCCCTAACTGAGTTTAGAGGGCACAGGAGGAGGCGAAGGGAAGCAGTCTTTCATATATGTGACTTAGGAAATATATAAGGATTGTGTATTTTACGGCACTTATGAGATGGGATAATTCCTTGACTCTTTCATGGGTAGGAACTGGAGTGCACCTCTGGGTCCAGTTGGCCACTTCAGCACTAGCAGGGACGAACTTCAATCACTTGAACCTGCTGGACTCAACCCCTCATGGGAGGGAGCACATAGGCGAGTGGGTGCTGGGACCCTGGCAAGGGCTTTTGGGCTCCAGACCCACAGCAGCATCTAGGGTTGCATTACAATTAATGCTCTTTTAGCTTTGCCGTCCACAGATGGCTTAAGTGTTAAACAGCTCAGTGAAGAGTCAGTGTGACAGCCTTTATGGGTTCCCACATCCAGTGCATGCTGAATTCTTGTCCAGCGTCCAGGAAGAATCGGGCCACACAAATGGTTTGAAAGGTGATGAATGCAGAGGATTTTATTAAGTGGTGGAAGTGGCTCTCAGCAGAAGGGGAGCTGGAAGTGGGATGGAGCAGGGAGAAGGTTATCTTTCCCTGAAGCCCGGCCATCTGCAGCCAGGCTCCTCTCTGAAGCTGTGCCGTCTGAAGTTAAGCCACATCTATCCATAGTCTCTGATGCTCAGCTGCTTCTTCTCTCAACGTTCAGCCACTTGTCTCTTTGCCAGCTGAGGCCTGGGGTTTATATAGGCACAGGATAGGGGGTGGGGTGGGCCAAAAGGTAACATTTGGGCAAGAAAACAGGGATAACTGTTCTCATTTAGGGCTATGGTTTCCAGGCTTGAGGGTGGTGACTTGCCAGGGAACTGCCCTCTTCTGCCCAGTATTTCCCTGCCTCCTGTCCATATCAATTTGATATTTTTTGTGACACAGGTAGATAATTATCATAATCTGAAAAATAGCTTTCCATTGCAGGGGAAAGGGTTTGAGGTTCTGTCAACAACCCATGGACCTCTGGTCTATAGAATGAACAAAGAAATAATGTCATATAGATAAGCTACCTTGAGCCTTCTGGCAATTTCAGACTGTTTATAAATGTCTTGCTAAACTGTGAGGCCTACAAGGACGTAGGCTATGCCCGTCTTGCCTGCCATTACTTACCCAGCCTGGCACACAGCAAACACTCCGGTAATAGTGGTCACGCCAAAAAGTTATGACCACTTGGTGTCACTCAGCTTCCAGACTTTGTTACCTTACCAAGCCCGCTCCCACCTTCTGCTAACCTCCTGACCTTCGGAAGAAACCACCAATTCTGCAGTGGGCTCTGCACGCTCCCCAACTCTCAGCAGCAGTGTTGGTTAAACGAGTGAACATTCTGGTCTCTTCTATGAGCAGACCCAGGGGGTCAGCTGAGTCTCAAGTGTACACAAGGAGAAAGACATCCATGGGATAGCAGGGAGTTAGTGACACCAGCGCCCACAGGGCATCATGAACTCCACCTGGAGTCAACTCAGTGCTCTGCTGTCAAACTCCCCACAAGAAATGACAAGTTTGTGTCCTACAGCATCAATGCAAGGAGCCTGGCACCTACCAGGCAATTTCCAGCTGTCACTCATAGCTCAGCTCCTTGTAAATCTACTGCTAATGAGTTTATCTTGATTCTTCATGGACCTATTTAAGAATTCAGCTCTTCAATTTCATGGGGTATTTGCTGAGAGCAACAGACACTAGGAGAGGCCATGGTCTCTACTTCTTGCAGGAATTCTCTTAGGTTTTCTGCAAAGTGGGGAGCAGGGCTTGCCCTGTCTACTTCAGCCATACCCAGATAGCTTCCATCTCCCTTTGTGAGGCCAAAGGTTTTATCCTACCTGCATATGGAAAATCATTTTCCCTTTAAGTTTGCGGGTGCTTTTTGCCCAGATAAGCTTGCCTCAGGGTCCGGAGATGCTGCTCTTTATCACAGTTACTGGGTCCCATCTCCCCTCTCTGGGAAGCCCCTCATCTTCTCATGCAGATCTCACCAGAACTTGATTCCTGCAGGGGCTCCCTGCTGCACCAGCCCCACCGTCCCCAGCACCCAGCGTGTCTCCACCTGCGTGATTCGGTGAAGGCCCATCTCCTCCCAGGCTCAGACTCACAGTGGCAGAAACCATGGCTGGTTTTGAAGACAGATTTAACGCCAGCTCCGCATACCAAGCCTGAAACAGAAGAAGTGCTGGCAATATCTGTGGAGTGACAAAGTGCTGCACATTGCATTACCTCACAACTTCACAACTGCAG
This sequence comes from Homo sapiens, assembly GCF_000001405.40. Taxonomy (NCBI): domain Eukaryota; kingdom Metazoa; phylum Chordata; class Mammalia; order Primates; family Hominidae; genus Homo; species Homo sapiens. The sequence goes on from NC_000006.12 coordinate 167,445,844, forward strand.
GATAGATTCCTGTCTGACTTTCTCCTTTGTGTCACGTCCCTATAAAAAATTAGTTGCACCTTCTCTTGGCTTTTTGACATAGGATGTATCTTCCACTGGCTTTTTTAAATAATAAATTCTGGGGCGACCTAGCATTCCTTTGGCTTTTAATAAAGTGTTTTAGAATGTCTCCAGGTTCCTTGTGGGCCTTTAGTTTTGAACATTTCACCATTATCCCCCAGCTAATCCCCGTGTCGTGCTGCCCCTCACCCGCGACCCTACACGTTTCCCCTCTGCTTCTGTTCAACGCTTTCTGAAGATGAGAGCTTAGAGCACTTAATTATTGATGATCCTATTTCTCCTCATGCAAATTTCATCAATTCACAGAGATACCAATTGTAGCTCCTGGGCAAATCTGATATTTTCTTAATGTTCAGCAATGTAGCAGAGCGCCACAGCTGTTCTGTCACTGATGCTGGGAAAAGGAGGGGGCAGGGCCAGCGCTCTGCTTCACCTGGAGAGAAAGAGAAAAATCCCCATTATTTCAGCACTGACTCACATTTACCAGAGGCCCCCACAGATGGGCTGAGCTGGCCTAGGATGTCCCACTGCCCCTAGGACACCCTGAAGCCCTGACGGGGGCAGGGAGCAGGGGCTCCTGAACTTTATTTCATTACTGTGAGTGCTGCACGGCCTGATGAGGGACACCTTGCCCGGCTGGAGGGGGACTGTGGAATAAGGAAAGCAGTAAGAGCTCTCAGGGTGGGCGGCCGAGGGCTAGGTCCGCATGAGCCACCAGCTCTGAGCAAGGCTTAGAACTTCGCCACCATCACACCTCGTAAACTGTCCTGCTTTGGAAAAGTGGACTTGTGCAGGACTGAAGCTTGCTCAGCCAAGGGAAGGACAGAGGAACTACCTGACCCATTCTTAATTTGTCTGTTTCAGAAACACTAGGTTGTTCCAGGGTGGTCTACACTCCTAACATTTCAGAAACTGAACCACACCCACAAGAAACGAATGGGCCTCTCCAAGCATATATTTAGGGAAAGGGCATATAAACTAGATTACAGCGTGGAGGTACTCATTATTGATAAGAAGTGACTTAAAGTTTTTATAACAGAAAAGTGGAAGATGAAGCTCAGCAAATATATGTCTGTGTGTGTATGCACACACGCATGTAAGTATATATATGCACACACACATATATACACACAAACACACATATGCACACACACATATGCTAATATATATTCACGGAAGAAAAGAGCATTAATAGAACATAAGGGCCCCAAGAACTGCTAACTTAGCGGCACAGATGGTATATCCAAACTGGCGTGTTCTCACTTTGTTATATTAGAAACCCAGCCATGGCTGCGCGATGGATAATATCACACATTCTGCTGAGCTCCACAACCAACATTTCTATGGGCTTGTCAGGAAAATGCCCTTCCATATGCAGGAGGAGCCATTGCCGCTGGCGTCTGGGGTTACCTGGCAGGCATGCCTACTGTAAGCTGAGTCGTCAACCTTCAGATGGATAGTAAGGAAATTTAACCCACAAAGACCTTGTGGATATCCAGGAATACATGGGTTCTTCATAAATAAAGACACCCAGCTTCCAGTCCCATTATTATTTCTGTGGAAATTTAAGCAAGTCTTTAATGCCTGTTTACTAATCAGTGAGTGAGGGTGCTGGCAGCTCCAGTGGCTCAGCTGACTATTGATGCTTATTAGGGGACACTGCAGGGGGAAGTGCCTTCATAAAGACATAGCCACATCCCTGTGGGTTTGTGATGGGATGCCGGTGGCATTAGGCACAGCCAGAGAGTGCTGACATCCTGCAAGATAAAGAAATCAGTTGGGCGCGGTGGCTCACGCCTGTAATCCCAGCACTTTGGGAGGCCGAGGCAGGCGGATCACGAGATCAGGAGATCGAGACCATCCTGGCTCACACGGTGAAACCCTGTCTCTACTAAAAAGACAAAAAAAAAATTAGCCAGGCGTGGTGGCAGGTGCCTATAGTCCCAGCTACTCAGGATGTTGAGGCAGGAGAATGGCGTGAACCTGGGAGGTGGAGCTTGCAGTGAACCAAGATCGTGCCACTTCACTCCAGCCAGGGCGACAGAGTGAGACTCCGTCTCAAAAAAAAAAAAAAGAAATCTTACTCTATGCAGACTCAATGCACAGAAACCTGGGCTAGACAGTGAGAGTCCCCTGGGAACTGAACAGGCCAGAATGAAAAGAATCAGTGTCCCATTACCTGAAAGTGGAAAGTGAGACGTCTAAGCAGACACCCTCTGGGGCTCGGAGGTCTGCTCCAAGGCCAGCCTGGTGTGGTGAGTCCCTGCACTAGTCGGTTTGAGCTGCTTGTACATCATGGTGTGGTTCCTCGAACTCAGAACCCCGTGCAAGTCTCGGTGCATGGTGGACGCTCAGCATGTGTTGAGTTGCAGGTGAACTGGAGATGGAGAGAAGGCCACACTGCGCCTTCCACAGGATGTGGGAGTGGCAGGGATGCCCAGGGCAGCACCCGCCTTCCACCTCCCTGCATTGGGCCCAAACACTTGCATTGAGGAGATCCTCCTTAGAAGATATTGGGGTGCGGAATCTGTGCAGTCAGGAGTTGGGCTGAAGAAGACAAGGGGAGTTGACAATAAGAGTGACAGCAAGAGAAACAGCAGCCACCTGGAAGCCCCCATGAGCCAGGGTCCCCGGGACACAGCCAGTGGCACTGTGACCTCGGGCAGCCACATCCCCACCTGCCACTGATGGTCACCCTGATTTGGGCCTCACCCAGGCTTCTGGGGAGTCTGGCTGGGGGTCTCCTCTGAGCTCACTGACAGTCCCTCCATGTTGGTGTTCGCAGCTTCTGAAGCTGCTGGAAGGGGCACCTGCCCGGGATTTGCTTCCAGAGCCTTTGTGCCCAAGTCCCTGTCATGAAGTATGTCTCCAGATGTCCACCAGGCTGCATGGCCTTGGGAGCATGGAGTCTGCAGGCCCTGGGGCTTTGCCTGTGGGGGCTGTGTGTGTTCCATGCTGAAGGTGGGAAAATGCCCCCCTCTCCATGGGGTTGCACTTTGTACCGGGGGCTCAGAGTCCCCCAGAGACCTGCTTCCTCCTACAGCCCCTTTCCATGGGGTCCAGATAGGGGCTCTTGAGGTCAGGCCAGGACGCCCGTCTCTAGGGCAGACCTCAAGCCATGTCCCGACTTTAACTCTCCCCATGCACCACACAACCCTTCCTACTCATCCAGGCAAACCCTCCTAAAAGTTAACTCCAGTGGGGCCAAGCTCGACTCCAGACACCCAAGAGGGCTCACACCACCTGAGGACCTCCTCCCTGCTAGGTAGACTTGAACAAAGGATGTAGGGGCTAATATACACTCATTCAGTCAAGGGGCATGGACAGTTATCAACGCACTGTGTATAAATGCACACATAATGAGTTGCATTTGTGGAATGATTCATAGTTCACACAGTAGTCTCGCATACTGACCTGTTTGACAAGTATTCATGCCTTGTGAGTTCTGACTGCCCTGTGGTATAAGCATGTAAACTAAAAATAAAATCCTAAGCCCCCCAACTGACTGAACAGATTCCCTCTTGGCCAGGAGGACCCCAGAGAAACCTTAGAAACTGAGTTCCTGGCCATGATGGGACAGGAGGTCAGACGTGCATCTTCATACCCCTCCCTTTTGGATATTAGACACAGCAATGGCCCAGCACTAATGTTAAAATAGAGACCATAGGACCGATGGAGCAGACCCTTTGTGGCACTAAGATAACAAATTATAAACAGGACCTAAGTTCATACCAGGCAAGGGTTAAGTCACACACCCTACTCTTACAAATTACTCTGTGTTCTAACTGCCACAAGGATATTATTTTTTTTTTTAGCAGTAAAACAGGCACTGCCCTCAAGATAAGCAAGATTAAAACAATGGCCGCTTCCCAGCCTTCAGCATGGCCACCTTGCAGGCTGTAACCCTTTGTAAGAAATAAAGTCATCGTGGTCTCTCATCTCAGTTTGGAATGTGGCACCTGCTGAATCTTGGTGACAATCAAAATTCTTACTGCACCATCTTGGTGCCCATTCAGTGGGGAAGATTGGCTCCTCGTAGCAAAATGGAAGGAGAGGAAGTAAGAAGGAATGGATATTGAGCAGATAAAACCAAAAGGTCTGACTTAGGGCAGAGGCACCACTCTGGGCCTACATGGCTCTGCCTTTCCATCAAACTTGTAACTGGAACCGCAGATAAATATCCCCAAAGATCTCACTGTGTATTTCTCCATCTGGCAACTGCAAGCTCAATTACCAGGCCAAAGCCTGCAGAGGAAGCCTGAAGTTCAAACATCATGGGTAGGGCAAGGGAGGGGGCGGTTAATCGGGTGTAAAGGAATGAAGGTCACCTTGTGCTGCCTTCCTCCATTAACATTCTGCTTACCCATGAAATATTCCTAAATTGAATAACCTCATTACATCTTTTTTTCCTGTTGTGAAAATAATTGTCCTTAAAGGTAGTAGACAATCTCAGAAGAGAGTCATGGTTCATGTTTTAAAGCCCAAAAAGGAGGGGGAATAGAGCCTTGGGCAGAGGGTAAGAGTTTGGAGAGTAGTAGTTGAGGGAAGAAGTCCGTGAACAAATGTGGCTAAGCTCTTTAAGTCCCTAAGAAAGGTAGTTGGAGCCAATTCAACCATCTTCCAAAACAAGGGATTTGCAACTCATTGAAAGATGGGGATCATTTATGTCCACACTTTCATTCAAAATCTGAGCTACAATAAATGGATCTGGGATGAAATGAAAACCTTTCATTAAATATATTTTCAAAACAGGCGTGAAAGACGCTGAACAAATCCCTGTCAGCTGCACAGGTGTCTTTGTAACACATTGCCAGTTAGCGTGACAATGCACGGGAAGCAGCTATGCTCCAGGTTGTGCTCCAGCTGCTCAGCATTGACCCTGCCCCATGCCCTCTGAAGAAGCAGCTTTGCCGAAAGTGGAGGGCCAGCAAAGAAGGAAACTGAAAGCAGGTGTCCAGGTGAGCAAGCACTTCCTTGGGGAGATGGGAATTGTAGTTGAAAACTCTGGACTTCTACTTAAGGAAAAGGGAGAGATTTCCCAGTGTGGAATGACGTTCCATGGCACAGGCTGTGTTCACCCCATGGCACCCCTCAGGAACCAGGGTGCTTTGAATGTCCCCTGGAAGTTGGCTCAGTTTGTGCAAGGGCTGCTGGGATGAGCTATGGGGCAGATGGGCTGAGGACCACCAGTAACTGAGTTTTAATTGGGACCCAAAGTTTCCAGGCTCTGCTTCTTAGAACATGGCCCCAAACAATGGTGGGAGCCCATAGGTTCCCATCAGGGTCCTGAGCAGAGAGAGCCATAGAGTGGGTGACTTTTATCTGCAGAAGCCCAGCCTTGCTCTTCTCCCCCTCTGTTTCTTGCCTCTCCCTGGTGTATCACGTGTATCAGCACCTTCCTCCAGGTCTCAAGAAAGACTCCTAGGTCAGTGGAGTGAAAAGAGCTGGGACTTGGAGAGGGAAGACCTGGGCTTGGATCCCAAACCTCACACCAGCTACCCACATTACCTCAGGCACAGGCTCTCTGAACATCCGAGAATGAAGATAGCTACAGCCCACCGACCTCACAGGGTGAGGGAAGATCAGAGTCCTGATCTCCGAATTCACTGATGAACTCTAGAGCGCTGCCATGTTCTAGGTACCAGGATCCCACAGTGGTGTAGGTGTGCCTAAGCCACTGGGGCTGCTGTAAAAACACAATGCCTGGGGGCTTAAACAACAGACGTGTGCATGTCACAGCTCTGGAGGCCCAACTCAAGGCACCTACTGTGTCGGTTTTTTCTGAGGTCTCTCTGCTTGGCTTGTAGACACCAACTTCTCCCTGTCTCTTTACATCATCTTCCCTCTGTATCTTCTCTGTCCCAATCTGTGTCATATGGCTCTGTCTTATGAAGACGTAGCCATATCAGACCTGCCCCAGTGATCTCACTTTAACTTGACTACTTTTGGAAAGAAACCATCTCCAAATAAGGTCCCACTCTGAGCTACTGAGGGTTAGGGCTTCAACATATGGATTTGGGGGGACACAATTCAAAGTGTAACAGAATGGATTTGCCTCTCTTTCTTCTCCCAGCACTACTGCATGCCATCCTGTTTCTTCATGAAAAGCTGGAAGTCATTCCTAGCTCTACAGCTGTGGGTCCCAATCTTGGAGGCTGTTAGAATCTTTGAGGGAGTTTTAAAAATGTGATGCCCAAGCCACATGCAGACCAGGTAAATCAGAACCCTTAGGAGTGGGGTCCAGGCATGGGCACATTTCAGAGCTCCCCAAGGGGCAAATCTGAGACCTAATGCCTTAAAAGGACTTGCGGGGTGAGAGTGATTAAATGTTGACATATCAGAGCTCCTCTCCTGAGGGCTTCTGCTTTGCTACGTGGCTCTGCTCAGGAGCCCAGTTAGGCTCTGCTCAGGAGCCTGATTAGGCCTGACATGGGTCAAAAAATTAGAGCAAAAGCTGGAAAATTGTCTCCATAATGAAATGAACTATGTTTATAACAGCAGTGCCCTTGGAGGAGAGAGATGCTCATTCCAGTGTCTAGCACTAGAGAACGGGGGTGAGCTGTCCAAGCAGAAACCGGATCAAGGACGACGTCTCAGACATCATGCAGGAGAACTCTCTCTTCTGTAGTCTTATCAGCAAATGCATCATGCTCTTTAGGGCGGCTCTTTGGTGACAAGCATTGAGACTATAAGCACCATATGGAACAAGATGATGAGGGCCCCTGGCAAGACGCTTGTGAGATTGCGCCAGCCTTTGGGGCTAGAGTAAGGCTCCCTCAATGGGGTATGTGAAAGGGACTGGCTGTTCACCAGCACCAGAGAACCTGGAGTTTGAAAACCCAGATCCTGAAATATTTTCTGGTATCTGGGCCCCTGAATCTATCCTGATTTTCAGTACATCTTTTTGAAAGTTTTGGTGATGTTACCTGCCTTAAAATGGGACAAAGAGGCATTTTTGTTCACTCTTGGACCAGGGCTTGAAAGGGAGCCCTGTACTCTTGGGACCTGTAGGAGGGCTGCAGGAGGAACAGGGAGAAAGCCCGTCCTTGAAACCCCCAGAGGATGAGGGCACTGCTGGGCCAAACCTTGCTCCTCAGACATGTGTTCTCCTCCCATCTGGTCACTCACTCATTCATCTATTCACTCATCCACTCAATCATTCATTCACTTATTTACTCATTCACTCATTCACTCACTCACTCATTCATCTATTCACTCATCCCTCACTCACTCATTCGTCTATTCATCCACTCATTCACTCACTCACTCATTCGCTTATTTACTCATTCACTCACTCAGTCACTCATTCACTCACTCAGTCACTCATTCATCTATTTGCTCATCTATTCACTCACTCCTTCACTCACTCACTCATTCATCTATTCACTCACCCATTCATTCACTCACTCACTCATTCACTTATTTACTCATTCACTCGTTCACTCATTCAGTCACTCATTCATCTATTTACTCATCCACTCGTTCACTCACTCACTCATTCATCTAGTCATTCATCCACTCCTTCACTCAGTAATTCATTCACTTATTCACTCACTCAGTCACTCATTCATCCATTCACTCATCCACTCGTTCACTCACTCATTCATCTATTCACTCATCCACTTGTTCACTCAGTCACTCATTCACTTATTTACTCATTCACTTGTTCACTCACTCAGTCACTCATTCATCTATTCACTCATTCACTCGTTCACTCACTCACTCCTTCACTTATTTACTCATCTGCTTGACTCAGTCACTCATTGATCTATTAACTTATCCACTCATTCACTGTGTCAGTGACTCCTTCACTTATTCACTCATCCACTTGCCACTTCTGTGGCTTTCAGGGGAGATTGGGCATCCTCCCTCCTTGGCACAGCCTGGGGGTTCTTTACTTTGGCCCCAGCCTTATTGGGCGGCAGGTGTGTGGCTGCCTCCCTCTGTGGAATCTTCTAGTTCATGCCAGCTCCTCCTTCCTGGAACTATTGCGTGCTCCTCCCTGCCTGGCTGCAGTTGCATTTACTCATTCGTTCATTCACTGACCCACTCACTCATTCATTCACTCACTCATCCATTCATCCACACATTCATTTATTCATTTGTCCACTCATTCTCTCACTCAATCATTCATTTGTTATTCATTCATCCACTAATTTACTCATTTTTTATTCATTTACCCACTCAATTCACTCACTCACTCATTTATTCACTTATCCACCCATTCACTCATTCATTCACTTATTCACTCATCCACTCATTTACTTATTCATTCACACATCACTCATTTACCCATTTATTAATTCACTCACTCACTCATTTATTCACATATCCACTCATTTACTCATACATTTGTTCAATCACTCATTCACTTATTCACTCATCCACTCATTCACTCACTCATTTATTCCCTCATCCACTCATTTACTCATTCATTCATTCACTTGCTAATTCATTTATTCACTTATCCACTGATTTACCCATTCATCCATTCATTAACACACTCATTTATTTATTCATTTATCCACTCATTCACTTATTTCTCATCCACTCATCTACCCACTTGTTCACTCGCTCAATCATTCATTTACTTATTCATTCATCCACTCATTTATTCACTGATTCATTTACTCACTCATTTGTTCACTCATTCACTCATTTAATCACTCGTTCATTTATTTACTCATCCAGTTGTTCACTCACTCAATCACTCATTCACTTATTCACTCATCCACTCATTTACTCATTTATTCATTCACTGACCCACTCATGTATTTATTCATCTACTCATTTACCCACTCATTTATTCACTCATCCACTCACTCATTTACTAACTCATCCAGTCATTTACCCACTAATTCAGTCAGTCACTCACTCATTCATTTATTCCCTCATCCACTTATTTCTTCACTCACTCATTCAACCCATACTCAGAGAGAACTTTCTTTTTTTCTTTTTTCTTTTCTTTTCTTTTTTCTTTTTTTTTCTCTTTGAGATAGAATCTCACTCTATCACCAGACTGGAGTGCAGTGATGTGATCTCAGCTCACTGTGACCTCTGCCTCCTGGGTTCAAGCAATTCTCCTGCCTCAGCCTCCCATGTAGCTGGGATTACAGGCACACACCACCATGCCCAGCTAATTTTTGTATTTTTAGTAGAGACGGGGTTTCACCATGTTGGCCAGGATGGTCTCCATCTCCTGACCTCGTGATCCACCTGCCTCAGCCTCCCAAAGTGCTGGTATTACAGTGGTGAGCCACCACGCCTGGCCCAGAGAGAACTTTCAACATGCCAAGTACAGTTCTGTGCCCATAGATGAGGGAGTGAGCAAGATAGACTAAGTTCTTGTGCTCTTGAAGCTAATATTTTACTGGAACAGACATACAATGAGTAAGCTAACAAATCAATATACAACAGCTTCAGGTGTTAAGAAGTACTATGAAGAATGATGAAATTAGGTAAATTAATAGAGAGAGGGCAGGCAGGAATGGGAGCATCCCACTTTCTCTACAGTGATCAGAGAAGACCTGAATAAAAAGGCAGCATAGCTAAAGCAATTGTTTGGCCTTTGCTTCCTTCTTATAAAGAGCGTTGGTGTTTACTTAGCTTTGCAGCTTGCAAAGCCACCTCAATCCACTGTCTCAGTTTATGCCCACAGTGACCTGGCAGATGGAGGAAAACAGGCGCTGTTCTTTCTATTTTTACAGGTGATGAAATTGGCACAGAACACCAAAGGATGGAGCTGAGATTCATGCCTGGGCTGCCTCCCCACAATCCCCTCACGTTGAATCCAACCCTGACTTTTGTGTCCCACCGAGGAAAGAAGAAAGCCACCCACCCCAGTGACCATGGCCTCTAACTGCTCTCTCTGCCTGTGGAAAGCCAGTGGATTGGGCTAGGACACAAATGCCTTCCATCGATTTTCCTTTCAGCTTTTATTGGGCACTGTTCATGGGACTCTTTAAACATCAGTGTGGTTTCCCATGGCCTTCTGAGGAGCTGTAAAACTTCTTTCCTTGCCATTCAAGTTCAATTCTGGCCTCAATAGATTCTATCTTGTTTTATGCTTTTAATGGAATTCAAGTTTACAGAATAAAATGAATCATTATTCTTGATTCATGATACATGCTCATCTTTGCTCCATACTTGACTCTCCTGCTGTCTTGTATTTTATTTCATTTATTTACTAATTTGTTTTTAGTAATATAATGAAAACCAAGATTCATACCACTCAACCCAAGAATTTCAGCACTGGCCACTAAAGTCTATATGCCCTTCTGGCTTTATTTCTCCACTCAGACGGGTAGCCTCCAGCCTGAATCAGGCATTATGGTTCTCTTGATGTTTTTAGTGTACAGTGTTAGCAAGGGTGTGTATGTGTGTGTGAGCCTGAACAATATATTGTTTAGATTTGGTAGCTTTGTATTCTTAAAAGCTATTCTCTAAGCTGTAGTTATCACCATTTAGCCTCCATACAGTAGGATCTAAGAATATGGAACTTATTAGAAATGCTAATTCTTGAGTCCCACCCCAGACCTACTGAATTGGAAATTCTGATTTGCATTTCTCTGATTACTAATAAGGTTAACAACCTTTTAATTTCCTGACTGGATGTTTGTGCTTCCTCTTCTCTGAAATGCCTCACAGACATTTGCCGAGAGTTTTTAAGTTGTATTGTTTATCATTTACTGATTGATTTTAGGAGTTCTTGATGCATTTTTGACAGGAATTCTTTCAGGTTAAATGCATTGAGAATATTGTCTTCCAGGTAATAGCTTCTGTTTTCAATTTCTTTGTGCTGTCTTATGATGAGTGGGATTTGTAATTTTCATAGAATCAAGTGTTTTGCTCTTTTTTTGTGGTTGCCACATTTTGAGTCTTCTTTAAGAATTGTTTTCCTTACCCCAAGGATAGAAACACCTATATATTTTCTACTAAAGGCTTGAAAGTGTTTGCTTTTGACACATAAGTCCTAAGGCCTTTCAGAATTGCCTTGTATGTGGTATAAAGTTGGGATCCATGTTCACTGTATTTTCCAAATGAATAGTCACTTTTTCCTGGCTACATTTGTTGAATAGCTCCCCCTTTTCCCCGTGATGTCCTGTGACTCTTCTGTCAAAAGTTCAAGCTTCACAACTGTGTGTGGTTGTTTTTGGGCCATCTATTCTATTACATCAGCCAATGTGTATATTTTTACACCATCAACAACTGCCTTAATTACACTCACTTCATAGTAAATGTTTATATCTGGTAATCAAGTTCCCTTTCCAGATGTGTGTCTACTGTTTCTATTGGAATTTTCATTGAGCTTGTTTTGAACCGATGGTCACTGTGGGGAGAATTCCCACTTCCAGCGCTCTCTCCCGAGACTTCTTCCAGGAACCCGAGCTCTCAGTTCAATTGACCGTCCTTGTTTCAAGCCTTTGCTCACGCTCCCTCTTGCTAAGCCCACCCCACCTCGCAATTTAGAGCACACCCTGCTCTCTCCACTCTCACACTTCAATGCTCGGCTCTGCCTCCTTCCCGAACCTTTTTCTAACAGCTCAAACCCTCGGGATCCCCCCATCCCATTGAAAAGGGACAGTGCCTGTTGAAAGGAAGCTCTGTTAAATGTTAGTTGTTATAATGATTATCAGACTAGTTTCTCCATTCGCTGCGAACTTTTTTAAAGGTAATTTATTTTGAATTTTTTCTTAAACATTTCCTAAGAATGACTATAATTCTTCAAATTGTCTCTTATTTTTCTAAAGCCATAGCAAAGAGGAGGAACCGGTGACTTTCTAGAGGAATTCCTGGCAGGACACCCCCGCCCAGCAGGAGCTCTGGGGTTGTGGCGGTGGACAGGCTGCCACTGGCCAATGTCTCGTCTGAACTCAGCTGATGGCTTTCTCCAGATTCCCACCTTCATAGATTTGGGATGATTTTGAGGGAGAATCTGGTCCATATATAACCAGTCCTTTTTAAGTGAATTTTCTCTGCGTATGATGTATAAAGTCCCAAATTAAAGAACTTGGAGAAGTTTTATGGATCAGTTTATGGCTGCATGAAAGTTGACTCTTTAAAAATGTGTGGCCTTTGGTTCTCGTAATATTTGTTCTGTTTGTTTCTGTTCAAGTTACTAATAAAAATTAATAAATTGGCTATTCTTGAGTCTTTGGAAACTGGTTGTGTTTCCAAAACAAATACACCTGCCTGTGATCATCATAAAAGTGATCTATCCAGAATTATCTGAGGTTGTAAATGTTAAGAAGAAAAGACAAAATTTAAAGCATCAAAAGGCTCTATGGAAACAAACTGCTCAGTAATCTGTGTTTTTGAGATGCATTTAATGATCCAGAGTTAAAATGCCAAAGTCATTTTGTTTTCCTCAATGTAGAAATAAATTACTTGGGAAAAGAGAGAGTTGTGGATTAAAGACAATTACTGAAATTCTTATGACTTTGATTTTCATGGTAATTCATGTGATACAATTTTTTTAAAATCTCAGGTTTGAATCCTCAGTAAATTGTACTTCTACAAGAATAATGGTTAATAAAAAAGTCATTCTATATGCTGTACAGATCTCTAATGGTCAGGCAGTAAAAATTCATTAAATATTCTAGGTCTAACACTAAAGAAAAAATAATTCAATCTCATAGAACTTTGTGGCTTGGAAGCTACATCATAATCTCAAAAATGAAATTCAATGTAATAAATACTCACTGAGGGCATATCCAGGCCCAGAACTGGACTCTAAAGATGCAGAACTGGACAGGACACAGCCCTCCCCTCAAGCAGCTCAGCAACTCAGCATATGCCTGTGGGTTGCCACTATTGACACCAGCTGCCATTGCACCGGAGTTTGAAACTATTACTGTTCTTTCTTTCTGATAGTTTGGATTCTGCATGAACTAGACTATTGATTAGAAGCGACCTGATTTATAGAGCAAGTTGCTTGGCTCAGTTGTACCTCGATTATTTATCTAAAAGACAAGGATGATGGGTCTGACCTTCGAGAGGCAATACTGTGAGGCTGCAAGTCACTTTTCTAACATCTTAAAACCTGTGCAGATCCCATTCTCATGTCAAGACAGACTATCAATCCTTCGTGAGCTGAAGTCTAATGAATCACTCAGCAAACACATGCCTCCCCTCCCTCCCTCAGGGAGATGGATACCAGGGACCAAGAAGTCAAGATGAAGGACAAGGAGTTACTGCAGGAGAAGCCTTGCTGAGAACAGGAATTAAGAGACATATTGCGGAAGTGTCTCTGCCAAAGTACTGAGTTCGCCTACTATTTGGTAATAAGAACATTAGATTCTGTTCCAGAAACCACAAAATATGAACATAAATAGATGACCATATTACAAACATATTTTGAACGTAAGTGTATGAACATATTTATTATCATAAATATATGAACATAAATTCAGTGAAACAGTGAGGCTCCCTCAGGCCCAGGTGCGAAGTCCCCACTGTGTTGAAATAGCAGCTGCTCCCTGATGCTCTCCACGCTACCTTCACGGCGTTTTCTACTCCAGCTCTCCTGGATTTCACGTATTTTGTTTGTTTTCAGACGGATCCTCAAAGAGGCATCTTGACTTTCTGGTTTGGACACTGTCCTCACAGAACAGCATCTGTAAAAGTTTTAGTTGCTCAGTGGTAACATTTGATGATAAGGAGAAAAAGCCCAACACAGTTATGCTTCCATTTTTTAAAAAAATACAAGCAGTGGACATTGAAGAGCCTGTGGCAGGTGAATGAGGGATTGAACATTAAATTCACAGAAAACAATATCTTTCCTTTCAAAAGAATCCCTTATGGGTTCCCATTGGGAGTTACCTTATGACATTCAAAATATTATTCAATTTACAAAAAAAATTTGGGGGATGTGTACATGCAGAACAGGGAGAAAATAGTGTGGGAAAGAGTCTTCTATTCTGTGCTGATTTACTGCATTCCGGGTTGATGTGTTCAGAATGATGAAAACAACACATCAACCACTATTAGAACACATAAGATAAAGGTTGCTGCTGATGGTGAAAATGGTTAAATAAAAACTTTGGTCCTATACGTGGGGCTGGGGAAATAGAAGTCAAGTAATTATTATAATCAGAGGTCCTACATTCCTGAAAAAAATTATATTGGTGGGGTAAAATGAGTCCATTTAAATCCATCCTGTATAAAAGGGTAATCGATTTAAAAAAGTGTCCTAATAATGGTGATTGTTACTTCAGAGTTGACTTATTCAATATCAGTCCCAGGAGAAGCTATTTGAATGATGTAGCCACTGATAGTCTCCAAGGCTTTCTGGTACTTTGCAATTCAAAGTTCACACATAATCTGATCTCCTATTTATTTGTTTATTTATTTTTGAGACAGAGTCTCATGCTGTCACCCAGGCTGGCGTGCAGTGGTGCGATCTCAGCTCACTGCAACCACTGCCTCTCAGGATCAAGTGATTCTCATGCCTCAGCCCCCCAAGTAGCTGGGATTACAGGCATGCACCACCCCCGCACCCAGCTAATTTTATTTTTATTTTTATTTTTAGTAGAGATGGGATTTTGCCATGTTGGCCAGGCTGGTCTCAAACTCCTGACCTAAAGTGACCCACCTTCCTTGGCCTCCCAAAGTGCAGGGATTACAGACTGCACGCGGTCCCGATCTCCTATTTAAAAGCAATTGGGGAAAATGTGTCCCTGTGCTATTACAGTCTTTGAACGTCCTCAAGAAATAGCCAATCAGGGAAATGGTGGCTCAGCTCCGGTAGGAAAAAAGAATCATAAAAGCCCCAGGTGTTTTATTTTTAAATCTTAACCCCACTTCTTTCTTTAAAGAGGAGGACACATGGCCCTCATGGATTGTTATTTGTTTGGGATTTCCCTGCTGAGTTTGGCTATGATCATGAAGATGCAAGCTTGGGAGACACACTTGTTTTCAAAGACAAATCCATCTCCAAAGAAAATGAAATGCATTCCCTGAGCTGTGGGAACCAGGAACTACCCATGCTTGCCACTTCTGATTAAAGTAAGGCATTGAGAAGAGAATAGACAGAAAGAAGGAAGAAGCTGAAACAACAAACATCAGACCACCAAATAGCACAAATCATATGTCCTCCCTTTTTTTTGAGGGAATCAGTAATAACAAGGAACCCAAATGCCCATCCATCAAGATAGTCACTTTTATCCAATTCTCACTCTGAGCTCAAAAATGAAAACGTTAGAGCAAAGACAGGGCGCCGGATTTGGAGACCAGGGAATGACCAGGCACATTTCCTAATGCACAGCCGGACAAGCTCAGAGTGCCATTAACACACCCCGCAGCATCTTCCCAAAACTTGTTCAAGAATTCCCTTAAATGTGTTAAACACAGGTTGGTGTGAAGGAGAGAGGGCAGTTCTAGACCCAGCGGGAAAGTAAGACAGAAACCAAGGCCGAGCCCTGGGCCTCAGGGTGGAAGATCAGGATAGAGTTGGCTTCTCTCCGGAGGCTCTGACACCTGCCAGGAAGAATGGCGACTCCATGGCAATTAGCAGCTATTGGAACCAACTAAGGGCTCCAGGAGCACAGCCTTCTGCAACCGACTGGAACAAATGCTGGGTTAGGAAATGCGGCTTCCTCAAGAACTCAGAGGACAACTGCAGAGTTTGCTTCTATTCATCTTCATGGTGGAGCTGGAAGTTCACTAGAGACAGGTGTTTTTTCTTTCATTGTTTGCTTATTGAAAAATCAAGGCTCACAGACGTTGAATACAACCCTAAACTCTACAGCAAATCATCTCAAATGAAAACTCAACCCCCTGATTTGTGTCTGCCTCTCTAGAGTTCATCCATGACTGAATTTCCCACTCGTAAAATAAAGATGAAACCAGAGGTAGAGTTGCCAGAGTCAGCAGAATAAAAGTAGAGGACACTCAGTTAAATTTGAATTTCAGAAAAACAACAAATACATGTTCAGTATAAATATATTCTATGCAATATTTGGTATGTGCTTATATTAAAACAATATCTCATTGCCTGGAATTCACATATGACTGAGTGTCCTGTATCTTACCTGGCAACCCCAACCAGAGGAAGAAACTAGCCCTCTCTACATCCAACAAAGAGGGAGGATGCTCTCCTGTCCCCCTAGATGTCAATCACCCTTCACCAAACTTCTGCCTCCCAGCGCCTCCTCCTGAGCTCCAGCTTTTCTCTTTGCCAGTCACTTAAAGGGGTCCATGCAGAGCTGATTGATGAAGAGTAGATTAACTTGACCTAGCCCAGCCCAGCCAACGTCCACTCACCAAATATTCTGAACTTGTTGGCACAAGAGAGCTTTTCTCTTCTGATCAAGAAACTCTTGTTATTTTTAAACATTTCAACTAAAATATCATTTATTAATTTTGACATTGTAAGCAAAAATAAATACAATGCTTGCTGCACAGTGCATCCTAAGTGTTTGTGAAATGAGGGAATGGATGAATGAGTGAGTGATTCGAAGTGAGGAAGAGCAGAGTTCCCACTGGGTCAGAAAGTGATTTTTCACATTTACATTATAAACCCTTTTAGAAATACTGACTGCCTCCTGGGTATTTATATATAAATATTTACATGTGGCTCCAGCAGAAGAAAGAAAACCAGGGTACCTGTAGGCCATCCTTTCCTTTTGACTTGACTGCCCATGTTCTCTGCTTGCTCCTGTGTGCTGGGAAGGTGGGAGGGCCACCAGGATTAGGTTAGATTTGAGGTTAGATGGGCTGAGCGTGGCATAGTCATAAATGAAAGAATCTGTCACATCCTTGGGACGGAGCTGGAGAAACATTTTCTGAATAAATGCAATGCGCAGGAAGGAAAGGCCCTCGATGTCTCCACCCACCAATATGAGTAAACTTCAGCTCATACTTCCTGGCTCCACCCACCACCAAAAAAGGCTCCAAGTGTCACCAGAAAATTCAGTGTATTTTGATTACTTTACTGAGAAGGGTCTCAATTTTGCTACCCAAGTCTCGTTGTAAAGCTAAGCCTATTTGCTTCCGAGGGTGGCTGTAACAAAGGACAGCAGGGAGGCTTAAACCAGGAGAGATTTCTTCTCTCACTGTCTGGAGGCCAGAAGCTGGAACCCAGGTTTTAGCAGAGCCGTGCGCCCTCTGAGAGGCAGAGAATCCTTTCTGCCCCTCCCAGCTTCTGGTGGTGGCCATCACTGCTTGGTGGTTCTGAGTTTGCAGCTGATCGCACCAGTCACTGACCCTGTCATCATACCGTGTCCCCCTGTGGGATCGCGCCAGACCCTTATGCTGTCATTATACAGTGTCCCCTTGTGGGTGGCCTGGCCTCATGCAGTGTTTTCCTCTTCAGATAAAAACACCAGTCATAGGGGATTAGGGCCCTCCCTAGTGACTTCATCTGAATCTAACTACATCTGCAAAGAACTTATTCCCAAGTGAGATGACATGCACAGATACCTGGGTTTAGGACATCAACATGTCTTTTGGGGAACACAGTTCAACTCATGACATTAAGTATCACAATATGTCCCATGTACCAGCCATTCTACAAAGCAGAAAGACTTGCAGGTAAATACCATTGTCCAACTCAAGGGCGTGGAGACAACGACAGCCAGGGACCAATTCCTCATTAGGATATGTACTGAGCATGGGCTGTAAGGCAGACTGTCCACTCCTCACATGATTCTATCTCACTCACGACTGCAGTGCATAAACAGGTGCTCACTGTTTGCAAAAAAAAAAAAATGTACATAAATAAACAAGGTACCAAGCTAACAAGTGAGTAACCAGCAAACATGGAATAGTTGTGAGCAAATATGGGCTTATTCACAATGGGCCATACTCTGTCAGATCTAAACCTTCACCAGTTATATAACTCACCACTGCTTTTTGTGCCACAAGGAAAAAAAAGTGTTGCCAACTAAACCATTGCACAGTGAATTCTTATCACTGAGAATTGTAAATGTATTAATAGAGTTCTTGGCTGGGTGCCATGGTTCATGCCTATAATCCCTTTAGGAGGCTGAGGCAGGAGGACGACTTGAGCCTAGGAGTTTGAGATCAGCCTGGGCAATATGGTGAAACCCCATGTCTACAGAAAACGAAAAATAAAATAAAATAATTAGATAGGCATGGTGGTGCATGCCTGTAGTACCAACTACTTGGGAGGCTGAGTGGGGAGGATCACTGGAGCTCAGGAGGTTGAGGCTGCAGTGAACCAGGATTTTGCCACTGCACTCCAGTCTGGACAGTAGAGCAAGACTCTGTCTCAAACATAAATAAATAAATAAATAAATGGGTTCTTTTATTTAGTCATGTTTTCGTATCCTATATCTCTTGTGCATAAAAATGAAAAGGAACACATAAGCAGTATGAAGAGCTAAGATGTTTTTAAAACTTTTTTGAATGCAGCATCCGCTGCTCCTAAGTCATGTCCCGGCTCACTCAGCCTCACTCACGCCTTCCCACGCGGTATCAGCCTCTGAGCAGCCAAGAGCCAGTTGGCTCCACTGTTGCCCCTGGACTTTTTCAAGCTGCCAACACCCATTCTGTATATTTGGATGCTGATCCTTTGTAAGCTTAACAGAAGGTGTAATAGAGGGTTCCAGAAAGCAATCAAAATCACCTCAACCTCAAATGGTCTGAGTTACTGGGTAGTTGAAAGCCAAAGATTGGGATGTCCAGCTGTGGCACTAGGCGACAAGTCTAGATGACAAGTCGCTGGGCTGTGCATTGAGCTTGTTCTGAATTTCACTCTTACAAACATTCTCACACATGCGGGCAAAAGTCGATCATGATTTCAGATCAACCACAATTACAATCAATTACCAGACACATCCTTATACTAAAGATGTTAAAATGTGAAGAAGAAGGGGAAAAAAAGTACAACTAGTGTTTGATGAATAACCTGGAATGATCAATGGTGATCATTGGTCAACTATTTGCTAGCTGTTGTCTTCTGTGAAAGTATCAGCAAAGGCCAGACCTCTGTTAGGAAATGCAGGCATCATCTAATCTTTGTGAAAGGCAGCTATACAGTTGTCTTTAGTGAGAGGCAGTAACACTTAAAGCAATTTCTGAATGAAATAAGAAATAATAACCATTTAAACGACAGAGCAGAAGCAAGCCATGCTGCGTGAATGTTTCAGAATATTTTTAAAGTCATTAATCAATATGCCTTTTGGGCATGGAATGGTAGTGAGAATGAGATCCAGACTCTGGCTCCAGTCTTATGCTGTGTGGCCTCTTGCAAGCTCCTTCATCTTTCTGGATGCAGTTTTCTTCTGTGTAACATAAGACTCTCAGGTTTATTCCAGATGCAACATTCTACTTTTGATTTTTCAGAAAAAGACCTCATAGCCATTTGCAGTCTGGCCCCTTGCTCAATAGGTCACTTGAAGCTCTTTCTTAAAAGTATGCACCAAAGTATAATAATAAATAAATAAATAAATAAATAAATAAATAGTTACTGAAAAATAAAATAAAATAAAATATTCTAAAAAAAAAAAAGTACGCACCAAACACTTTCTACGCAGGAGGATAATTTCTAATTCAATAGCAGCATCCAGGCCCTCTTCCATGTGGCCTGCTTTGCAATGCAGGGGCACACTTTGAGATAATATTAGGGTATTTCAAAGAACTTTAGAGTGCCTCAAGTTCCACCTTCTTTACAGAACTAGAACTTTGCTTCAATACCCAATCCTTTGTTAAATACTCCTCTGAGAACGTGTTTATGTCTCAGCAACGCAGCCAGTTCAATCAATCACTCAAATGGCTGGACAATTCTTTCCTGCCCAGTTGTCACAAACAATTGGAATAGAACAGGACGTCCAGACATGGACCCAGTAAGAGAGGACAGTGCCCAGCACACACAGCAGAAGGCTCACACTGAGCACCTAAAGACCATTGAAACACACATCGCCTGGTGGAAAATACACAAAGAACATCAACAGATTGTTTAATAAAAAGAAAATGTCATCGGCTCTCAACCATACAGAGGCATACTCAAGCTGATACAAAATAAGAAAAATACAAAATTAAACTCAGTAAAGGTGTATTTTCAACTCTCAATTAGGCAACGATCAAAAAAGCTTAACAACAGCTGCTGACCAGGCCTAGAGGAAACAGGCGTCCGTATACATTGTTGGTGGGAATATAAATTGATAGAGTTTACAGGAAGGGGAATTTGACAATATCTACCAAAATACAAAAGCACGTAACTTGTACCTACCAATTCTACTTCTAAAATTATAAATCACAGAAGCAATTCTCAAGCTTTTTGGTTTTGGCACCACTTTATACTCCAAATCTTACTGAGGCCCCAAAGACTTTTGTTTACATGGGTTACATAGACTGACATTTACATTAAAAATTATAAGTGATGAACTTAAAAGAGATGTATTATATCATAAAATAATAATAATCCCATTGCATAACAATATAAAACACATTTTCATTAAAAGTGGTTATATTTTCCAAAAATATTAGTGAAAACAGGGCATTGTTTCACATTTTTACAAATTGGCCTGGGAGAAGACAACCAGATTCCCAGCTCCACTTCTGCACTCGGCCCTAGTGAGGTGTGGTTTTGGTTGATGTCCCTGGAGGAAATCTGCCTGACTTGGGAATGAAGCTGCAAAAGAAAGCTACTTGCAGGAGAGGTGCGGGACTCGTTTTGGGAAGCTGAGTCTGACAGACAGCCACAGGCATGTGAAACCATGGTATCATTCCCTGAGGTGTTGCTTGTTAACAGCAGAGGACTGGCAACAATCCAAGGGTCCCTCGAAAGGGGGATGATTAAATAAACTACAGCCCATTTGTAAGAATGGAATTCTATGCAACTATTAAAATGAATGATGTAGTGTATTAAGTACCGTTATGTGGAAATGAAAGATTTATCGATAAGCATAAAGTAAAAAATAATCTGCCGAGCCTATTTATATAAATATATAGTTTATATAAATATATAGTGTATATAAAATACATCTGGAAGGAAACGCAGTAAAGCATTATTGATAGTTACTTTCCCAGAAGGGATGGGGGCCTTCACATTAGGGCATCGGCAGGCTCACTTTTCATTTTACATCTTTTGTAGCTTTTGAATTTTCTACCATGTGTATATGTTATCAAGCCAAAATTAATTAATCAATCACTGTAAATACAAATTTATAACCTATTCTGAAGACAAAATGAATTAATGCATGACAAAATGCCTGGCCCTTTGTAGATATTCAATAAATGTTAGCTGTTCTAGTTAATAATTTTATTATTATTATTAAATCATAGAATAACTCTAGTTTGGGTTATGTTTAGTCTCCAGTCTTCCACTACCTGGGTCACCCTTATAAGTGCTACAACCCCTGACGGTCTCTCCTGAAAGTAGTTCCAGGTCTGGTCTGAACGCCACAGCACAATAGAACAGCCTCAGAAACCAGTTTAGGTTTTATTTTTGGGCGTTAAATATTTCCTGTAACCATATTTTGTTAGTCTAGTCATTATCGAAACAGTACCTTTGCCTTCCCCTATGGGTTCGATTAATTTCCCTTAGAGAAACCCTTCCAACACCTGGAGTCTTCACGCCTCCCCGTGTGCTTGGATCGGGAGCACAGAGTGAAGCTCTGATGCTCCCCGTGCTCCCTCATTCTACGTGTGCTCATTTTCCTCTAAGGATTTATTCCCACCTCGGGTTTTAAAATACCTCCCACATATACTTCCTAGATTTGTGCTTACAAACCAAGTCATCAATAAATGTTATTTGTTTGATGTGTAATAATTCACTTTTCTATTTCACTTTGCCTTAGACTCACAAGATTTTAGACAACACCCATAATTCCTTCTCCACATTACTCAGTAATCACAATCTAAATCTAAGATTCAATCTATTTAGGAAAAATACCACACACAAAAAATTCAAAATCATTTTGTTTCATGTTTTAAACAGCTAAAGTAGAAATAAGCATTTGACAAGCACGACTATAAACTGCAATGTGGTGGATCCCACACCCCTCTGATCCGAAACTCTGTCATTCCTGCACCACGTAGAGACACTGCGACACATTTCTCAGCCTTCACCGAGTCTCTGTGATCATGATGTCGAGATGCTGCCACATGTTTCTCAGCCTTCACCAACTCCATGAGATCGTGACGTCGAGACACTGCGACACATTTCTCAGCCTTCACTGACTCCGTGTGACCATGTCATTGAGACGCTGCGACACATTTCTCAGCCTTCACCGGGTCCGTGTGACCATGACGTCGAGACGCTGGGACACATTTCTCAGCCTTCACCGGGTCCGTGTGACCGTGACATCGAGACGCTGGGACACATTTCTTAGCCTTCACCGAGTCTGTGTGACCATGACGTCAAGACACTGTGACACATTTTTCAGCCTTCACCGGGTCCGTGTGACCGTGACGTCGAGACGCTGGGACACATTTCTCAGCCTTCACCGAGTCTATGTGACCATGATGTCGAGATGCTGTGACACATTTCTCAGCCTTCACCGGGTCCGTGTGACCATGACGTCGAGACGCTGGGACACATTTCTCAGCCTTAACCGAGTCCGTGTAGTCCGTGTGACCATGATGTCGAGACACTGCTATGCGTTTCTCAGCCTTCACCGGGTCCGTGTGACCATGACGTCGAGACACAGTGACACATTTCTCAGCCTTCACTGAGTCTGTATGACCATGATGTCGAGACACTGCTACACATTTCTCAGCTGTCACCGAGTCTGTGTGACCATGATGTCCCCTTCTCTTCAACATCTTGAAATAGGATTAAATATATAAAGTCTTAGAATCCAAAGCCAGCCTGTCACTGACTTCCTAGAGCTACCTGCTCTGCTGTGTCCTGGGCCCTGTATGGAGCTTGCTGAGATTTCTGGTCTGTTCTCCGAGGTGCCTTTTTTCCTTCATTCTTCATTCATTCCTACTCTATTGAATGCCTGCCACCTAAGCACAGGGGGTACAGGGTTGATGAGGAAAATGGGGCCCAATGGCAAACTCAGAAACCATTCCAACTTATATTTCCCTTTGAATGTCCCCTCTCTCAAAGGCAGTTGATCAGAGCACCGCCCACGGCCTTTTTCAATCTTCGCCTCCATGGTAATAACCATAAAATCACCCACCTTCCTTTCATGTTATTTTAAATTTAAAACTAAATACTGTTATCAAATCACATAAAAGTAAAAATCTTTCTAGAATCAAAGTTATCTTGATTTGAAAGACGCGTATGATTGACTTCAAAGATAGGATCAGTGTGAAGATTGATTCTACTTGCTTACCACAGGTTTCCTATTATTTAACCACAATCAGTTTCCAATGAGAGTCTGCTCATGGGAGACTCTGACTCTCTCACTCCTCCCCCACTCCACGGAATGGGGAAAACCAGCCCGGCCGAAGCCCATCAGTGCAGCAGGAAGCTGGGGGCTTGCCCAGGAAGTCTGGGGTGAGGCAGGCCAGGAAAGGATGTGGGCCCCTCAGGAACATGTGAACACAAAGTGGAGACACTTCTCTCCAGATCCTAGATAGGAAATGGGAGGTGACAGTGATCAGAATTCCCAGTAACAATCAATTACCAAGCACAAGAGAGCATTTGGAACTCCATGGAAGCAGTTTGGGTAGCATTGGAAGTGTCTAATTGGTAAATGTCGACAATAAATTTACAAAAACTGTCAATGAGATTTTGAAATGGTAAACCCTGAAGATTGGACATGAGGTCACCTGTTGATTCATTAAAATAATACTCCTTTTTATTATATCAAAACTAGATTTATTTTTAACTTTTGAGAATGTATGTATTACATAAAATAAGATACCAGGCAGTCAAAGTCGAGGGGAAACTGAAAGGAATGCTTTGGGGGCATCAGGAACGCCTTCCTAGACTTCAGTGCCAACAGCACTCATCTCCTCTCAGCTTGCGAGCTGCGCTCTCCTAGGCCCTTGCAGGTGGGATGTGCGCCAGCTCCTCCCTGTGCGGAGGCGGCACGTGGGGAGAAGGCTCTACAGGGCTGTGCAGGGGCTGCAGCACAGGCTCTGCTCTGGATCTGCAACAGCTTGTGCAGCCAAGGGCAGGCATTCAGGCTCAGTCCTCAAACAAATAATCAGATCTGACACTGTTGACGCGGGAGGTAAAGAAATTGCTTTTTCCCTGGAGCACAAAGTAAAGACACCATGAAACAGTCAATTCCATGGGGAATGACCAGATATTCTCTCCATCGTTGGTGTTTGCTGGTAGGTGCACAGTTAATCGTGGACAGAATCTTCATGTCCCATGGATTTGCCAGACATGGCCAGTGTCTGCTGTAGGATCCTGAGTCAGAGCAGGGCGTGCGGAGGACTGAGGCGAGGCTTGTGGGGCAGATGGTGTGAAGTAGAGATGGGAGGGGGGCGATGTCATCCCTCCTCCTGGAAGGTGGCAAGTTGTCCTAAAGCCCCAGGGTAAAGCTGCAGAGCTCCCTGTGCCGTGGATGCCCTGCTCCTAAATCGGCAGCGTGGCCTTATGTCACCCTCCTTATTTTCGTCTGGGTACTGTTTTTAGCAATGTCCCACTTTTCTGAGCAAGACACCACCTGGCTGGTTGGACACAGACATCCCTAGACTCTGAGCTTTCCTGGGCTTCCAAGATTGAAAAAGAGTCTATTTAACATCCCTGAGCAGGGTGCCCAGCCAGGGCTGCTGTGGGTGAAGGTGTCAGGACCTCCTATCATGGCCCATCTCGGCCTCCAGGGCTGCTGTGGGCAAAGGTGGCAAGGCCTTCCACCATGGCGCTGTCTGCAGCCTCTGACTTAGGGGGTTGAGCTGCTTCCCACAGAAAGGCCTGAGCCCTGCAATCTCTGGATGCTGCATCACCCAGGGCAGGGACTCTATGAGGCACAGCATCCTCCCAGGGGACAACGGGAGCAACGCCTTTCCCTCTGCAGGGACACAGCAAACCTCAGCCAGCTCACAGCTGTGGGCTGGCCCCAGTGATGACCAGAACCAAACAGAAGCCTGAGCAGACTTCAGGCCACTGTGGCTGCCCTTGCGGGTGCAGAAGCCTGGAGCTGCAGGGTGTTGGCTTGGTTGGCCCTGGTCCTGGTCCTGAATAGTCAGGTCTGCTGTGGACGCACATCAGAGCCAGGCAGGACTGAGGGCCCTTGGGAGAGAGGCCATGGGAAAACCGTGGGCTGGGGGATTATGAAAGCCTGAGGCCTGCCCTTCAGCTGGGCCTGCCCTGTGCCCGCCAAGTGCAGGGTGAGTGAAATTCTCAGCCTCCAAAGCTGGTCACTGGCCCTCGGGGAGAGAGTGCTCACCCCACCCTGTGTGGTCCCATTTCCCTGCTCCTGTCCTCCTGGGGCAGCCAGCACGCTCCTATCTAGAGCTCTCCAGCACAAGTGCTTGGCTTCCGTTCACACTGCAGTGGCTTTCTCAGAGCCATCACCAGCCAGGGTGAACCACACATTGCACCAACTCAGGGGCACCCTCCTCCTGCATGGTGGTCCCTGAACCTGTATGGGCCTGGAGCGTTCGCCTAGTTCTGTGTGATTCCTGACACTGCGAGGCTGTGTATTCTTGCTCATAGACGACTTTCTCATCCCTAGTCTCCATCCTATGACCTCCGACAGACCAGCGGCATCCTTGGGTCAGCTGAGAGTTTGACTCACCATTTTTCATCGTGGTGTCAAGCAGTCCCGTCCTCCAGACTTGAACATCTTGGCTGAAGTTGTTATTAAGGTCAGCGTGTTCAGTTTACCGAGGCACAAGGACGGTGCAGGGCAAGGAGCCATGTCTCCCAGATGGCAAGGTCAAGGAGCATGAGGGCTTCATGCAGAGGTGGAAGCAGGAACAGGAAAGCCATCCGACATCCACATCCCTCATCACTCCAGCCCCTCCCCGGTCATAGCGCCCCTGTTTCTGTTACTCACTGTGGGGCCTTCCTCCCCGGCTCTGCCCACAGTGCTCTGGGATTCCTACAACCTAGACGTGCTAGAGGATGTTAGGAGCCCACTTGGCCACCGCACCCCAGCCATGACCTCTCCATCCCCATCAAATTCCTTAAAACACACTTGGAGCCCGCTTGGCCACCGCACCCCAGCCACAGCCTCTCCATCCCAATTCAAATTCCCTAGAACAGTAGTCCCCAATCTTTTTGGCGCTAGGGACCAGTTTCACGGAAGAAAATTTTTCCATGAACAGTGGGAGTCGGAAGGTGGTTTCAGTTTGATTCAAACGCATTACATTTGTTGTGTACTTTATTTCTATTATGACACTGTAATATATAATGAAATAATTATACAACTCACCATAATGTCAAATCAGTGGGAGGCCTGAGCTTGTTTCCTGGCAACTAGAGGGTCCTGTCTGGGGGTGATGGGGACAGTGACAGATCATCAGGTATTAGAGTCTCATAAGGAGCGCGCAACCTACATCCCTCGCAGGCACTGTTCACAGTAGGGTTTGTGCTGCTATGAGAATCTAATGCTGCTGCCGATCAAACAGGAGACTGAGCTCAGGCAGTGATGCCAGTGATGGGGAGTGACTGTACATGCAGATGAAGCTTCACTGGCTCACCAGCTGCTCACCTCCTGCTGTGCAGCCTGGTCCCTAACAGGCTGCAGACCAGTACCTGAGACTGGGTAATTTATATAGAAAAGAGGTTTAGTGGCCCACAGCTCCACAGGCTGTGAGGGAAGCACAGTGCTGGTACCTTCTCAGCTTCTGGGGAAGCCTGGGGGAGCTTTTGTTCATGGCGGAAGGTGAAGCAGGAGCAGGGGTAGCATAAGAGCAGGAGCAAGGGTGGGTGTATTGGTCCATTTTCACACAGCTGATAAAGACATACCCAAGACTGCACAATTTACACAAGAAAGAGGTTTAATGAACTTACGGTTCCACATGGCTGGGAGGCCTCACAATCATGGCGGAAAGTGAAAGGCACATCTTACCTGGTGGCAGACAAGAGAGCTTATGCAGGCAAACTCCCCTTTATAAACCCATCAGGTCTCATGAGACTTACTCACTATCATGAGAACAGCACAGAAAAGACCTGCCCAGTGATTCAATTACCTCCCCCTGGGTCTCTCTCACAACTGGTGGGAATTCAAGATGAGATTTGGGTGAGGAAATAGGCAAACCATATCAGTGGGGGAGATGTCATACACTTTAAACTATCAGGTTTCCTGACAACTCATTAACTACTAGGAGGACAGCACCAAACTATGAGGAATTTGCCCCCATGACCCAAACACCTCCCACCAGGCCCCCCTCCAATGTTGGAGAGATGACAGTTCAGCATGAGATTTGGCAGGGACAGTTACCCAAAGCACTGCAGAATCTGACTGAACCAGACTGTGTTAAGTGAGTCCCTCACACAATCAGTCAGAATGAAGTGGCTCCCGGTGCATTGAAAATAAGTCCAAATTCCTTGCAAATCCAAGGGGGAGGTGTGGCAGGTGGCTTTGTGGCAGGTAGGGACCCTGGGCCTGCAAGGAATTTGGATTTATCATCAATAAAATGGTCTTCTTTCTCTTGCTTCACCCACTGGCTCTTTGTTATGTGGACTGCATTCCTTTCTTTGCTATTTTTGTATTCTTTCTCCCCTTTTCCCCATTACTGGAAATTTCCACAGCAGAAGAGAGCCCAGCAGTGACTGAGGGGGAAGAACTAGCTGTTAGAGCTCTTCTTAGAAACTGGGTCTGGTTTGGGAAAGAGGGTGATGGTGGGGAAGGCGACAGGTGGGGCAGAGGGGAGGGAGGATGATGAGGGAGAGGCTGAATGGGTGAGTTAAGGACCTGTCCCAGGTGGCAGCTGGGCCACGGTAGAGCTGGACTCAGACACAAGCATCCCACTCTTGTTGTGTGTCCCGTTATGCACCCAGCACTGCTTAGGAGAATTGCTGTCCTTTTATTTTCACTAAGTTGAGGGTTGATTGACAGCTATTTTTGGTTCTGCTAGGAAAGGAAGCTGTCAATGAAAGCAGGAAGGTGATAGTTCCTGGGATCTGAACACAGCCACTTCTGTCTCCTGTATCCTGGGCAGGAGTGGAGTTGTGGGACCACTCGGTGTCCAGCCCTATACCCTACACAGCTGTGGGTGTTTCTGCCTCTTTTGGAATGGGCCAGTCCTGATGGTGTCAGTCTTTCAAGAAGGGTCCCGGGCTTCGGGCAAGTCAGGTCTCCGCCTTCACCAGTGACCCCAGTTCTGGCGGCTGCTGTCTCTGCACTGGGCCTTCCACCTGCTGAGAAGCACGGCTGAATCAATGTGTCTTTTCTCATCAATGATATTTAGAAGTGCGGGAAAGGCATTTAATGGATTCTGATAGATTTATTTCCTGCGTTGCTGACTCTATGTATGAGATCAGTAAAATGGGAGGACTTTGCGGTTTTTTTTCTGGGAGGTTATTTTGATTGTCTGACAAAAACGTTAAAGGAGAGAGGTGGCGTTAGTGTATTCCCTCCCCATCCCATGAGGGTTTGACCCATGAGCAGCCCCGTGCCAGGGCTGTCGTCTGCAGGTGACTTACGGCATCAGCAATGCAGGCCCCATCAGAAGGAGCCACCTCACTGCATTCCTGGTGCCCTGAGATGCCTCCAGCCACTCCTCTATTGCAGAAGGCTTTCTCCTGGGAACTTTCTTCTTGAAATGCAGATAGTTCAATGGTTCTATGGTGAGGCTGGGCCGTTTCATGACAATTTTCCCTTCACAGTGCTTTGGCTATCCCTGCAGAGTGAGGTTGAGGAGACACAGCCTCAGCCACAGCTCTGGAAGGGCAGAGCCCTTGCTCCACAGACCCGAGGCTGTGAGGATGGCCCAGGAGGGAAGGAAAGGCCCTTACCAGGGAGATGGCTGAACCAGGAAGGCAGGGGCAACAGCTCATTGCATGGAAAAGGCCACCCCTCTGGGCATGGGCACCACCACCCTCTGGGCCTGGCTGTTTCTACCTGGGCCTCTGTGCCAGCATCACAAGCATGCAGGGAGGGATGCACCTACACAGCAGCCAGTGCCCTCAGGAGGCAATTGTGGAAGGTCCAGATTGCAGGTGACCTCAGCCTGCAGCCGACTTCAGAACCCATGTCTGCTGAAGTTGGTTCCACCTCAGCCCCACAGCCTGGGAGGAGAACCCTGCCCAGAGGCAGGGCCCAGGGCTTCTCTCGGCACCAGGAGGCACTGCCCTGCCAGGGAGAGCACAGAACTCAGAGTGCAAGTATTTCCTTCATAGAAGGCTCCAATCCACTGTTCATACTGGCATTTCGAAATCAGTGTTCAGAATCCATGCATTCTTTAAAAAAAATCCTAAACCTTTCAAATGCAAAATTTATAAACAGGATAGAAATAAAAAATGTACATTTGTAAAAGTAGAAATATGAAGTATGTATTCTTTATAACTACCTATGAATAGATATTTCTTAAATGTGCTAAATGCTACACAAAAAAGGACAATAAATTATTAATGACAAATGAAAATGAAATATTGTTATGTATTTCTTAACAGTGTGATCTTAAAAATCACAGTGCATCTACAATGATATTTTTGTAACAGAAGCATATGTTCGGTCAAGTTTTCACATGTGCAGAGAAAGCTCTTCCAATATTCTCAAATCAGGCATTTATTTATCTTCATCTTTTTTTTTTTCTTTTTTGAGACAGAGTCTTGCTCTGTCACCCAGGCTGGAGTGCAGTGGCGCCGTCTCAGCTCACTGCGGCCTCTGCCTCCCAGGTTCAAGCAATTCTCCTGCCTCAGCCTCCCAAGTAGCTGGCATTACAGGTGCCCCCCACCCTGCCTGGCTAATTTTGTATTTTTAGTAGAGATGGGGCTTCACCATGTATAGATAGAGATTCTAATGTAGGATGGTGGTCATGCTGACTTTCTACTGTTCCAAAAGTATCTGGAACCATGAAATAATTATTCCTATAACAGAAGCTTTGCTTTGTCCATTATCCTCGTCTTCCTCCTCTTGAAGATTTTGAAGGTATAGAAGCTTGCTTTCTAAAAATATTTTTCTTGGTTTGATTTAAACATTTTAAAGCAGTGTTTAACATCATGGTATTACTTCACGAAACAATCAGTAGTTCAGGATTCGGGGTGATATCCTATGTATTTAGCACCTAGTCCCACATGGGCAGTGGCCAGTCAGAATGAAGGCCAGCTCACTGCCCTGGCTACCAAATACCGAGGGTCACTTAAGCACCAAAGGCCTGGCTGAAACCTGCCACTGCAGGTGGTATCACGTGCAGGGGGTATCACACTGGCAAGACACCCAGCAGTATTGAAATGCTAAAACCAGGGCCAGCATCCTCAGGATCAAATTTCCTTCACCCTGACAACTGTCAACACTTCATGGCGACCGTTTTCCTGGAAGCCTGCCTGTGCCCCTGTGACTCCCGCGGATTTGCTCAGGGGTCTGAGGAGCCTGCCCCGCTCCCTGCTCCTGTACCCCTCGGTTTGTGCCTGCATTCTGACTTTCATCACTTCACTCCGCAGCTATGCTTTTGCTGTCCATTTCTTCCTCCTCTCTTCTGCTAAGCTGTTATGCACTGAAGGTCGACAGAGTAGCGAGATTTTTATTTGAATCCTAAGTAGCTGACATAATACCTGGCACATTGAAAAATGCTCTGAAAATGTTGGTATTATGTTCCAAAAGTTCCAGGAGATTCCAGGAAGACATTTTTCAGAGATTGTGGAATAATAGGAAAGTGAAAAATGGCATTTTTACTATGTATTAAAATTTATACTTTATTGCTGTTTAAACCACCATAACTAAGATAAGGCATATATAATCCATGATATCCTGCCTTCAAAAGTAAAACAAATACTTCCATTGCTTTTGGGGGCTGGGGCTGCTTATTCTTACCCTTGCTCATTGCCTTCAGAGAACACTCGAAGAATTATTTCCATAGCTGTGGAGCTTCCAGGTTGTCAAGTAGTTCATGACTTCCAAAAGTTACATTAACGTAACAGTGGCCAAAAATCACATTTACCTATATGTGTGATTTTTTTTAATCTCTGGCATTTTTACCTTAAGCAGATGGAACTACACTTAGCTATAAAATATCAAGTGTCACTTAGACGCCAAAATGCTCAACGCACACCCCTGGGTGGCAAAAAACCCTTGCCGGAGTGATGTGGTCACGTCCCTCAGGTGAGCAGACGCCTCACCAGTGGTGGGGCCATTGGCAGCCTCTTCTCTGGAGACATCTGGCAGTTCCGGATGTAATCCCTGAAGGTTAATGTGGCAGGGCAGGTGGCTGAAGCCATCTTCTTCTTTCCTGCCCCGACTAGGGGTGAAGGGGAGAACACAGCCACTGAAGGGGACGAGGCCCTTTGATGTCTGCACCTACCAGGACTACGTTTTTCTGGAAGCTGACTCCCAGCTTAAACTGACTTTAGCAAAGAGTAGAATTTCGTATTTTCTTCTCTTTCATCCTCTTTTTTTTTTTTTTTTTTTTTTTTACAGAGTCTCACTCTGTCACCCAGGCTGGCGTCCAGTGGTGCGATCACGGCTCACTGCAGTCTCAACATCCCAGGTCCCAGCGATCCTCCCACCTTAGCCTTCAGAGCTGGGGCTACAGGTGTGCACCAACAGGTCTGGCTAATTCTGTTTACTTTTTGTAGAGACGGGATCTCACTATGTTGCCCAGGTTGGTCTTGAACGTCTGAACTCAAGGGTTCCTCCCACCTCAGCCTCCAGGATCATAGGTGTGAGCCACTGTGCCTGGCCAAGAGTGGAACTTATTATTCCCATAACTGAAGTCTGGATAGATTGGGATCCGACAGCTCTGCTGATGTCTTCGGGACTGGGTTTTATTCGCACGCATCTCTGGAGTGTGCTTTGCTGTCTTCTTGAGCAGTTCTCTCTCTGTCAGAAGCTCTGAGATGAGGGACACCGTGGCTTGCCTATGCCTTGTCCGAGTTGTGATGGTTACGGTCATTTAAGCAGCTGTGGAGCTCTGGCCTCTTGGATCCTCTGCTCCAAACACGGCAGAAGTAGCCCATGGTTTCCTGGCCACTCCAGGACCAGTCCCAGGGCAAACGCCGGTGGAATCTACTCGAGTCACGTGACCATTTCTGAGCCCAGCACTGTGACCAGGGGAATAGAATATATTCATTGGCCAGGTTTATCCTCCCCTCTCAAATTTTCCAAACCTACCCTGAAGAAAATCAGAATGACTTAATGAAAAGATGGGGAAACTGATAGATACCAGGTAAGCAAAAGCAGCACGTGTCTCATATACATGTTGGGAAGCGTCGTTAGCTGGGGTAGGGGTGTTCTGTATGCCCTTCTTCATGGATCAGTGTTAGCGCTGGTTCCCCTTAGCTTCACATAGTTACTTGCTGTATTATTGTAGGGAAGCATTAGTTTAGATTCATTTTCAAATATGAAGAATCATCTTTTAGACAATGTGATCTTTCCTTGTCTGTTTTCAGTGCTATTCAACATAATGGAATATTTCAAATAAAACCAACTAGAGTAAGTTCATTTCTCTTTCATTTTCCATTTCTCTGTATTCCTTCTCCCATTTTTTTTAATAGAGATTGGCTCTCACTCTTTCTCCCAGGCTGGAGTGCAGAAGTACAATCATAGCTCACTTCAGCCTCGAAGTGGCCTCAAGTGATCCTCCCACCTCAGCCTCCCAAGTAGTTGGGACCACAAGTGTGCACCACCACACTAGCTAATTTCTTTTCTTTTTTTTTCTTTTCTTTTCTTTTTTTTTTCTTTTTGTTTTAAGAGACGGGGTCTCACTTTGTTGCCCAGGCTGGTCTCAGACCCCTAGGCTCAAGCGATCCTCCTGACACAGCATCCCAAAGTTCTGGGATCACAGGCATGAGCCACCATGCCCAGCCCTTCCTTTTTTTGTTTGTTTGCTTCTTATTTTATCCTCTATTCCATCCTCTTTTATTAATCACCAAGTCTCTGAGTAATGCTGGTAATATTACTAGCCAGACTTGTTTTTTATTGGAACAAGACAGAGAATCAATGGTTGGATGGATGGGTGGATGGATGGATAGACAAACAGATGGATGGATGAACAGACAGATGGACAGATGGATGGACAGATGGATGGCCAGATGAGTGGATGGATGGATGGATGGATGGATGGATGGATGGACAGGTGGACAGATGGTTGGATGCACAGACAAATGGGCAGATGAATAAACACATGGATGGATGGACATATGGACAGATAGATGAACAGATAGATGAACAGACAGATGCATGGACAGATGCATGGACAGATGGATGAACAGACGGACAACTGTATGTATGTATGTATGTGTATATGTATGTATGTATGGATGGATGGATGGATGTTGAGCCATAGATTGAGATAAATGAATCCCTGTTTCAGCAGGTGAGGCGGTGTTTTGGTCCATGAGTTAATGTGCCTAACACGCCTGAATCAGTTATTCAGTCAGCCTGAAGGGTGTGGCTTGTTGCTACCATAGAGAGAGTCACAGTGGAGGGTCTGACTGGCTCATAGTTAGAAAAGGATTCTAATAAGGCCTCCTTCTGAGGCCACCTTCGAACACTTGAAGCCTGTTTTCTGAACCATATTGAGTACTTTCTTTGGTGAGAGAGAAAATTTCTTTTAAGAGCAAAGTATGATTTTATAAGCCTCTATGTATATATGCTCTTTGCCATTGTGCAATGTGACGTTTGGCAGCTGAGGCACGCTTCAGGGCAAAGGGTCTTCCATGATTCATTTTTAATGCAGGAATATAAGCTGCACCACAAACTGAATTATAATAACTTTTACTGCCTTCTTTTCCAACACAGCTTCACCAGGACAGCCTTAACCCCTAAAAGGAAACAGCAAAAGGCTAAGGCAGGAATTTCTAATCGTGACCCTGAGACCAGACTGGAGCTGCTTACAGAACACCCTCTGTGTCAGAGAATCAGAGACGTTTGCTTGCGATTGTTCCTAGGTGCCAAGCTCAGAGGTGCCAAGCTCACAGGTGCCCTAGTGCACACCATGTCAAGCCCAAAAGGAGGAAGACCCTGGTCGGAGGCCTCCCGGCGGACCACGTGTCCCACTTGAGCCAGTTCCAGGAGGGAGGAAGCTCCTAAGAGAAGCTGTTTTTCAGGCACCTTCAAATGACTGATTTTTTTCCGATGCTTTTCGTAAATAATAGATCAAAGCCTCTGTTTCTGCCAGAAGCCTCCCACCCCTGTGAATGCTGAAAGAGCAGATCCACCAAACTCCCCTGGGGCTCTGAAATGATCACTCTGCAGGCTTCGTCCCTCTGCAGAAGAGCTGCTTCCTCTCTCATCAGAAAAGCAATAGTGGTGTGTCGGGGAGGCCCCCGTGCAGTGTGCAGATGGGGGAGCCATTGGCAAGGGCCACCCTTACCAGGGCCTTCTGAGAGCTCTGTGCATGGCCCTTCTCCCACCTGGGCAAGGCGGTTTGCTGCTCTGGGCTTCCTGTTTCTATTTCTGCTCTCCAAGTTTCAAGTTCTTTATTTTTTCCCAGGACTCTGGGCTTTCCTTGTCTTAAGAGGAAAGAAAGGGCGAGGCTCTTTGAATATTTTCTGCATATTATACTCCACCCTGGTTTCCAGACTTCAGATGAAAAAAAGAGCTATTGGAAAGGGGAAGCCCTCTGGCCTTGTTTTCAACAGGCCGGCTTCACTTCCCCTGCAACTTGTTAGTGAATCCTTGTTATAAAGCAAACCATTCAGGGGCATGTGTTTCCCATAGGAATAGGATTACAATTGCAGTTGGCTCACCTGACTATGCTTTTTCCATTAAAAAATCATAGCCAGGACTAATAATAGGACAATAGAAAAAGTTACAAAAATCATAAATCTTCAGGAGGATTTAAAATAATAGGGCATGGTCCAAGTCCTGTAAAAATAGTTATTTGTGAACTGTGTGTATTCCTTATAAATCAAGTGCCCAAAAAGTAAATCTATTAAATTAGAAACTTAACCTAATGAGCTGGTGTTACTAGAAAGGGATCCCAATTCACATGCCAAGAGAGGATTCTTGGACCACACAAGAAAGAATTTGGGGTGAGTTCATAGAGTAAAGTGAAGGCAAGTTTATTAATAAAGTAAAGGAATAAATGATGGCTGCTCCACAGGCAGAGCAGTGGAACAAATGATGGCTGCTCCACGGGCAGAGCAGTGGAATAACCGATGGCTGCTCCACAGACAGAGCGGTGGAATGGGCTGCTCCGCTGAGTATACTTATAGTTACGTCTTGATTTTGTGCTCAACAAGGGGTGGATTTTTCTTTTCTTTTCTTTTCTTTTTTTGAGACGGAGTCTCATTCTTGTCACCCAGGCTGGAGTTCAATGGTGTAGTCTTGGGTCGCTGCAACCTCTGCCTCCTGGGTTCAAGCAATTCTCCTGCCTCAGCCTCCTGAGTAGCTGAGACTGCAGATGTCTGCCACCACACCTAGCTAATTTTTGTATTTTTAGCAGAGATGGGGTTTCACCATGTTGGCCAGGCTGGTCTTGAACTCCTGACCTCAGGTGATCCTCCCACCTCAGCCTCCCAAAGTGCTGGGATTATCGGCGTGAGCCACTGAGCCCAGCCAAGGGTTGGATTTTTCATGAGTTCTCCAGGAAAGGGACAGGGATTTCCCTGAACTGAGGGTTCCTCCCCTTTTCAGACCACATTGGGTAATTCTGGACATTGCGATGATATCTGTAAACTTTGATGGTGCTGGTGGGAGTGACGGCATTTTCAGCATGCTAATGCTTTATAATTAGCACGTAAGAAGCAGTGTGGATGACTAGAGGTTACTTTCATTGTTGTCTTGGTTTTGGTTGGTTTGGGGCCAACTTCTCTATCGCATTCTGTTTTCTCAGCAGGGTCTTTGTGACCTGTATCTTGAGCTGACCTCCTATCTCATCCTGTGACTAAGAATGCCTGACCTCCTTGGAATGCAGCCCAGCAGGTCTTAGCCCCATTTCAACCAGCCCCTTTTCAAGATGGAGTCACTCTGGTTCAAATGCCTCTGACACTAGCAAGAACAAATTTCAATGAAGCATTGAGTCAATGGCAGTTTATCATTCCTTGTAACATTCAAGTAGATAATTTTGGAAGTGGATGCTTTAGTCTACTCTGTTTACTCAAAACATACTTCCTGGGAAGTTCAAACTGATATACTTTTGTCTCAATAAATTCTCTTGTGGGGCAAATCCACCTGAAATGATTGCCTTGTCCTTTGAGTTCCAATTTTGAAAACTTCTCAAAACATATCATTGCTGTATGGAGATACTTGAATTCCTCAACGCAGGCCCCATTTTGATCTTTTCTTCGTTCCATCGAGGAAATCTTAAAGACACATAAGCTCAGTGTGGCACTCCAGCTTCATTTATCACCGAGAGCTCAGCGTGGCTGTGGCTGTCAACTAAAGGATACTTAAAGCCTTAGAAGTCAGTCTCGACTCAAGGATGCAACTTCCTTCCTATAACTCCAGGTGAGTTCCTTTCTTTCAGTATGAAATATTATTATTCCCATTTTCCAAATGAGAACAGTGAGGTTCAGAGGAGTTCAGTACTCTTCTCCAAGCCACCCAGCTTAAAGCAATGGAGTCACATCTAAGCCCAAGCAGATCTAGCCCCAGGATGTACCCACTGACAAGCCCGCACCTGCCTGCCTAGCCAGGAATGAACCCGGAAGGTTTTGGGGAAGGAGGACACCAGGAGGGAGAGCCAGGGAGTGCACAGACTGGGGTCCCTTTCCTCCTGGGGGTTGCCTTCATTTCTAGTTGGCTTTCAGTTTGTCAAGGAGGTACTGCCTTCCAGAGTATGTTGTCAATGAAGAGTTGACCTCTGTAAAATATTGGAAGAAATTTATTCTGAGCCAAATATGAGGGACCATGGCCCATGACACAGCCCTCAGGAAGTCCTGAGAATATTTGCCCAAGATGGTTGGGTGTAGCTTGGTTTTATGCAATTTAGAGAGGTATGAGACATCAATCAAATACATTTAAGAAATACATTGGTTTGGTCCAAAAATGCAGGACAAGTCAAAGCAGGGGCTTCCAGGCTACAGGTGAATTTAAGCATTTTCTGGTTGACAATTGGTTGAGTTTGTCTAAAGACTCGGGATTGATAGAAGGGCAACGTTCTGGTTAAGATAAAGATTGTGGAGACCAAAGTTCTTTTGACGTCTTATAGTGGCTGTCCTTAGAGACAATAGATGACAAATGTTTCCTATTCAGATCTTAGTTAATCTCTTTAGAATTAGGAGGATCTGGAAGAAAAAGATCTGGCTATGTTAAGAGATTCTTTACAGATGAAAATTTTCTCCCACAAAGAACAGCTTTGCAGGGCCATTTCAAAATATGGCAAAGAAACATGTTTTGGGGTAAAATACTTTGATTTTCTTCTTTTTCTCATAATATTATGCCAGAGTCAGTTTGGAAAGTAAGTTGCAATATATAGGGTTAAATAAAACCCATCTAATGAGAATTTATGATTCATAGGGCACGACTCCCCAGACCCCTTAGATAGGAATTTGAGCAAGATAAAAAATCAGTTTAGTCCTCAATATCAGGGCATTCATCTGTTAAGTGTTAAGAAATTTTTGAATGTAAAAAAAAAAGTGTGAATTTTAAGGGCTTTCAGAAACAAAATGTCAAGGTTTATTGGCTCTGGCCAATGAGCAGAGGATGAAGTGTATGACTGCTTCTACTGCATATAATTATGAAAGGAAATATCTCTCATATTTAGATTTCTTGGAAGGTAGTTGCTGAGTATGGTATAGAGACTTATTCCAATTATGGAGATCCTCTAAGGGATGCCAAGGATTGGGAGTTAGCCTGAGAAGGAATCATGCGGTCTAATTGCCTGTTGGGTTCTTTCTGTGCACTGCACAGACAAAGTCCATTCACCGAGACCACAGCATTGCAGTAAAGACAGCTTTTAATTGGCCAGGCATGGTGGCTCACACCTGTAATCCCAGCACTTTGGGAGACCGAAGTGGGCAGATCACCTCAGGTCAGGAGTTCTACCAGCCTGACCAACAGGGAGAAACCCCGTCTCTACTAAAAATACAAAAATTAGCCAGGCACGGTGGCGTGCACCTGTAATCCCAGCTACTCGGGAGGTGGAAGTGGGAGAATCACTTGAACCTGGGAGGCGGAGGTTGCAGTGAGCCAAGATCATGCTAGATCATGCCACTGCACTCCAGCCTGGATGACAGAGAGAGACTCTGTCTCAAAAATAAATAAATAAAATTATTTTCTAAGCTGTTCATTGACTTTAGAATAATAAAATACAGACCCTAACAATAAAAAGTTAAAAGTTTAATTTCAGAGCTATTATACTGTATATAATACAAAGAAAACAAATACATATTGTATAAATGTAAATAAACGATTTAATTAGTTATATGATAGGCCACAAAAACCATGTAACTTTTAAAACACAGAAATTGTATAAGCCCCATTACTGAGCACAATGAAATAAAATGTAATTTTATAGAAAATAGTAAGAGGCCGGGCGTGGTGGCTCACACCTGTAATATCAGCACTTTGGGAGGCCAAGGTGGGTGGGTCACCTAGGGTCAGAAGTTCGAGACCAGCCTGGCCAACGTGGTGAAATCCTGTCTCTAGCAAAAACACAAAAATTAGCCGAGCAGTAGTGGTGCATGCCTGTAATCCCAGCTACTTTGGAGGCTGACACAGGAAAATCTTGAGCCTGGGAGGCGGAGGTTATGTTGAGCCAAGATTGCACCACTGCACTCCAGCCTAGGTCAAAGAGTGAGACTGAAAAAAAAAATTAAAAATTAAAAGAAAGCGTGTGATTGACATGAGGCTGGGCATGTGGGACAGCTGGAGTTCCCATCACTCATGTCAATCTTCCCATAGGCTTGGGGCTAGGGATTTTCAAGGATAGTTTGTTGGGCAGGGGGCTACGGAATGGGTGCTGCTGGCTGGTTGGGGCTGCCGGCTGGTTGGGGCTGCCATCACAGGGGTGTGGAAAATGGTCCTCCTGAGCTGCATCTGTCTCTGGATGAGGCCCCAGGACCAGTTGAGTCATGAGTCATGAGTCCAAGTGGAGTTGGCTCGTAGGCAGAAATGCAAAAGTCTGAAAAGTAATCTCAAAAGGCCAACCTTAGGTTCTACAAAAATGGTATTATTTACAGAAGTCATTGGGGAAGTTACAAATCTCGTGACCTCTAGAACAATGGCTGGTGATCATCAAACTACGCCTGCATCTTAGCAGAGTTCAGGCCCCACTCATAATCCTGCAGACCCATATGAATTTGCCACTGCTAACAGGCTAGCCTGTGTAACTTCCCACCTCTCTCCCAGCCCTGCTCTGTGTTTTATGGACCAGGTCTCTTGGCACCAGGTGCTTATTGAAAATGCAGACTCCAGAACCCACTCCAGGACTCCCGAATCACAGAATTTTCACAAGCTCCCTAGGTGAGTACTGTGTACACGGAAGTCTGAGAAGCACCGTCCTAAGTTGGGTGGTCTTGCACTGGCATGAGAAACAGAGTCCTGTTTTCTTACAACCACCCCCTGCCAACCCCAGTACAGGAGTGTGCAGCCCCACGGAGGCCCCACGAGCTGTCCTCTCCTCATGCCTATAACCTCTTTTCACAGCTCCTTTTCATCCGCCCATTCCCATCCAGCATGGGAGTGGAGCCAGGCACAGAAGACCTCTGCTGCTTCCTCTCCTGTGCCCCGTAGACGAGCTCCTTGTGCCTGCTTAGGGCCCACACTGTCCTCTTCGCTGGGCTTCCTGCCTCGCTCAACCTGAACATTTTAGTCATCCTCAAGAGGTGACTTGACCCTCACTCTGCTCTAGTTCTCATCCGCCCATTAGACCTGAGGCAGGCACGTTTTCTTCTACTCTTTATACCCCGAGTTCTTTGCTAACTGAGCACACAGGACATGGATGCTGGTTGAGGAAGGAGTGGGATGTCATCACAGACCCCGGACAGGAGGGATATTTCCACCAGGGTGCAGTATTTCACACTGATTCATGGATATGAGTGGGTTGCTTTATAAATTCCTCCATTAGCTCAACTATTTCCAAAGGAAAAAGTGAAAACAGATCTGGAAGATGTTATAACATCGTCTAATAACGGGGGTGGGAAAATGGCATGGAAATTTAGATATTAACATGGATTTGTATTCTTTTCTCCTATAAACTCTAAGACTGCATTTGAGACAATAAGCCATTTCTGTGTTAAGGATTGTAAAACACTACATGGCATCTCATTGGCTTTCATCATGTCTGTACTTAAAACAAAACTATTGGCCGGGCACGGTGGCTCATGTCTGTAATCCCAGCACTTTGGGAAGCTGAGGCGGGTGGATCCCTTGAGGTCAGGAGTTCAAGACCAGCCTGGCCAACATGGTGAAACCTCATCTCTACCAAAACTATAAAAATTAGCTAGGCGTGGTGGTGGGCACCTGTAATTCCAGCTACTCAGGATGCCGAGGCAGGAGAATTGCTTGAACCCAGGAGGTGGAGTTTGCAGTGAGCCCAGATCACGCCACTGCACTCCAGCCTGGGTGACAAGAGTGAGACTCCATCCCCCCGACCAAAAAAAGAAAAAAAAAACTATTTATCAAAACTACCTCGATGGAACTTTTCATGTAATTCAAAACTTGAACATCAGATGTTCCCTGCCTCTTTAATAAGGAGTGGAATCATTGCCGAGAAGATGCAAACAGGATCAGAAACAAGCGGAATCTGTCAGGATGCTCAGCAGCAGGTGTGGGAGGCATGAGGGGCACTGCGCCTGTATCTTCACTCCTCACCCGGCTTCAGAGTTGACGTCAAGCTCTGAAAAAGGGAGCTCCATCTGTGATATCCACCAAGTCCAACCATCAGCAAAGCCTAAATGTGTGCCACTGCTCCTCCTCCTTGTTTTCAGACCTCCTCATTTCCTAACAGCTCCTCCTCTCCTGCCTCTCCTCCAGCCACAGTGGACTCCTCGCTGGCCATGGGCATGCCGGGGGCTCCAGCTCTCTGGGCTGCTTGTCCCTCAGTGATCTGGAAGTCTGATCTCCTCACTGTTGTGGATTGAATTGTGTCTCAGTAAAGATGGGTTAAAGTCCTGGCTCCCCTGCCTGTGAATGAGAGCTTATTTAGAAATAGAGTCTTTGCAGATGTCATCAAATTGAGATGAGGCCATTAGGGTAGGACCTAACCCAAGAGGATCGGTGTCCCTCAGAAGAGGAGAAGACAGAGACACACAGGGAAGATGCTGCATGGAGACAGGTCGGAGGCTGGAGAAGCAGCTGTGAGCCAGGGAGCACTGGGGCGTCAGAAGCTAGAGGAGGCACCTTGAGATGGGATTTCTGGCCTCCAGGGCTGTGAAAGAACAATTTCTGTCGTTTGAAGCCACTTAGCTTGTGCTGCTTGGTTACAGCGGCCATAGGAAACAAATTCACTCGCCTATCTCAAGTGTGGTGGAGACATTCCCTTCTCAGTGTGGTCCATTCTAATCACTCTATTGAAAATGGCAACATCCCCCAAACACCTTCTGATCCTCCCTGACCTGCTGACTTTTCCCCTTGGTGCGAGTCCGCTTACGGATGTGCACATCCCGCCTCCTGAGGTTCGGTGCTGTCTTGCTGCTCAGGTGCAGCTCTGTGAGGTGGGGATGTTCGCTTTGTTCGCTGGTGCGTTCTAAGGGCCTAGAACAGGGCCTGCCACATAGGAGGCACCTGGCACATAGTTTTTGGATGAAAAAATGGATATTTTCCCCCAAGGTATCAGTGTATAAGTTAAGAGCACCTGCCCAACTTAAGTTAATAAGATTCCTGTACAGGAAGATATATTTATACAGGATCATGTTCTCAAATGCATTCACGAACCAGCCTCAGTGAACGGCATCTTCCCTGAAAAAGCATTGATTGCGTTCCTTTTCTTTCCATTCAGGCCGCTCACTATGCTCCAGGCTCCTTCTTCCCCTGCTGCAGTCCTGGTCATCCGCTGTCCTCCTCCTTAGCTGCTCCTCCCTGCCCACACGGGTGCTCCTGCTTTCCTTCTCAGTTCTCCCTTCTCCTCCCGCCGCAGGTGCCGATTCCTCTGCCCCTGATGAATGCTCCCTTTTTTCAGCGGCGTCTATTCTTACTCCATCAGCGTTTTACATGACGTCATCACCTCCTGTGGTTTAACAGTCTCTTGTGTGCTATGGATTCTCAGGTCTGTCCCGTTCACAGGAGCCAAACCTCTGCATTCAGCTGCACACGCTGGCTAATGCCTCACAAGCTCCTGACAACATGATCAAATCTCAGCTCATATTCCTCCATCCCTGTCCTGCATACATGTGGCATGTGCGTGTGAGCATGTGGACATATGCACGTGTGTGTGTGACTAACTGGCCAGTTAATGAAACCAGAGGTTGTGCCCTTGACTCTTCCCTGCCTCTCAGCCCTCCACCCCAGCTA
Source organism: Homo sapiens (assembly GCF_000001405.40). Classification (NCBI taxonomy): domain Eukaryota; kingdom Metazoa; phylum Chordata; class Mammalia; order Primates; family Hominidae; genus Homo; species Homo sapiens. The sequence continues at coordinate 167,488,221 of NC_000006.12, forward strand.
ATGAGCAAGCTGTGTCAGTTTTACCCCACATCCCCCCGGCAGGTGCGGCTCTGGGAGGTCGAGAGCTGGAAAAGGTGTCGCTCTCACCATTACAGGAAGGAAAAAGTGAGGAAACTGTAAATTAATGACTTCTCATCAGAGAACTGAGATTTCAGGCAAACATCTAACTATACCTTGAAAGCTCTTTGTTCTTGTTCATCTGTGGTATTCCTATGCACTCTTCAAAACCCTGCTGGAAAGTCCTCCCCAAACACCCCAGAGTCAATGATTCATTCTTAGTGCCCCTATGCTCCTTTCACTTTTGCTCTGCAGAGCCTCTTCTGCATATTTCATTTTGCCAACAGGCCTGTTTCCATGGACTTCAGCATCAGGCAGGCCTGGTTCCCAGTATTCTGCTTCGAGGATTCACCCCTCCAAGCTTCAGTTTCCTTAGATGTGAGGTGGGGGAAAAAGTCACGGCCACATGACGTTATTTTGAGGATTTCACGAGGCAGTGAAAGTGGGGTGCACAGCACTGGGCCTGGTGCAGAAACAATACCCAGTGCCATGTCTCTCTCCCCAACAGGGTCGTGGTTCCTGAGGAGGAGAACTGCAGTTTCAGCATTGCCTCCACATTCAGCATGGGGTGCTCAGAACCTTCCAATATGCGAGGCAGGCTAGTCAATTAGGGGAGAAAGCTTATCTCTTTAAAGCAAGTTAAGTGAATGTTTGTTTCTTTAAAAAAAAAATCAAACTGCCAAACTATTTTCTGAGTGGCTGTACCATTCTACGCTTCCACCAGCAATGAAGAGTAATCCAATTTCGCCACATTCCCACCAACATTTAAAACTGTGGGGATTCTGATAGGTTTGTAGTGATGTCTCATTACGGTTTTTGGTTTTCTGGGTTTTGGTTTTGGTTTTTGAGACAAGGTCTTGCTCTGTCTCCTAGGCTGGAGTGCAGGGGTACAATCTCAGCACGCGATAGCCTCCACCGCCCGAGCTCAAGTGATCCTGCCAACACAGTCTCCTGAGTAGCTGGGACTATAGATACATGCCATTATGCTGGGCTAATTTTCTTTTCATTTACTTTTTTAAAGACAAGTTCTCAGTATGTTGCCCAGGCTGGTCTTGAACTCCTGGACTAAAGTGATTCTCCCACCTTGGCCTCCCAAACTGCTGGGATTACAGGCATGAGCCACTGTGCTCAGCCTTCATTATAGTTTTAATTTGCTCTTTCTTAATATTTAATGATGTTGAATATCTTTTCATGTGCTTACTTTCCATTTCTATCTTCTTTAGTGAAATGTTCGTTCTTTAGTGAAATGTTTTACCCATTTTTTAATTGGATTTTTTTGGTTTGTTTTTATTTACTATTGAATTTTTAGCCCTCTTTATATATTCTAGATAAAAAGTGTTTGTTGGATATGAGGTTTGCCAGGATTTCCTCCCAGTCTGTAGCTTGTCTTTTCATCCTCTTCACAGGGCCTTTTCCAGAACAAAACTTTTTAATTTTGATAAAGCCAATTTATCAATTTGTCTTTTTATGAATTGTGCTTTTGGTTTCTAGTGTAAAAACTCAGCCTAGCCTTAGGTTCTATAAATTTTATCTTATATTTTATTCTAAAAGTTTTATAGTTTTACACTTAGCATTTACATCTGTGATCCACTTTCAGTTTTCTTTTGTATGAGGCATAAGGTTTGCGTTGAGGGTCACTGTTTTCCCTATAGCTGTCCACTTGTTCCAGCACCACTGTTCAAAAGGCCATCATCCACCCATTGAATTGCTTTTGCAACTTTGTCAAAAATCAACTGGTGGCCAAGTGCGGTGGCTCATGCCTGTAATACCAGAACTTTGGGAGGCCAAGGCAAGTGGATTGCTTGAGCTCAGGAGTTTGAGACCAGCCTGACCAACATGATAAAACCCCGTCTGTACTAAAAATTCAAAAATTAGCCAGGTGTGGTGGCACATGCCTGTAATCCCAGATTCTTGGCAGGCTGAGGCACGAGATTTGCTTGAACCTGAGAGACAGAGGTAGCAGTGAGCCGAGATCAAGCCATTGCACTCCAGCCTGGGTGACAGAGCAAGACTCTGTCTCAAAAAAAAAAAAAAAAAAAATCAGCTGGCCATGTTGGTATGGGTACATTTTTGGGCTCTTTATTTCATTACGTTGATCTAACCCTTCTTACTAACACAAGATTTTGATTGCCATGCCTATATAATAAGCTTCAACATCAGGTAGATTCCTGCTATTTAATTTCTTTTTTAAAAAAAAATTGTTTCAGCTATTCTAAGTTCTTTGTCATTTCCTACAAATTTTACCATAAGCTTGTTCATGCTTATAAAAAAAACCTTGCTGAAATTTTGCTAGATCACATTGGAAACCAACATCTTTACTATATTGACTCTTTGGGCCCATGAATATGGTAAGTCTTTCCATTTATTTAGGTCTTCTTTGACATTCTTTCATCAACATTTCATAATTTCTGCATATAAATACTATAGATGTTTTGTTAGATTTTGCCTAAGTATACATTTCCTTTGGAGCCATTGTAAATCATACTATGTTTTTAACTTTTATTTCCACATATACAAACGTAATTTGTTTTTATATGTTGATCTTATGTCTATGACCTTGCTCTCAGAAGTTTTTTGTAGATTTCTTGGGATTTTCTACTTCTAGAATTATTTTATTTGTAAATAGAGATTGATTTCTTTCTTTCTTTTTCATGTGTATGTCTTTTTTTCTTGCCGAATTGACTTCGCTATGACTCCCAGTGCTACCTTAAATAACACGGTAAGGAAGGCCGTCATTGCCTTTTTCCTGGTCTTAAGGCGATGTGTTCAGATCTTCACCTTTAGGCATGGTGTTAGCAGTAGGTTCCATGTAATATTTTATGCACTGTATGAGTTTCTTATTGCTGTGTAACAAATCACCACAAAGGTACAGCGTTAAACAACAAATTTATACTCTGACAGTTCTAGAGATCCAAAATCTGAAATCAAGAAGATAGCAGGGTTGCGTTCCTTCCAGAGGCTCTAGGGGAGAATACACTTCCTTGCTTTTTCCAGCTTCTAGAAGCTCCCCACATGCCTTGGCTCAAGAGCCTTCCTCACATCACCCCAGCCCCTTGATCCACTGTCACATCTGTTTCTTTCATTCATTTGCCCTCCCCGGATAACCCAGATATCCATCTCAAGACCTTTATCTTAATCACATGGGCAAAGTCCTTTTACCATGAACTGTAATACAATCACAGGCTCAGGTATTAGGGTGTTGATCTCTTTGGAGGCATTATCTGCCCATCACACACTGTGTTATAATTGTCTGTTTACTTATCCTTTGCTATTTATTCCTCATCATGTTCCCAACATCTAACCGAGTAGCCAGCACACAGAACGGGCTCAGCAAATAGCTGCTGACCAGCAGAATGGGCGGCTGAGTCCATATTCCCTCCTTATCAGCCTTGGGAAACTGTGAGCCTGTTCTGGTGTTCTGCATAGGTACAGTGATTAGTTTCTCCTGAGCAGAGGACTGATGATAGTTGCTCTGATGTATACCAGCAGATTCATGGGGATCCTGGTAAGGCGTATTTGAATTTTGGCTTTAGAAAAGTCAAGGGATGGGTTTTCCACAGGTACAACCACAAAGCAAATGCTCGTCACCCCAGAATGCTCCCTCCTGACTCATGACGAGACAGACCAGGCAGACAGGAGATAAAGAGCTCTCTCCTCCTGTCCTCTGGACGCCCTTGGCTTCCAAAGCCGTGCTTTATAGATACACGCTTTATGTTGGCTGAAGTCAGCAGTTCGTCTTCTTTACAAAAGAATATTTGTCTTTGCCTCTTCTCTCTTCATTCTTCCTCCTTATCCCTGGCACTTGCCAAGCGGGTGCCAGCGTTTGCCGCCTCTCTCTGAGACCAGCCCTCCTTGGGCGGCTGCCTCCCCTTGCCCCATCTCAAACAAAGACACAGCAGCCGAGAAGACAGCCGGGCGGGTGGAGTGGGAAGAAAGCAAGTTTCGTTGGTTTTTCCAGGATTAACTCAGGGCTGGCTGGGTTGAGTAACTGAGGCCAGGTCATGGGTAGATCTGGCCGAGGGACTTCCGAGGTTTTGTTCCTGGGTGTGTCTCTCAGGCAGTGGGAGGATGGTGGCGCCGTCACCAAGCCTTGCAGCAGGAAGAGGAAGCCCCCACGAGGGAGGATAATGGGGAATTAAAGTCCCTAGATCCGCCTGGGAGGCTTGGGGACCTTGCCTGATGGGAAAACTTTGGTGTAATTTTTTAAAAAACAGAAAACAGGATTTTGTTTTTTCTTGCTCTTTTTAAATGAAAACATCAGTGTTTTTCATCAGGAGCACAACGGGCGTTTTCGGCAGGACAGGTCATCTGCAGACCCTGTGCTTGTACTGCAGGAAGCCTGGTCTCGCTGGGGCCTCTCAGGTGCCGGCAGCACCAGACTATTGCAAAAACTGAGGCACCCCAGTAGATGTTACTAAATGTGCCTAAAGGGAGCAGACTGCCCGCCCCTGAAAACCTGAACTCGGGTTATTTAAAAGGCTTTTTATTCACTGTTTGTAAAAACATAATGTCCTCTAGAAAGCCTGTTTTTCTGATAAGGCATGAAGAGGGAGGATATTAATTCGCATATTGATTGACTACAGCATTGAGGTGTCCCTTCTCCCCCCGGGGGATCGGCTTGCTGGGACAGCTCTGGGAGTCCCCGAGTAGTCACCTTTGGATACCATGTTGGCAGAATCTCAGGTCAGGATGGAGGAGCCTCTGATAGGCATTGAGTGGCCTTTAAATGACCCCATGCTGCTTCAAAGCCCACAGGACTAGTGTTTGCTTTTTGAAAAAATGACTTTCCTACATGTTCTCAGTAAAGAATAGAATCCACACACACTCCCATGCGCACACACTCCCATGCACACACACTCCCATGCACACACTCCCATGCACGCACTCCCATGCACACACACTCCCATGCACACACTCCATGCACACAGTCCCATGCACACACTCCATGCACACAGTCCCATGCACACACACTCCATGCACACAGTCCCATGCACACACACTCCATGCACAAAGTCCCATGCATGCACTCCCATGCACACACACTCCATGCACACACACTCCATGCACACAGTCCCATGCACACACATTCCCATGCACACAGTCCCATGCACGCACTCCCATGCACACACACTCCATGCACACACTCCCATGCACACACACTCCCATGCACACACACTCCATGCACACACTCACATGCACACACACTCCATGCACACAGTCCCATGCACACACTCCCACGCACACACACTCCCATGCACACACACTCCTATGCACACAGTCCCATGCACACACTCCCATGCACACACAGTCCCATGCACACACACTCACATGCACACAGTCCCATGCACACACAGTCCCATGCACACACTCCCATGCACACACTCTCATGCACACAAACATCCATGCACACAAACATCCTCGCACACACCCTCCCATGCACACACATTTTAGAAACGTGACCAGTTCCTTAGGGTGCTCTCCTTTAAAAGGGCAACAGGAAGGCTGGGGGTCAGTTGTGCAGCCTATACTTACCCTCTTCTGTGACCAAGAGCTCGGGGGTCCCCAGCTAACCTCCCCTACTGCTTTAGATATATGCATTTTTACTCATCTTTGATATTTTGGAAAAGACAACATGTTCCATGCAAGTCCCTTTGAATGCTGCCCCTGCAAGCCAGCTCAGAGGGAACACGCCCCTCCACACCCCCCGCACTAGGCCTTGGGTGCGGCCCGTCCGCCTCTCACAGAGCAGATGGCTGTGGCTCCCTCCAAGGCAGAGGTCACCCCGCCTGACCAGAACCGCTTGTGTTCTCTGGAGTGAATGGGACATGAGCGTAACAGGGGCGGGGAAGGCGGGAGAAGGGTTGAGGGGAATGTGTGGGATCTGCCTCCATCGAGCTGCAGGCGCGGGTCTGAGCCCTGATAGCAAGTGTGAGGGCTGGTGCTGACGCAGGGCTCCCCCGAGACCCAGTCGGGTGTGGAGCTGCCTGGGAGGAGGCCTGAGGGGGTGGGGGAGGCTAAGAACAGGAGAAGAAGCAGCTTTTTCTCATGATGGAGCGGGAGCTAAGAACAGGAGAAGCAGCTTTTCACATGGTGGAGTGGCGGGGCGAAGAACAGAAGAAGCGGCTTTTTCACATGATGGGGGGAGCTAAGAACAGTAGAAGCAGCTTTTCACATGATGGAGTAGGGGTGGCGAAGAACAGAAGCAGCAGCTTTTTCACGTGATGGGCCGCGGTGCTGGATTTTGTGCCAACCTGACTGGGCTGCGGGTGAAACATTATCCCGGGTGTGTCCAGAGGGTGTTTTGGGCGAGATCAGCATTTGACTCGCTGCACTAAGTAAAGTGGGTGTCCTCCCTGATGTGTGTGTGTGTGAGGGCTCATCCAGCAGCAGAAACCTCAACAGAACACGCACCAGGAACCCCCTGACCCCCGGAGGAGAGGGGAGTTCTTCCTGCCTCATAGCCTTCGAAGTGGGACCTCGGCTTTTTTCCTGCTTTTGAACTCGAGCAGAATCTTAAGTTCTTCTGGATCTCAAGCTGCTCCTCCAGACTGAAGGACCCCCGCGCCTCTTCGGGTCACCAGCTGAACCTCACGCAACAGATCCTGCGACGCACCAGCTACGGGGATAGTGGAAGCCGTTCCTCCCAATCAGTGTGTATCTGCCTCTCCCAGTGGTTCTGTCGCTCTGGAGAACCCTGACCAGTACAGCAGTGAGGTCCCATCATGCAGTTTCATGGGAAACAGAGGTGACTGGGCCGGAATGTGTCACACACACACACTCACACACACACATACATACACACACGCATACACACTTACATACACATACACACGCACACAGAGAGACACACATACACATATACACACTCACACACACAAACACGCTTATACCCAGATTTACACACTCACACGCGTACACTTACACACATTTATACACACATACACACATGCTTATACGTACACACTTACACACAAACACTATACACACATACACACACTTATACATATACACACATACGTTTATACACACACATATACATACACACACGATACACACATACACATACACACTCACACAGAGACACGCATACACATGTACACACACACAGTTATACAGAGATTTACACACACAAATACACCTACACACATGCTTATACACACACACTTATACACAAACACATTTATACACACATACACACACTGATACATACACACACACACACATACACTTATACACACACACACACACATCTGGGTCCACCAGGAAGAGTTGAGAAATTCTTCAAGGGTGCTAAGAAGCTGATGGGGACCGTGGCATTAGCTTGGAACACTTGTCATTTGGACCCAAAGTCACATCCACTGCTGAGCCCGAGGCTGCAGGAACAGTGGACCTGGGTGAGCAGAAGGCGAGGCGGAGTCCAGATCTTTCCCAGGAAAACATCACCTGGCGTTGGAAATGAAACGCAGCCCTTCAGCGGGCTCACCTACAATCAGGCACTCCAGCATTAGCTGTTTAGAGCCAGGCTACCATTTCCTGGATTCTCTTCTGTTTTCCATACCCGGAGCTTTCTTAGTTTTTTCTCTGGGTTTCATGAATTCATCAGTGGCCAGGCATTGTTTTATCAGATGTGCCAAACGCTGATAAGGACACAGTTCGCCCTTTCTATTTGCATTTGAATTCTTTCTCTGGTCTGACTTCTTGAGCCAGCAGGATTTATTTCTGCCCTGGCATCTGGTGAGCCGCCTCCCGGCGGCTGCTGCCTTCCTGGGTACATTTCAGTCTCCAGGCTTTTCTAGCCACAGGGACCCTGGGGACATCTCCAAGGCAAGTCCTAATATAGCTCATTTCATCCCTCTGTCAATGTCCTCCACGCCTTGAATAATTATCATATGAAAACCTTTGAGAGCAGAGCACCCCTGATTCTGATTTTCCCCAGCTAGATAGATTCCCACGCCGTCTGTCTTTGAGCCAGCTCTGGGCCAGGGAGCCAGGCAGAATTTGCAGAGAGGTTCTCAGTCACCCACCCTGCCCCTGAACTCAACAATGAGACCATCCAGCCGGGGCAGCTGCGTTCAGTCTCTGGCCACCTCCCATCTCCTGCCGCCACTGTCTTGCCATTGTTTATAGTGTGACACTCTCCACAATGAATCTAATCCATAGAAAACAGCACCCAGCTACATACAGAATTTTACAAATAAATCTACAGATGCCCCTACCATGACATGAAGGAAAAATAAAATGAAAATAACTAATGAAAAAAATCCTGTGTTTATGTGTTTAGTATGTAAATTCTCAAGCATGATTACCCTAGAGGAAAGGGCTCTAATTTTATCCGAAACCCCTGAGTGAAGATGTGTTTCAGAATTCCTGTTTCCAAGGACTTTTTCATGGAAATGGCCTCCTTACATTGCACATTCGATCAACTCTGTTAGGACCTGGAGCAGCATCTTCTAATCAAACACATTAATGGTTCCCAAGCACAATGTGTAATCACACAGAGCAGGATTTTAGAAATTGGCTATTAATAGCCTCACACGAGTATAGCACAGACTCCCCTTGGGTTGGGCATGCAGCCCCCGGCCCTGGGACCTGGCCCCAAGCCCCCGACCACCACCTCATGGAAGCACGTGCTCTGACCTGCCGTGCCTCGGAGTGACAGGGCTGGCCCACACAGCAGTGCCACCTGGGTGGAGTAGCACCTGGAGCCCCACCTAAGCCCACATAGGCCCTGTTCCCATTTCTCTTCTGGGTGGCCCCTCCGACCCTGTAGTCCATGTATGGGGCTGACCAACTCTGGGACTTGCCCCTGGGGGTTGTTCTGGGGCCAATGGCCGAGCCCTGTTCCAGGCTGACAGCCTGGCCCAGGATGGCTCCCACTGGTAGGCACAGCATGTCTCCTACACAATCGTGTGAGACTGGGCTGCCAGAATGGGGCTGACGTGCTGGTTGTAGGTGATTCAAATAGTTTAAATAATCAGGGCTCTTCAGAAGAGGCTTTGCCTGGGGCCTTGCACACCCCAGTCGTGTCCTGTTGTTTCAGGTCAGATTTTGCCACTAAATGGATGAAGAAAAGCACTTTGGGTTTTCAAGGCTGTTTAGAATTCTGAGCTACAGGTAAGGAATTATAGATCAATAGACACAAGCTTTTATTTGTGTACACCATCTTGTAAGTGTGAGAATTACAAGTGTGAGAGTACAGGGTACCGGCACCTGAGGACTGCAGGGCCATTGACATCAGCGGCGTGAGTACAGGGTACCGGCACCTGAGGACTGCAGGGCCATTGACATCAGCGGCGTGATTTCCCAAGATGGTAAATAATTCCCAGAAAATCCTCAAACAAAACAAAGTTCAATCTTTATTCTAGTTACATTCTCGGAACATTCAGTGTACGCTAAAGCCATGCAAAAAATTCTTGATGTTTACATACAAAATGGAGTCAGGTTCCAGTGCAAAGAATTACAAGCCAACTTCTAGCTCCCTAGGGACCCGGTGAGACATCTGGAAGGTATGAAGGATATAAGTCAGAGCCAGCTTGATATGATTTATCTGTGTCCCCACCCAAATCTCATCTTGATTATAGTTCCCATAGTCCCATGTCGTGGGGGGAGCCTGGTGGGAAGGAATTGAATCATGGGGGTGGTTTCCCCCATGCTGCTGTTGTCGTGATAGTGAGTGAGTTCTCACGACATCTGGTGGTTTTATAAGAGGCTTTTTCCCCTTTGCTCGGCACTTCTCCTTCCTGCCATCATGTGAAGAAGGACGAGTTTGCTTCCCCTTCCGCCATGATTGTCAGTTTGCTGAGCCCTCCCCAGCCATGCTGAACTGTGAGTCAATTAAACCTCTTTCCTGTAAAAATTACCCAGTTTCAGGCAGTCCTTTATAGCAGTGTGGAATAGACTAATACACAGCTCTTCTCTATTAGGAGATGTCCCCACTCTGTGGGACAAGCACCCCAGCCTCCATCCACTAAATGATGAATGTGCCCCCCAATCATCTCCGCAGCCTGGCACAGCCGCACAAATTCCCACCCAGCTCCTTATGGTGGTTCTGCCCCTTCCCCCTCCTCACCTGCACGGCAGAGCCCCTCACAAGATCCTCCCACGACGGCTGGGCTGGAGACCAGTGACCAAATACCAAGCACCCGTGCACTGGCCCTGTTAGGAGTTAAACTGTGTCTCCCTAAAAAGGCATGTTGGAGTCCTAAGTTACCCCAGAATGTGACTGTGTGTGAAAACCTGGCCTTAATGAGGAAATCAAGTTAAAAATGAGGTCATTCAGGCAGGCCCTAATCTAATACCATCAAAGGCCTCATGAGAAGGGGGAGTTTGGACGCAGAGACAGGTGCAGAGGGAAGGTGACGTGAAAGGGGCCAGGGAGAAGCCACAGCCCAGTGGGGAGCCTGGAGCAGACCCTGCCTCCAAGCCTCTGAGGGGGCCAGCCCTCCGCTCTTGGATTTGGGACCAAGAGAGAGAATTCCTTTTGTTAGATCAGCCTGCGGCTCTCTGTTAAGCATCCTGGGGACACCCCTGCAGCCCATCCACCCTCCCCACTGACCTCCCCTCCCAGCACTCTCCTGGCCCTCCCACCTCTGGCTGCAGGTGCTGTGCACATTCACTGTTCTCTCCGAAGCTCCTGCTGAGGAGACAGGGCAGCACCAGGCCCCCCGTCTGTTCCTGGTCCAAGAGAAGAGCTTGCACCCGGCCAGCAGGTCCTGGGCAGGGCGCTCCCAGGAACACGCGAACGAGCACCTCACAGAAGCAACAAGTGAGATCCAATGCTAAGACTTCTTTGTTAATAATAATAATAATAATACTTTTATAGAAAATGTGTAAGTTAAAAAAATAGGTAAACATTTATAAAGATGATTTTATTCCATTATCTGTCACTAAGAAATAATGTGTCATAATGGTGATCCTTGGACTATCGTCTCCTGCACAAAGTATCAGAGTCCAAGCTGCCCACGTTGCATACACATTGACCAGTCAATCACCAGTCTGCACTTTATCCTTTTCATGGTCGCTGTGTACGGCCTTCCAATTTCAGCAGGTATCTGGGATATTATTTGTATAATATAATGAGCCAAATTCTGAGCGTTCTTTGTGCACTTATTTCATCTAAGCTTCAGTCCACATTCCCACTGCAGCCGCCCTTTCCTGCAGGCATCTATCTGTCTGTGTTGAGCCTTCCTGGCACAGGGAAGGGCAGTGCTGTCTTAGGTTGGCTTCCTCCTTCCGGGTTCTGCAAGCCTCAGCTGTCACAGCCATTGCCAAACTGGACCCTGGATTACCTAGGGAGTGGTTATCATTTCCCACAGCAGAGGAGGAGACAAACCCCAGTCACAGCAGGTGACACAGGCCACAGAGGCCTCCAGCTGCCATAGGTGGGACAAAACCTTCTCACTTCTGAGTGTCACCCAGACCTGTAATCATATGTGCTCCCAAAGATATTACCAGACATCCTGGCTTTCCTATTTCCTGCTTTACACCCCATTCCCCCAGAGTGAAGCAAACTCACTCCTCTGCTGATATGACGGCGGCTCTTTACTGCACACTGACAGGCAGTGGGAAGGGGTGCTCCTGATTCTTCAGATTATTTCTGGGAGTTTTCCTCCAGAAACTGCTTACAGACCATCGAATGGAAAGATTGCACCTTGCGCTAAGCATCCCTCCCAAAGATCAGGTTAGCATCACGGACAAGATCGTAAACAGCCTCTCTTACATCACTGCCAAGCAAGTCAGCAAATATTCTTGAATTTTACTTAGTACCAGTTATGGGCTGGGAAGAGAGGGAGGTATAAAGATGGCCCTGCCCACAAGGGGCCCAGAGGCCCTGAGGAAAGGGCTGGCAATGTCACGGGTGCTACAGGGGTGCCGTGCCCCTGCTGGAGGATGTTCTGGCAGCTCATGGCAGTCACGACCACTCGAATTCTCCTATCAGATTCTCTGTGATGGGAAAGCATAGAATTTGGAAATAAAAGACTCACACCAACACTTTTATTCAAGGCCGGGATAATAATCTGTTGCTTATTTTAAAGTGCTATATCTTGAATCTTGTGCCCAGTGGTGTTGGTGTTGGTGTTGGTGGCCATTATGTCAAAGGCAGACACAGGCATGGCAGACAGAAGCAAAAAGCCCAAGGTTATTTAATAGTCACAGAGGCCTGGTTTTATTTTTGAATTATCCCATGATGTTTTTCCAAAGACTTCCAGCCTCACCTTACAATGCAGGTAATTCTCCTTTCAGAGGGCCCCTCCCTCATCACCAGCAACTGAAGACCACTTGATTTACGAATTCTCTAAGGGTTTATTGAGCACCTAATGAGTGTCAGGTACAACGGTACAACGGTAAGCCTGCAAATACAAATATCGTGAAGCCCAGTTTCTGTTTCCAACAAGCCAAGACCCACAGAATTGAAAGACAGTAGTGACCCAGTTGGCACCTGCATCTATGGGCACTGAGCAATGAGAAATGTGCCCACATCAGCCGAAGCAACCCAGGAGGCCTTCCCAGAGGAGAGGAGCTCTGAGCTGAGGTCTGCAATGGAAGGAGGTGCTGCCGGCACACAGGCGCATGGAAGGCGTCCCAAGAAGAGGGAGGAGGCCGCCCAGCTCACCCCTAGAGCCTGGGCTTTCAAGTGGAAACAGAAGTTGGAGAAGAACCAGTTCTCAGAGCTGCAGGGTGGCACAATAGGAGAAGGGAGTGGGGTGGGGAAACTGAGATACAGGATGCCCCTCCTCAAAGCCCTGCCCCTCCCCAGTCTCCAGAGTCACCCACACTAGCCCTGGGCCCGCACAGCCCCCGCCCATGGCAAACCTCAGTCTCACAGCTGAGACTGAGGATGAGGCCGACACCACCTCCCACGGCCTCCACGGCCAGGCCCATGGTCACCACAGAGCCTGGGGGCCGAAGTACTCAGCTGCTGGACTCCGGCCACAGCCCTCCTGCCCTGGGTGCTGACTCCAGCCCCAGCCCTCTTGCCCCAGCTGGCACTGGTGCTCTCCTCCCAGACAGTGCGGTGCTATCTAAGGGAGATCCAAGACAGAACACAATCCTCTTTTTTAATTCAAAGAACACAAATTTGAGACCTCATATAAGCCAAAAATGTGTCTCCAGTGATTCCTGTCGGTGGGCAGTGGTGGGTGGAATAAAGCAACGAGAGGAGGGCTACATTCAGCTGAGCTGGCTGGGTCCCTTTAGTGGCTCATCCTGCCCTCCTTCTGGGCTCCTGTGTGCTCACACCTTGGGCACCACCAGTGCTTAGGCTTTGGAGAGAGCAGGCGTTGTCCCCCCAAGCTCGGGAGCAACATGAACGAGACCTCCCATGTGGGAACCAACCCATGCATTGAGTTAGATGTGCTGGCTGAGCAGAGCTCACTATGTTGAGGGAGAGAAGGCCACGTGCACCGCAGACATCTGACCCATGGAGGAGAGAATTCGGGAAGAGACAAGCCATGGGGGGTTTGATAAGACTGGAACCTCGGAAGTGACCTTCTGTTGGCCCCACCGGGAGGAAGGAGCTTTCCGCAGTGCCTGTGGCTTGGTCTGGAAGTTGCATCTCAGCAAAGCCCCCTGAGGTGTGGTTGTCAGCCAGCACATTTGACCCAGCGCATGGGTTGGTTCCAAATCCACATGACTCTGTAGCCCGCAGGTCCACAGGCTCCTCGTCATGAGCCAACTCCCTGCATTGGATGCAGCTGCAGGGAGCATTGTGTTGGGAAGAGATCTAGGACAAGGCACCGAGACACATTGGTGATGTTTGCTGTGAACAGGGAAGGCAGCGTGGGAAATTTCGTCAGGCACACGTCTGAAGTGACACTGGGATCTCACAATCAGAACCCAGACTACGCAATCAATTCGTCTAGCGTTGACTCAGAAACAGTTACTGCCACACGCCGGGGTTCCCAGCACCTTCGCAGGAGTGCAGCAGGAGGCAGCAGAGAACAGAATCCAGGTGCCCAGATTCTCATCTGCACATCTGCCAATGGGTGAGGGAGGGCCACAGACTGGAGGGAAGGCAGAAGAGAACGTCTCCATGATTTCAACCAGCCGGTCCCCATCTCTCTAGCAGTCACCAAGCAGTGAGGCCCCGCTCACGTCGACTGACACGTACGTGCTTCTTGGGCATTCTTCTGTGCTCCATGCAAGATAATTGCTGTTTTTTTTTCTTTAGTCTTTATATCCTTTCAACTATCTGGAAGTGTCCTACAAATAAGTGTCCCCCTGGGCAGAACTCCCAAATAGTCACCCCTTTGCCCCCACTCCCCTCCACCCTGGGCCTGCCCTGACCCAACTCCCATGCTCCTGCTCGAAGCCACTAACAAGCCCAAGAGGATATTTCAAGCAGCCAGGAAATGTGTCCACACTGGGAAGCAGCACCGGAGGCTTCATTCGAGTCCATGTGGATGCACGAGCGCTGCCTCCCTTTCAGCCTCCCACTGTTTGCTGGAGCATGGTGTTCACGGAGCTAATCAGAGTCCTCTGCCATCTGGAGCCCACAGGTGCCACAGGTGTTAAAAAGTGGATTTACAGACTCTGCCATTGTCCAGGGCAAGCGCTGGCCTCCAGCTCCTGCTTTGACAAAGATTTGGCAAATGTTTTAGAATGTTTAACTCCTGGGTGGTGCTTAAAGAACTGGTTGGAGAAACAAGTGATTCAAGATGCAGGTGTTCTGAGAGCAGTAGGAACAGTACAGGAGGGAGAGCCAGAGGATGGCTGGCGTCAACCTCGGAGCCCCACTTCCTCCAAGTCTCTTTCCTCACCTACAAAATGAGGATGGCCAGCCTTATTGGGAAAACTCAAATATCATAAGTAAGTACTTCTTCAATTCTTATCACCAAACTGCTCTACAAATAAATATGGGGGCTGTCGGCCCGGGCTGCACAGGAGCTGGTTTAATTCCAGCATCCCCTGGATTGATCAGTCGCATCAATGTGAGTGACAAGCCCACCAGCTTTGCTCCCTGTCCATGAAGATACGTCTCGTTCCCCCTTTTCTTTTGTATAACCCACAGGCTTCTTACAATGAGTTACCACCTCATGTTCTGAAAATTACAGCTTCTGAAGGACAACTTCTTAGAAGCAAGATTTGTCACCAAGAAAAGAATGTGTTGTTGATAAAAACTATACTCCCAAGGATTGGTGGCCACCTGCCTGAGCAGTTTCCAAGTTTACCCCAAGGAGGCCCCAGAAGGCTCTTGATAGTTGTGCTAGTTAAGGGTAAAGGGATGCTCTCATATTCTTTACTTTGAGATGAAGAATTTAAACTCAGACTAAGTAATTGTCAGGTGGGCGTATGCCCTGCTAAGAGAAGAGGTGGGCTGAAAACAATCAGCATCATCCATCTCCTTGTACCACACATGAAGCCTATAAGCACCAATCCCTCCCTGGGGTGGGGGCCGAGCAGGGGATGCAGCACAGCACAGCCTGGACCTCACCATGCCACCCATCTCCAGCCACTGCCTCCCTCCATCCCTTCTCTCCCGGCTTATCTCTGTGAACTCGCATCTTCCAATGTCATTTATGTTGCTGCTTTTGGCACTTCTCTTCCAACCCCCTCTGCTCCCTGAGCCACCCTCTACTCTAGTGCCTTATTTCTGAATGCAAAGCACAAAAACCCAGGAGCGGCTGCCTCAAGCTAGATGGGAATTCCTTGTGCCATCCTACCACAGACATATCTTGGTTTGCTCAGGGTTGAATTGACTTTTCTGAGACATTGGTTTGGCCATGTCATAAATCTCCCTTTCTTGAAAGATTCTATCACACGGATATCTTTGGGCCTCAGCACTGAACCAGGTGCTTGGTTTGGTGATGGAGGCAGAGAGATCTAGATGATAGCTCCTGCCTGCAGAAAGTTCACCGTGGGGCAGGGTCTAATCTTGGATATACAGGGTCTACTTTCAGGAGGAAGCTGATTCCAGGACCTTCCAACCAAGTGGACAGAAGCAATGACATAGGCAGCCTCTCATGGAAGAAAACAAAACAGGAAACGCTGTGCTATGTTTGGAGACATGGAAACAAACAGCTGGGAGGCTCCTTTAGAAGTAGTGGACCTCAGTAGCAGACAATCAGGAGAATTGCTCATCCCAGCAGCACGAAGATGAGCAGAGGATGATGGGAGCCAGGTGGCGGGAGGGGTGGGGGTGGGGGCTTGGCTTGAAGAGCAGCAGTGTGGCATTTTTGAGGTGACGGTCCAGTAAAGACCCAAAGGAATTGGAGAAGCAGGCCGTGAAAACATCTGGAGGAAGCGTGTTTCAGGAAGAGGAAGAGAATAAAGGCCTTTAGAGGGTCAGGGAGTCAGGACTGCTCAGAAGGCCAAGGTCACATCCACTCTTGTCTCATTAAGCAGAGCTGGTCGTACAGCCAAGTTGAATCAACAAGGCAGGGTCCATGCTTCTCTCATGGAGATGTTGGGGCCAAGACACAAGGCAGGGGTGGGGAACCATAATCTTATGACTCAGAGGAAGTGAACATTTGGGAACAACTTCCATCTGCCATTGCAGATGGCTTGGGCTGCCGCCTAGACAGGTGGTACAGAAGCAAATGGTTGGAGGTAGAAGCTCAGGAGAAAGGTTGGGCCTGGGTTCTAAATGAGCAACCTGTAAATGGCATTTACAGCCATAGACCAGATGAGATCACCCAGGGAGGAAAAAAAAGAGAAAAGGCCTTCAGAGAAGATATTGAGAATATTGGAAATCATCATTGAAGATCTAAAAAAAAAAAATAGAAGTGGTTGGTAGGTGAGAAATTAGGTAAAATTAGAGCCAAGCTTCTCACACTGCAGTGCGTCAGAGCACTGGGAAGGCCGTTACCCAACAGAGGCTCAGTCTCACCCCCAGAGCTTCTGGTTCTGTGGGTCTGGAGTGAGGCCCAGGTGATGCTGACAATGCTGGTGGGTCTGAGGATCTCGGATATGGGGCGAGTCAGACGGTGTCGGCCAATGTCAGAGGGTTGGACTGCAGTGGGTTTGGGGTCCTCAGGGACCAGGCAGAACTCGGTGTAGCATGCAGCCCAGATAATTTGCTGGGGAGAAGATAAGGACCACAGGCATGGCTCAGCCCACACTCCCACCAGCAGGCCTGCCTGCAATGGCAAGCCCATCACAGGGCTCGGCAGATTGTGCAAGAGCCTCCGACTTCACAGGGCCTGAGGTGCACAGATCCATGGATGGCAGGAGGCCCCCTGGGTACTGCTGGCACGGTGGTGCCCACAGGCTGAGATGGGCTCACCTGGAACTCAAACCATCAATACCGGATTCCTTCCACAGTTTGAAAATTGGCATGGCCACATCCAAAAATAACTCATAAGAATTCACATTAGCATTTGGCATTTCCAGCTTGCTCCTGTCAGCCCCATGAGCTCCTCAAACTAGAAATGTCTGGCCTATGTCTCTGCCCTTGCAGAGATCTTTCAGTGTGTCTGGGCCTCTGATATCCTCTCTTTCTCACGTGCTCTTCCACGGCCCAGCCCCTACTGCTTCTCTGAACACAAACACCCCTGATATGCCACCTGTGCAGCTTTCTCCTGGGGGGACTCCCCGCGGAAAAGGCAGCCTTCTGAGCCCCTTCATCCTCCAGGTTGCCATTGATCAGGGAAGGGTTTGTCCCTCCCGCAGGGGGTGGCGCACACAGGGGCAGTTCCCAGGCAGGGGTCTGGAGAGGTCCCCTGAATCCACTCCACTTCCTCTTTCTGACTCTCAGGGCATTTTGCCAGGTGCTCAGGGCTGGGTGCATTATTCCACAAGGCAGGGACGGGGTCTAATCCGTCCTCGCCGCCCCACATCAGGCAGCTGCTGAACGGAAGCCCGGGAGCCCAGGGGAGCTCTGGGGGTGCAGGCACCAGCTCAGGCTGTACAGCCTCTCCCTGCCGGGTCCGGAGGCTCCTGCTCGGCCTGGGAGCTGCCTGGGGAGACTCCATCCTGAGTCTCCTTTCTGGGCACCTGCTGTCACCATGGCACAGACCACGTGGGACCATCCCGATTGCTGCTCCATCTCCCGGGTTGGTTATGGGGGAGATATGGTTGGTTATGGGGGAGATGTGGTTGGTTATGGGGGAGATATGGTTGGTTATGGGGGAAATATGGTTGGTTATGGGGGAGATATGGTTGGGGCAAGCACAGCTTTGCATTTATGAGAGCGCGAGACAGCAATGGATCTTCAGAAAGCTCTAGAACAGGCGGGCTGCTGTGCCTGGTGACCCAGCCTGGTTAGGACACAAAACCTGAGATGGGCTGCTGGAGGAGAGCACTGGGCCTCTAGGCATGCAGGGGCACTCCAGTGTGAGGGCACACCCGCTGACCTCGAGTGTGGGAACACGGCGGGCCTGTGTTCCCTCCGGACCACGAGTTTCCATGTTTTCATTATTTTCCCTTTCATCTTAAGACTCTCGAGATTTGAGCAGCCCCGCATGGCATAAAGAACCCTGCTTACGTGCATGGCACCTGCCTGCTTGAGTTCAGCAGGGCACCTCCAGGAATCACAGGGAAACCAACTCTCTAAACAAGAGGAAAGGAACTCGCCCCCGGTGGACTTTGGATTGGCCGGTCCCAGCTTCTGCCTACACATTGGGCTGGCTGGGGAGGGGCTGCGGCTTCTGGGGACACAGGGACCCAGGCTTCTCCCAGGTCCCCCTGAACTGCTTGTGGAGCCCGTCATTCCGCATTTGTGTGTCACACACGATTTCCTTGAGACCTCCGCCCCTCTCTCCTCGTAAACTCCTCTCCAACAGAGAAAGGAAGCCCTTGTTCATGAGATAACGGCTCCCCTCTCTCCAGTCAGGAACTGAAGCAGAGGTTTCATCAGCCTGGGAGAAAAACAGCCCCTTTGGTTCTCAGTGTGGCCATCTCTCTTGGTGGGCATGTAACTGGCCGCCAGGGTCCCGCAGAGCCTCCCGGAGTTGCTCTCCACGCCCCACACCTGCAGGATGTGAGCTGTGGTCCCTAGCATGGTCCTGGGCCAGAGGCGGATGGGGTGGTCCTGCACTCTTTAAATGAAGGGTAAACAAAGGTGCTTCCTCAAAGTGAATTACTCTGCGTAAACACATATAAGTCTGCGTCCTTTGCTTTTGATCCAAGGACTTGGTCCCATGGAGTTGAAAGCATTTCTTGTCAGATCCGGCCCAATCTCAAAGTTGGAGGCAACAGCGTGAAAGGTGCGTGACTATGCTTGGTTCCTTAGGCCGTCCTCTGTCTGACCCCCCTGCACCCCCGTGACATCAGATCCCACCCCGAGTTGGTGGTCACTTTAGGACTGAGCCTTCTCCTTGGGCTGTGGAGGGTGGGGCCTCTGCCAGGAAGCACTGGAGCCATGTCACCAAGGGCCAGGCCTTACACTCGGCCTCCGGTGATCCTGGAGTTGCACCTGCGTCCTCTGAGAAGCCAGCTTCCTCAACATAGCGGAATGCACACATCTGAAGAAAGCGGTCTCCCCTCCTCTTAGCATCCCAAAGAAACAACAGCTGCCAGGGAGCCACACCAAACCAAAGAAACCCTGACGAGATGAATGACCAAGCGTGTGGAGCCCCAACCTCCCCTCTCCGTCCCCTTCCCTCCCCATTCCCTCCCTTCCCCTGTTCCCTCTTCTACCCACCCCTCCCTTCCTCTATCACCTCTCCTCCCCATCCCCTCTCCTCCCCTTCCCCTCCCTTCCCCCGTCCCCTCTCCTGCCCTGTCCCCTCCCTTTCCCTGTCCCCTCTCCTTCCCATCCCCTCCCTTCCCCTGTCAGCTCTTCTCCCGATCCCCTCTCCTCCCCATCCCCTCCCCGTCCCCTTCCCCTCTCCTCCCTGTCCCCTCCCCTCCCCATCCCCTCCCTTCCCCTGTCCCCTCTTCTCCCCACCCCTCCCTTCCCCTGCCACCTCTCCTCCCTCTCCCGTCTCTTCCCCGTCCCCTCCCTTTTCCCGTCCCCTCTCCTCCTGTCCCCTCTCCTCCCCATCCCCCTCCTCCCCATCCCCCTCCTCCCATCCCCTCTCCTCCCCATCCCCTCTCCTTCCTGTCCCCTCTCCTCCCCTTCCCCTCCCTTCCCCTGTCCCCTCTCCTGCCCTGTCCCCTCCCTTCCCCTGTCCCTTCTCCTCCCTGTCCCCTCCCTTCCCTGTCCCCTCTCCTCCCTGTTCCCTCCCTTCCCCTGTCAGCTCTCCTCCCCATCCCCTCTCTTCCTCATCCCCTCTCCTCCCTGTCCCCTCTTCCCCTGTCACCTCCTCTTCCCATCCCCTCTCCTCCCCGTCCCCTCTCCTCCCCTGTCCCCTCCCTTTCCCTGTCCCCTCTCCTTCCCATCTCCTCCCTTCCCCTGTCAGCTCTCCTCCCCATCCCTTCTCCTCCCCATTCCCTCTCCTCCTCGCCCCTTCCCTTCCCCTGTCCCCTCTCCTGCCCTGTCCCCTCCCTTCCCCTGTCCCTTCTCCTCCCTGTCCCCTCCCTTCCCCGTCCCCTCTCCTCCCTGTTCCCTTCCTTCCCCTGTCCCCTCTCCTCCCCATCCCCTCTCCTCCCTGTCCCTCCTTTCCTCCCCATCCCCTCTCCTCCCCATCTTCTCTTCTCCCTGTCACCTCTCCTCCCCATACTCTCTCCTCCCCATCCCGTCTCCTTCCTGTCCCCTCCCTTCCCCATCACCTCTCCTCTCCGTCCCCTCCCTTCCCATCCCATCTCCTCCACATCCCCTCCCTTCCCCTGTCACCTCTCCTCTCTGTCCCCTCCCTTCCCATCCCATCTCCTCCCCATCCTCTCCCTTCCCCTGTCAACTCTCCTCCTCATCCTCTCTCCTTCCTATCACCTCTTTTACCCTGTCACCTCTCCTCCCCGTCACATCACCTACCTTCTCGTCGCCTCTCCTCCCCCACCCGTCGCCTCTCTTCCCCATCACCTCTCCTCCCTGTCACCTCCATCCCCCTGTCACCTCCCTCTCCATTGCCTCTCCTCCCTGTCACCTCACCTCCCCCATCACCTCTCCTTCCTGTCACCTCCCTCCCCCTCACCTCCTTCACACACTCACGCACTCCCACCTACTCGCTCATCGACTATCCCACAGTCAGGTGCTCACACACACACCAACTCTCCCACAGCCACAGGCACTCACACACCCACCAACTCACCCACAGCCAGGCACTCACCCATCACAGCACTCTGCAGACACATCCCGCCGCCTGCACACGCACTCACACTCACACACATGCGCACACACGTCCAGCTGCCACCCCACGTCTATCATGGGAACCCACTGATGCAGCGACTCCATTCATGTTCAGAGACGTGTGGGGCTTTTCTGTCCACAGGTGTGACCAGACGTCCTGTACAGTGTGGAGCTGTCCCCTGCTTGGAGGTGACTGTCAGTTCCACGCGGAGAGGAGAAGGGCTGCTCTGTGGAGAGGAAGCTGCAGATGGGGGTTCTGGTGCTGGATTGGGAAGAGAGCCTCCGAGCACGTCTGTCTCCGGGAACATTTCTGGGGAACGGTGCGCTCGGCTCCATGCCTCTTCTCAGGTCCCAAGTGAGGTGCGGGGAGGCGCAGCCTGGCCCAGTTCTCACCACTGGGTCAGGCCTGGCAGAGGCGCAGCCAGCAGGACTCAGGTGCTGGGTTGCGGACAGTGGCCTGCAGGTGCCCTGCCGTGGGTCACAGCAGCAACACACCCTTGGCAGCCACAGAAGAAGTCAGGAGGGAGACGCTGCATGCCCCCTCTTTCCTGAGCCCAGGCCCCCAACACACACACATTGTTTTGCGAGCTGGAAGACCCCTGAGTACGCAGGAGAGCCACCAAATGAAAAGGCCTTTGAAGAAAGAGGTTGGGTGCAAGAGACTTGGACACGCACAACGTCCACCCCATCTCACAGGGACACAGGGCCCCCAACATGAGCCTGGCAAAGACGCCCCACGCTTTCTGTGGTCTGATGTTTAGCAAAGGTAGAATGGCTGTCTAAGGGGCCTGTGATTGGAATTTTACGAAATGAGGTGCGAGCAGGTTCCAAGTCCCTGGTTTTCCTCCTCGCTCAGTCCCCCATGAAATTGAGAATGCTTTTGATTTAACCAGCCCCAAACGATCTCTTTATTTCTTTTTCTTTTTCTTTTGAGACGGAGTCTCACTCTGTCACCCAGGCTGGAGTGCGGTGGCGCGATCTCGGCTCACTGCAAGCTCCGCCTCCCGGGTTCACGCCATTCTCCTGCCTCAGCCTCCTGAGTAGCTGGGACTACAGGCGCCCACCACCACGTCTGGCTAATTTTTTGTATTTTTAATAGAGATGGGGTTTCACCGTGTTAGCCAGGATGGTCTCGATCTCCTGACCTCGTGATCTGCCCACCTCGGCCTCCCAAAGTGCCCTTTATTTCTTTAACACTACACTAATTGTAGCAAAAGTGCATCTGTGTCTCTTTTGGTAAGCCTTTGGTTTGTAACATGATAGAATCACTTGAAGCAAAATACTGCAGGGAAGGGAAAGCGCTCACTAACAAAGGTTCCCTCCCAGGCAGCACTTTGTCCTCCTAGCAGAGGCATCCTCCACAGGAGGTCCTGCTTCCCACCAGGGCCCCTCCCCTCCTTGGCGCTGTAGTTCCTGGCAAAGGAGGTCCTGGGAAGGTGAGAGCATCTGCATTTATGATTCCTAGCGGGTCAAACAGCAGCAGCAATGGAGCGGCGGCAGTGCGGCCACGGGATAAGCCACAGCTGAGCGTGGCCCAGGGAGTTTAACAGCTGGAGGCTCGCTAATCCCCAGGGAAACACTCACGCTTCCTGGTGTTACCGTGTGCTTACTGGGCATGAAAGCCTTTTTTTAATGCCTATTTTTAATGATTAATTATATATCACATAATATATTCACAAATAAAGAAATTATCAGATGACATGCTACACTTTTTTGGTGGGGAAAATACAATCAGTATAACAACGTGTACTACAATACATTTTGGTATAGATTTAAAAAAATTAATTGTATGGAGGCATGTTTTGCATATCATATAATTCGCCCAATTCAATTATTATTTATTTTGTTCGTTTGTTTTTGTTTTTGAGATGGAGTTTCGCTCTTGTTGCCCAGGCTGGCGTGCAATGGCGCAGTCTTGGCTCACTGCAACCTCCGCCTCCCAGGTACAAGTGATCCTCCTGCCTCCTGTAGCTCCCCCTGTAGCTGGGATTACCGGCACCTGCCACCACGCCTGGCTAATTTTTTTGTATTTTTAGTAGAGACGGGGTTTCACCATGTTGGCCAGGCTGGTCTTGAACTCTTGACCTCAGGGGATCTGCCTGCCTCAGCCTCCCAAAGTGCTGGGATTACAGGTGTGATCCACCACGCCCAGCCCCCAATTCAATTATTTTTCAAACAATTTACCAAGTTGTGCAACTACCAGCATCCATTGATTTTAGCACCTTTTGATCCCTCCAGTAAAGACCCCTCATGCCATTCCTAGGGAATCCCCGTCCTTGGCAACTGCTGATCTGTCATTTCTGGAGTGGTGCCCTTTTCAGCGGTTGCATGTGAATGGAACCATACGTCATGTGGTCTGGCTTCTTTCATTTAGTACCATTTTTTGAGGTTTCTCTTTTTATGTCATTACATGTATTAGTACTTTATCTAAATCCCAAAGTGCTGGGATTAAAGGCGTGAGCCACCATGCCTGGCCAGGTATTTCTTTATAGCAGTGTGAGAACTAATACAGTCATTATTCAAAGATGTGACACATTGCAAAAAAACATGGCTTGTACAGAGCTGTTGTCACTTTTGTTCACAGCAGCCGTATTCTCACGTCTGGCTGTGCTGCTGTTCCTTCCCACCCGTCCGGAGTAACAACAACAAAAAAGAGCCTCCTCTTCCCTTTCAGACTAAACCATCCTTTGGGAGTTAAAGAGTTTGATGACTGGCTGGGATCTGAGAAATTTACACAGATGTATATTAATCCACACAATCCAATGCGACCAGCAACATGCAGAATCACCCACATGGCACTGGTGGGTCATTGTTGGGAGGCAGGGAGAGTGGGTGGGAGAGACAGCTGGCCCAATAACTGAAAAGAAATGAAATGGGAAGATTTCAGGGAAGCTTGTCTAGGCCAGAGCACACATGTAGGTCCAAGTTTGAGAACTGGCAGGAATCACAATTCCAATTTGTGCAGTAATAACTCACACCAAGTCACTTCCCTACGTGCCAGGCACCGTTTGAGGGGGTGGGGTGCATTTACTCATTGAGTCCTCACCGTGGCCTTGTAGTAGGTGCCATCACATTCCTGTTCACAGACAGGAAGACCTGGGCACAGGGGCTGAGTGCCCCATTGAAAGGGCATGCTAGCAAATGGCACGTTAGAAGTTTGAGTTCAGATGTCCAGGCACTTATCCACCAGCGAACCTAAGGTCTTTCTGCCTATCCTAAGATGGAACACAAAATTAGGCAATGCAAAGGCTACCACGACAACAGTGAGTCCTGAATAAACATGACTCCTGGCCTTCCTCCGTCCTTATGGTTTGTGCCCCCTGAAATCTGACTGTCCCAGCTGGCACATGGGGTGGGCCTAGGCCACAGTTTTGAGTGGGGAAAGATGGTGCAGAGAGGCAGCTTCTCCTCATTACACAGGGCCTCCTTTCTTACTTTATAAAGAGCCCATGCACGTCATAATTGCCTAACATCAAATTCTGATTTGGTAAATTCTGCTGCTCCACAGGGCATGATCTAGCTTCACAATGCTGGCAAAGTATCGCATCACTTCCAAATGCTACTGCACTGTATTTATCTCCGCACCACTGAGCCCACGCTTGGCTCTGGTGAGACAGGACAGGCCCTGGCCACAGCAATCGCTCAGGATGCAGTCATTTTTATCAAAACAACTGTTGATGGCCTGAGGTTTGACGACAGATGTCCTAAGTTCAAACCTCAGCTCTGACACTTCCTCACTTGGTGACCCAGCAGAGAAGTTCCTCTTACTCTCCCAGCCTGGGGTTTCATCGTTTGTAAAATAGGGGGAGTCATGAAACCTGCTATGTAGATTCATGACGAGGACTAAATCAGTCAGAACACTTGGCACGATGCCTGATGTATAGATGTTAGCAACGACAGCACTGCATTGAATCTTGGCAGCCGTCATTTACATAACACACCATTATTTGGGTGCTGTTAAGGAAAGAAAATGCTGGAAATGAAAAGACACTCCATCAACTATAAGACATATCCCAATTTTGGAGCTAGTGGAATGTGAGAAAAGTGTGTGTGTTGAGATGGGTGAGACAGCACTGGGGTTGTTGGGGTGAATCACTCTGCCAGGACCTGGGGGCAGCGGACGACGGTGCCCGGCTGAACAGCGTCTTTGAACATAATCAGAGGGGGAGGCTGGACATGAGATAGTAGGATAGGCAACAGAAAATAGCCCTCTGGTTTGAAAGATGGTAGCACTGCCTCCTGCATCATCTTATTTCTTTATCCTTATTTATCTTTTGCCCCAGATCCCCCAATTACTTACTTTTATCTGAGTATAGCTGATGTATTTTTGTAAGCCTCTTTAAATATTTCCTAGGACAATGTGGTGAGGCGATACATAAGCAAAACAAAATAACATGTATCACAATGCTTTCTTCTAAGGTTGAAAAATGTCTCCCTGTATTCCTTCCATTTCTATTTTTAAGAGCAGGGGTGGGAGGGAGAGGAAAGGAAAGAAGAGGACGCGACAGGGCTGTGCTTCATTGTACTTCAGTAAAACAGCAGAAAAGCGTGTTATTCAGCTATTCCGCATAAAATTATTAAGAGTATGCAGAGACAGGGAGCAGGAAACGCTTTGCATGTTTCAATTATTTATTGCCCCGTAACTAACCGCCCCAAAGCTCAGCGGTGAAGCAACAGTGGATCATTTCCCACCACTCTGGTTGGCTGGACAGCTTCCACTATCTCACCTGGCTCCTCAGTGTGACTGGGGGGTGGGGGGTGGTGGGGCTGGGGGACTCGGGGGCTGGGAGCTGGCAGGGCTGGGGGAATGGAGGCCTGGCGGAGATGGGGGGCTGGTGGGGCTGGGGTGCTAGCAGGGCTGGGGTCTCAGGGGCCTGGGAGCTGACAGGCCTGGGGACTGGCAGGACTTGGGGACGGGGGGTGCTGGGGGAGCTGGGGGCTGGCAGGGCTGGGGGCCTGGGGGCCTGGAGGGCTGGGAGCTGGCAGGGCTGGGGGACTGGGGGCCTGGGGGCTGGGGGCTGGCAGAGCTGG
Organism: Homo sapiens; assembly: GCF_000001405.40. Taxonomy (NCBI): domain Eukaryota; kingdom Metazoa; phylum Chordata; class Mammalia; order Primates; family Hominidae; genus Homo; species Homo sapiens. The sequence continues at coordinate 167,514,418 of NC_000006.12, forward strand.
GATACTGGGGGCTGACAGGGCTGGGGGACTGGGGGCCTGGAGGGCTGGGAGCTGGCAGGGCTGGGGGACTGGGGGTCTGGGGGCTAGCAGACAAGGCTGCACCTCTGTCCCAAGTCCTTTCTTTTCAGGCTTCTTCACAGCACAGAAGACTCAGGGGTCCAAGAGAGTAAGAACAAAGCTCAAAGCTCTGCAACCCCAGCTCCAAGACACACATGACATCCTTTTGCTACATTCTATGATGGAAGAAACTCCAAGGCGAAGCGAGCCCGCCTGTCAGTCGAGGGGTAGCAAAGCTCTGGGGTCATGGATCATGTTTGTCATCCACCACGTGAGACCATGTGAGGGTGGTGAGCTAGAATTAGGTGAACATTTTAAAAATTAAAATAGGCTGTCTAATACTGATTTTCTCCTCTTCACATTTCCTTCAATATATACAGGTTGAGCATTTCAAATCCAAAAATCCATAATTTGAAACCTGTGAGTGCCGACATGAAGCTCAAAGGAAATGCTCATTGGAGCATTTCTGATTTCAGATTTACGGATTAGGGATACTCAGCTGCTAAGTATAATGCAAAATTCCAAAGTCCAGAAAAATCCAAACTCCAGAATGCTTCCGGTCCCAAGCATTTTGGATAAGGGATACTCAACTTGTACTGATAAATCATTTTTCTTGAAAAAAAAAGATTTCCCAAGATGTAGCTGATGTGAACACCATGTCCTGGCAGCCCGGCTGCCTCTAAGCAGTGGAGCTGCTCTCGGGCTCTGTGCTGATGAGAAGATGGCAGAGAGGGGGACATAGAGTGGGAGAAGGGGAAAGAGCTGCATGGCCTGGGGTACCTGTGGACTCAGGAAGGAGGAGTGATCCACCTGTCCACCAGTAACCACCATGATGTTCATGATGGAACAGTTTCACACTCCATTAACATAGAATGCTTTTTAAAGAACCTCAGTCATCCGGTAGTAAGAAGACCCAGTCAGGCAGCGTTTGCAGGGCCCCAGGAGACCCAGGCACTGAAGGGGTCAAAAAGCTTTCACCATTTGGCTGGAGGGGGTTATCTTCAGAAAATGATGAGTCAAATATGGGCCATTTGAACTCTCTCAGAAGGGACTCTCTTTTTCTACCTCCTACATGGAGCCACTCAATATGTATAAATACCCCCAAAAGGCCCAAGCTTAGAGTTATGTTTAGAAATTCTGACAAATTAGGGTTGATAAAAACAAGTGATCCAAGGAAAAGAGGATTATAGTCAAGAGCACCAAAGTCTTAAGCAAATGGCAGATATTATATGCAAGATACACGCTATATAGAGTGGAAAGCATAAAAACAAACTTGTTAAAGGTGGTCTCTTTCCTTAAATAACTAGTTAGAAAGAAAAATGTATGCTAATAGAAGATTATAAATAAAAATAGCAACATATTGTCCTAACTCAAGACCTTGTACAGATGCTAATGCATCATCATCATCACCATCATCACTGCCACCATCACCATCATCATTGTCAGCACCACCATCACTATCATCACCATCACTGTCATTATCACCTCATCACCATCCTTATCACCACCATCATCATCATCACCATCATCACCACCATTGCCATCATCACTGTCATCATCATCTCCATTACCATTATCATTATCACCATCATTATTATCATCACCATCGTCATTGTCACCAACATCACTATCATCACCATCACTGTCATTATCACCATCATCACCACTACCACTGTCATTATCACCTCATCACCATCATCATCATCACCTCATCACCATCATCATCATCACCATCATTATCATCACCATCATCATCACCATCATCACCACCATCACCATCATCACCATCATCACCACCATCACCATCATCACCGTCATCATCACTACCACTGTCATTATCACCTCATCACCATCATTATCACCACCATCATCACCATCACCATCATCACCACCACCATCACAGTCATCACCATCACCATCATCACTGTCATCACTCGTCAACACTATCACAGTCATTATCACATCATCACCATCATCGTCATCAGCATCTTGATCACCACCATCATCAGAATGGGAACAAAAAAAGCCCATCATCGTCATCATCATCATCACTATCACTGTCATTATCACCTCATCACCATCATTATCATCACCATCATCATCACCACCATCATCATCATCACCATCATCACCACCACCATCACAGTCATCACCATCACCATCGGCATCAGGAGCACCCCACATTCAAGTAAGCCTCCTGGGTGTCAGGCACTGTGCCAAGTGCTTTCACACACTGTTTCATATGGGCTTCACAAAACTCTTATAGCTTTAACCTGACCTTTTATAGATAAAGTCATATAGATTCAGGAAGCAACTAACTGGACCAGGATCACCAGCTGGCCAATGTAGTTATGGGACGTGAGCCAGGGGTGACTGATTCCAACACCTGTATTCCTAACCACTGTGCTTCCCTGCTCTATAGCAGGCAGTGCCAAAAGTGCTCAGAGATGGCAAAAATGAAAATGATAGAAAAAACTTATCCTCTAAATATGTTGTACAGTGCACATCTGTGCTGTCTTTTATCCTGCCGATGGTTTACTTTTTGAAAAACAACCCATTTCATCTAAGCAACTTGTTTTTAAAAGTAAACCATCACCTATTCTGATTTAATAAGTGGCATACACAAAGTTGAAACTAAAGTCAATGGAAATCAGTTCATAAAATCTTTGGGAAAAACTGAAGCAATCAGTGGTGACAAGGCTGGAACTGAAGATACATTTGACTGGGTTGCCCTCAGAATCCCACGCTCCATAAATCATCCTTGTTCTCTGCCACCCTGAGTTTATCAGGGACGTTCTTGCCCTGTAATTCACCCTGAACCATCATGCTTTAGTTTCAAAAAAGTAATTAAGCACTGCCCAGATAAAAGAGATAAAGATTTAGAATGCATTATACAAGCAGATTAGAATGTGAACACAGAAATCTCAATTAACCTTCTAATCTGTAGGTCAGAAGGAGGGGTCTCTGAGTTACAAGGAGAATACAATGCCAATTTCCTGCAGACCCCATTGAGCTGGTGACAAAATTCAGGTCACAGCTATTAGTTATAATAACAGGAAGAAAACAAAAGATTGTGCAGTTTATTTCTGAAAAGAGTGGTGCCCAGACAAAGCCAATCCCAAACGCTGAGCCTGAGGCGGGGTGGGAGACAGCCTTCCCAGCCAGCTGCAAAGTAACCTTTGAGTTTCCTAAAAATCACTTTCTAGAGGAAAGGAGGCATTGGCATGAGCACATGTGATAAGCAAGGGGAACTTCTCAAGCCCAAAGCACAGTATGGCGGTGGTAGTTCAGGTTCATGTCAAGGCGCATCCTGCACGGCTACCGAAGACTGGCCAACCTGGGCACAATGCCACAGGACCTCTGTCTCCCAGCCTCCGTTTTCCATGTGCTGGGCGGTCAGGATCCTTTGAAGAACTGTTTGGTTGGTAGCTTAGGGAGGTTATTGTTTAGTTATCACAATCACTCATTCAAGGTCTTGGGCATTCTTGAGATGTGCTTGAATGTCCTTACAGATCCCCACGGTGCCTTCTAAAGGTCAGCTGGGAGAGGGACGCAGGCTGCCCATCTTGGAGGTGAGGTGCTCAGAAGTGCTCAGCAATAGGCAGCCTGCATTTGCACCTAGTTCCTCCCACAGCCTCAGCCCAGAGGACAGGGCGAGTCTTTTCTTCTCGTGGGACCCTGGCCTGAGCTTTCTCTGACTCCCTCCCACTCTCCAGTAATTTATCAGCTCATCCCTGTCTCAGCCAGATCTTCAGAAAGTGGAGCCTCCATTTACTAGTGTGTTCTTGAGCTTGGGTGAAACCATGTATGTAGGTACTGGCTGAATGGTGTCCCCCAGATTTCACCTTATTCAAAAGGTGTTGTTACGGATGTAGTCAGTTAACATAGGGTCACACTGGAGTTGGGTGACCCGTGCACCTGGTGTCCTTGTGAGAGGGAGGAAGAGCATGAACACACGTGAAGGCAGCGGGAAGATGAAGGCAGAGACTGGGGGGGTGCGGCCACAAGCCAGGAGCACCAAGGGTAGATGCCACCACCGTAAACCGGGAGACACATGGAACAGGTTCTCCCTCGGAGGCCCCAAAAGGAACCCACCCTGACCCCCCTTGACTTCAGCCTTCTGGTCTCCAGACCTGTGAGAGAATGCATTTCTGTTGTTTACAGCACGGCAGTGCAGCAGCCCCGGGAATCCATCACACAACTGAAAGCCAAGCATGAGAGTTTGCCCTGGCACGAGTCAACCTCAATCAGCCCAGAGTCCCCAGCTGCTTCACATGGAATCTGGTGAGCCTGGCCCCTGCCGGCGGGTGACAGCCAGACTCAGAGACATGACTGGGCCCTTGCAGTCCTCTCCCTTGCCCACACACCATGCCCAGTGCTGCTTGAGAAAGACCCACTGTCCCTGCAGCTCATTCTTGAACCTCTTCTCCTTGTAGGCAAGTATTTTTCACCTACATGTCCCTCATCGTCTTCTTCTAACTTCCTGTCCAAAGCCATCAACTCCCTGGCAATTAGCCTCTCAAGCATTTTACAATATCCTTTCAGGGGTCCCCATCTACTTGTAGTATTTACAGCACAGCATCTGGCCATGGTAGATGTTTTATTAGTTGAATAAATAAATGAGTGGATAAACAAGCAAATGAGAAATAAAATACAGTCATCCCTTAGTATGCACAGGAGATTGGTTCCAGGACCCCAGCAAATACCACAACCTGCAGATGCTCAAGATGACATTGTGTGTGTGGATGATCCGCTCACAGCCTCCCACAGACTTTACATCATCCCTAGACGATCTTGTAACACCCAATACAATGTAAACGCTGTGTAAATAGTTGCTATGCTGTCTTTTTATTTGTATTATTTTTTATTGTTGTATTGTTGTGTTTTCTGAATATTTTGGATCCAAGGTTGGTTGTGGATCCTGCAGGTTTGGAGCTCCAACTGTATTACTCATCTATTTATAAAATAGTTAAAGTTTCAATATGCACATGTCATCAGCAGGGGCCTCTTCCCAATCACCTTCCTTTCCTCTGTCTCCCATCCACCTACCAACACCACCCATGTTCTGTCAAAGGGGATCCAACCCAACCAGTTACTGAAGCCAAAGCAGAGGGTGGAGTGGCCAGGAAGGCTCAGCCTTCAGAGGAAAGGGAGTTCTGTGAAAGGAGAACCCAGAGAGTGCAATATTGTTCAGGGGACACCCCCATTTCTTTTTTTTTTATTTTTAGTTGACACATAATAATTGTACATATTTATGAGTTATTTACTTATTTAGTTAGTTAGTTAGTTAGTTAGTTACTTAGTTGTTTTGAGACACAGTCTCGCTCTGTCGCCCAGGCTGGAGTGCAGTGGCGCAATCTCGGCTCACCACAACCTCTGCCTCCCGGGTTCAAGTGATTCTCCTGCCTCAGCCTCCCAAGTAACTGGGATTACAGGCGCCCACCACCATGCCCGGCTAATTTTTGTATTTTTAGTAGAGATGGGGTTTCGCCATATTGGCCAGGCTGGTCTCGAACTCCTGACCTCAGGTGATCCACCTGCCTCAGCCTCCTAAAGTGCTGGGATTGCAGGCACGTGGCACCGCACCCGGCCATATTTGATACATGTATACAATGTACAATGATCAAATCAGGGAAATTAGCATATCCATTACCTCAAACATTTATAATTTCTTTGTGTTTGAAACATTCAAAGACCTCAACTCTAGCTTTTCGAACATGTATAATAGATCACTGTTAACTATATTTGGCCTACAGTGCTGTAAAACACTAGAACCCGTTTCTCTAGCTGTCGTGATCTGGCTGTAATTTTGTATCTATTAGCTAACATCGCCCTATCCTTCCCCCTTTCCCAGCCTCCAATATTCATGGTTCTACTCTCTGCTTCTAGGAGCTCACGTGTGTGAATGAGAACATGCAGCATTGATCTTTCTGTGCCTCAGTTACTTCACGTAACCTAACGTCCTCCAGGAGTGTCTGTGTTGCTGTGAAGGACAGGCTCTCGTTCCTGTTTACGACTGAAATGGACTCCGTTGTGTATATGGACCCTGTGTTCTTTATCCATGCACCCATTTCAGTTTCTTATTCTGCACTTACAAGGGATTGTATACTGTCACAGCTCTGTCCGAAGGAGCAAGCATCGTTGCATTCAGTGAATTTTTAAAATTTTCTGTCAAGCTCTATGCTATGCAGGAACACTCCTTAGGTCACAGGAGCCCAGGGAGCTTCACTGCTGTCTCGCTGATCAGCCCGTCGTCATCAATACTGAATTCAGGTGCACACTGTGCTTCCTTAGTATCTGTGGTCTTTCCCGGAACAGACTCCAAAATGACCATAACAGTCACAATTCTCCCTAGGAATGTCGCATCTGTATCTTCAACATTTACCTAAGTGCCTGTCGTGTGCTAGATGCGGGAAGAAATGTAAAGATAAGGATTTTTTCCCCTTCAAAATGTGTTTAGAATCCACTTTGAGGGGTGTTTACAACCCAAAGATGAAGACACACACACACCATCCACAATTATACAAGAGGAACTCTGGAAGGGCAGGGGTTCTGCAGAAGCGTGGGGGGTGTTCTGAGGAGGAACCTGGAGCACTGGCAGGTGATTTGACCACACCACACAGAATAACAGCACAAACTCACATTTCCTGAGAAGCAGTCAAATGCCCCTTTAATCTAAATCTCTCCCCTAAGAATGGGTCTTAGTGACTGAAATACGCTCATGAGCCTCGTTCCTTGAAGTCCATAATGATGCGTGCGTGATAGCAAACTAAAGACAATGTGATTCCCATTACCAACAGGCCACTCACACCAGTGAGCTTGTCCAAGCACTTTCATGCAGACCCACAGGGCTCTGGGGCCTGCAGCACAGAGCAGGTGATTTAGGACTGCAGAAGGATGCAGGGATGGGGTGCGTCCCAGACATCACAGGCTCAGAAGACACCCGCAGGGCTCCCTGGCATTCAGCACACAGCAGGTGACTTAGGACTGCAGAAGGATGCAGGGATGGGGTGCGTCCTGAGATCACAGGCTCAGAAGACACCCACAGGGCTCCCTGGCATGCAGCACACAGCAGGTGACTTCTTAGGACTGCAGGAGGATGCAGGGATGGGGTGCCTCCCAGAGATCACAGGCTCAGGAAACACCAACAAAGAAGAAGGAAATGCCGAGGGCAGTCGTCTCCTGCTGCAGAATGCTTCCTGGAACCCCTTCTACCTGTTCTTCCCCGTCCACAGCCAACTCAACAACATTCCCTGAGTAGAAAAGTTTGCTTTTTCAGCGATGCTGGATGCTAACAGCTGGGATCCCTCTCTCAGGTTCCCTGCCCCTCAAGGAGCCACAAGAGCTGATCATTCCCATTCATCCCTAAGCCAACTGTCCATTGAGTGGCAACATTACAACCAGTGGTACCCGGGAACGTGCGCCTTCCTGGTTTGTTTTAATTCCCTCAGCATCTCTTTAATGTTAAATTTTATGTGTTCACGGCGACAACCAGTGGTACCTGGGAACATGCGCCTTCCTGGTTTGTTTTAATTCCCTCGGCATCTCTTTAATGTTAAATTTTATGTGTTCACGGCGACAACCAGTGGTACCTGGGAACATGCGCCTTCCTGGTTTGTTTTAATTCCCTCGGCATCTCTTTAATGTTAAATTTTATGTGTTCACGGGGCCAGGTCATGGTGTCCTGTTGTCTGGTCAAGCCCCGGGCTAGGTGTCGCCGTGAAGGTGTGTTTTAGATGAGATTGAAATGGAAGTCAGTCTACTTGGAATAAAGCAGAGGACCGTCCATGGTGCAGATGAGCCTCATTCAGTCTGTTGAAGGCCTTAAGAGGGAAAGTCCACAGTCCCCCGGAGTGGAAGGAATTCTGTCTCCAGGCCACCTTCAGACTCCAGACTGCAATATCAGCTCCTGCTGGAACTGCCAGCCTGCCCACCTGCCCTACAAATTTCAGACTTGCTGGTCCCATGATTCCATAAACTAAGCCCTTAAAGTCCACCTCTCTCTGTGGGTCTTGCTCTTTATGTACGAACACACCCCTACCCACGCCCTCTCTACTCTGTTCCTCTGGAGAACCTTGACAAACACAGCTCGGCTGGATGGTATAGAGTGAATCTACTTCCCTCTTTGGCCTTTAATTTGCTTATCTATAGAATAGGGATAACATTACCTATCCCTGGCAGATGAGATGGGCTCCCTGGCCCCGGCTTTGGGGAGCATCATATGAGAAGCAAAGATCAGGCCCCAAAGAGAAGATGAAGCGCCCGAGGCCCCGTAACCAGCGCAAGGTCACACTGCTGGTTGGGAGGCAACGCCAGCTCTCTAGCACTGGTGAGCAAATGCCTGCAGGGACTAAGCTACCTGGGGAAGACATAAATGCACTTTGTAATAAAACTTTCCCTAAAAGTTATGATTTTCAATGTTCAATGCCCCAGAACAAATGAACGGTTCTGTTGCTTTATTTAGAGCAGGGCACAGTGGCCCCCGGGGCTGTCTTCAGACGGCCTGATGGCTGCTCTCTCCTGTCCCTCACCTCCACCAGACATGACACACTTCATCCTGCTGTTTTCAGTCCCTGCAAACATCTCTCAGGAAAACAAGCCGCATTGCACTGGAGGTAATGAATCAGGGCACGGCGACCCGGCAGCAAAGGCCCAGAGTAATTGTGAGCATATTCAAGCAAGCACATAGCACCCAAGACAAAGCAAGCAAGCACATAGCATTCAAGACAAAGCAAGCAAGCACATAGCACCCAAGACAAAGCAAGCAAGCACATAGCATTCAAGACAAAGGCTTCTCAAGGTGGTGTTATTTGTTTGCAAGATGCTTGTCTGGGGCACCTTCGGGGTTGATCAGACCCTGAAGGTGAACATGTGACAGCCTGACTTCAGCTTGTCAAATACAGACAAGGCAATTGAAGGTGGCTGAAGGGTGCTGGGTCTTGTCTCCCCAGCAGGCTCTGGGCTGGCCATCCCATTGCACACCTGGACTGTGGTAGACGAGCTCCCGTTTGTCCTGCTCAGCTGTCCTGGGAACCCAGGACAGAGGTGGGCTGGGCTGACATTTCCCGAAGAGCTACTTCCCAACCAAATGGTGGGACAGCAATGGCCAGTTGCCAGCACATGGCCGGCATCCACAGATCAGCTTCGAATCAGTCTGAGTTCATACAGGAATCCATCGTGACAGATGTTTTTGCACCGCAAGGATCATGGAGAGCAGACACAGACTCCGTGGCTGGGACAGAGCAACAGAGAACGCTGTCGCCTGAGCGCAGGAATCACCTGTCCAGTTCATCTCACCGTTCACTAAGAATATTGCGCTCCTGACCCAGGAGTGATTTATAAATAACAGGAGAGCCTGCTACGAATGCACATTCCTAGGCCTCCTGTTCAAGAGATCAGAGGTGGGCCTGGAATCTTCACTTTCCACCAGGGCTTCCGGTGGTGATGGTGCTGGTTGTCTGCAAAATCACCCCCAAAGACAGAAGCCTTAACCCTGCCTCCTATGGATGCACCTCTTCCGGTTCAGGAGGATGCAGTTAACACAGCGTCATGGAGTGTGAGGTTGGGAAGGGTCCTTGGAACATACCCAGGATGGTTTACTTCAAATGTGGGGAGAAGAGACCACAAAGTCCTGTGTTCAAGTACAATTTTCTCTGCAGTATAAATAAATAAAACTCACAAAAGCACCTTGAAAGTGGCGGTTGGCAGGTTGGTGGAAGAAAGAGAGAGAAGAGCAGGGATGGGGCCACGCCTCCCACACTCCCTGGCAGTCGGGAGGGGCTCCCTGGCCCTGGCTTTGGGGAGCATCTGGCAGTTGAGAGGGGCTCCCTGGCTCCGGCTTTAGGGAGCATCACCTGAGAAGCAGTGATCAGGCCCCAACGACAGGATGAAGAGCCTGAGGCTCCGTAAGCAGCCTGGTTGGGAGGCGACACTGCTGGTTGGGAGGCGACACCAGCTCTCTAGCAGTGGTGAGCCAATGCCCGCAGGGACTAAACTAGCCTGATACACCACCCCGAGAGAGCCTCCCGCCAGAGGGAGAGCACGTGCCGGCCCACAGCTACATGGGAGATTCCCTGTCCCCTCCATTTCTGAAATGGATCCAAGCCGTCACTATAACGGGCAGACATTTGGACAGAACTTCAAAACCAACACAATCAGAAAGTAATCATTTTTCCCTTCCTGAATGAGCTCCTCCCCCTGAGCTTCCTGTGTCTCTCGTCCACTCTCCTCGAGTCGGGATCCACAGAAGCTTCTGGAAGAAGTGTTGTGTAGAAGTGAAGAGCCTGGTTTAGAATCAGAAGACGGATTTTGAAGCTTGGCTGCACTGCTTATTGGCTCTGTAAGCACTGTCAAGTCACCCAGCTTCACTGGACAGCAGCTTCCTCAGCTACAGAAAGGAATGAATAAAACCATGTTCATGGTATCCGTGTTTGGACACACTCCACAGATATCCGCCAAGTGCCCGCCACATGCCACGCAGCAATCACAGACACTTCGTCAGTGTTATCTTTCCTGCTGCCCCCTCCTTCCCCTGCAGCGTCCCTGGGTCTTACCAGCCTCCCCCTTGCTGTCCACTCATTCCCTTGTTCTCCATTGTCCCTGCTGCCTCAATCATCCAGTTCCTGGTTTTCCATTTTTATGCCAAAGAATAGCTCTGTCCCTGGCTTCAAGACACTCCATTTTCATCACACCTCCTCAATCATTATGCATTTTCAAGTGGCTCCTCGTTACCTAGTGGTTAAAAACCAGCTTCCCAACCAGGCTTTCAAGAATATCCATGATCTGATTCTACCTTATAGACCGGCGTCACCTCCCTTCCTCCCTGATACCACTAAGCACTAACTGCACCACCTCCTGCTCCCTCCTGCCTGTGTCCGGGGAATCCCAGCACCACACCTCTGCTCAGGCCAACCCCTCTCCCAGAAATGCCCTCCCTGCCTCATATCCAAACATCTTGCCTCCTGGAATCAGCTCAGGTTGTGCCTCCTGCATTCTCACTGATACCCTCTGGCCTGACTCCTTCATATGTGTATCCTTGAGGCCTCATAAGCCGTATTTCAGAACAGGGAGGCCTCCAAACCAATGGGCCAGTATTCAAATTAACATTCAGCTCCTCCGAGTCCATCTGTGTGGTCAAAAATGGCAGAATCTCCTTTTTTAAGGCTGAGTAATACGCCATCGTGTGTGTGTGTGTGTGTCTGTGTGTGACAATTTATTTTGCTAAGTGAAATATATAGGAAGTGAAGAAAATATAAACAAAAACACAGGAAGAAAAATGCTACCTGACCCCACTTATATGTGAAATGCAAAGAGGCTGAAGACACAGAAGCAGAGAGAAGGTGGCGACCAGAGCTTGGAGGTGGGAGATGGGGAGATGTTGGTGAAAAGGCACAGAGCTGCAGCTGTGTGGAGACCTACTGCGCAGCACCAGGCCTGCTGCTGCTGACAGCGTCCATGCGCTCACCGTGGTGATCCTTCCACAATGTGTCACATCAGCACATCATATACTTTAAATACACACGCATCATACACTTTAAATACATGCAGTGTTATTTGTCAATTATACCTCAGTAAAGCTAAAACATTTTTTATTTAATTTTAAAAATTAAGTTCCTATATTTATTAGCAGCTCTCAAAGAGCATTAAAGGGAATCCAGTTCATAGCTACAAACCTTCTAAACAATTCCTATTTCTCTCCTTCCCAATCCCCTTTCCTCCTGGAGTCCCCAGACCCTTCCACTCTCTGAACTTACTCTCAACAATGTCCCGGGTCACCCCCGGGATTTCCCATACAGGGGTCTCTTCCTCCTTCCTGCCCCACACCTCACCCCTGAGCCTGCGCCAGATCCCCCAAGACGGCTGGAAGATCCCAAACCTCCACGATCCCTCTTGGGGTCTCACTCCACTGGAATGAAGCTGGGAGCTCCCTGGAAACTGTATTTTTTCCTGTCATCTCATGAGAAGCCCCCATGTGAATTTCTAGTAAATAATATCCTTCGTCTCATTACAAATTTATTGTCTGTAACGTTCCATTGTGACAGTGGATCCCACCCTGTCCTATGGCAACTGAATGGCCTCTTGCATAAGCCTTTTCTTCCCAAACACACTGTGAGCTCCTGAGAGGAGCAGGATGAGTCTTGTTTCCTGGGAGGCCCTGTCACAGCCCACACCACGCATCGAGGGCATGGTAGAGTCCGACGGAGCCGAGCAGAAGGAAGCAGTGCCTGCTGGAGCCGGGAGGGACGCACACCTCGTCTTCACCATACCATGCAACCCTACAACATTGCACATTAAATCACATCACGGCAAGACATGAGTTATTTCCAGATCACAAAAGAATGCCGGTGCAATTGAACAGTAACTAGAATAGGCCGTGTGATTTCCTTCACCACCAAATTCTCAGACTGTCATTAAACACATAGGACACAATACAATTCAGCGTGAATTCAGACATCTGTGAAAAATCCTTCGTGGGAGTGGGAGTGACTGGGATCCCGTACGTAGGGTGCATAGTACGTGCCTACACGTACAGCTGGAGCCCAGAATTTTAAAATAACAATGTGAACATCTGATGTAGGAATTGTGGCTTCTTCTGGATGAGCAGGCTTTAAATGCCACGCTCTGTTGGGTGCTTTCTGGGGCCAGAAATCTTGCAAATCAGGGTTTTCTCCAAGGTTCCCATTGAGTTACATGTCACAGGCCCAGTCAGCATATATTTATTGACCAATTAATGTTGCAGGAATATTTACAACTGCTGAACTCCTCAAGTCAGGCATTTCCCCACGATTACTATTTCAAAGTATAATCTTTTCAACTTTCTTTTAAGGGAGGCTGACATTATGCAATTAAATATAACGTGACACGGTGCAATGCTGTTATTTTGTGGGAAAAGTTTTAAAAATGCTATAAAGGGAAAACATTCCAATTTGGTATGAGATTGCAGCAGATTCTGATAACAGTGCCTATCCTATGTTCCAAAGGCAAACCAGCGCATCTCACTCAGAGTTTTTTGAGGCCTATAAGCAAGATGTCAACATAATTTTGTAAAAAGTGGATCTGCACAGGAGGCACCAGAATCCCACTCAACAAACACCAAGAAAAGTCTTGCTGGCTTCATTCATGCTGGGATTGGCCGTGCGTTGCAAGCAGCATGACAGAAGTTAGGGCAAGTGAGTCCACGAATGCGTCCTGGTCTCTGTGTGGACAGCGAAGTGTGTCTCCTGGAAAGCGCTCTTCAGTTCGGATCCCCACACACCTGGGGAAAGAGCTGGTGAGTTCTTCAGGGGGATAGTGATGGGCATCATGATTCAGAGCATTGACAATCAATGTTGAATAAAATAGGTCCAAGGATTAAGCCCCAGGACAAGCCAGAAATCTTCAGAGTCGACATACCCCTATCAGATATAACTGTTCAGCCAGCTCTGAACAGTTACTCAGGTGTGTGAATATTCAGGTGTGTGAATTATTTCTAACCTACATTTCTCCATCTTGTCCTCAGGGAGACTGAGAGCCTGGCTGGAGTTAAGAGGCAGTGAAGCTCCCACACCTCCCAAGCCTGTTCGCACAGGAAATGAGGTCACCTTGGCATGGCTGTTTAAGTGAGCCAATGCTTGTTGCTTTCGTTTCTAGAATTTTCCAAGACATCTTTTTACATCTAAACTAAAATTGTCCACAGATAGACAGCGTTCACTCATCTGTGGTCTCCATGCAACCTTATTCCCATCTCGAAGGCCACACCATCTGTCCATCTCTTTTGTTCTGCTGTCTTCTCTCATTCCTCAAGATTCCACAGGGATTACCTCCAAGGGCTTGGCCATCTCATTTCTAAGATCTTTTAGATCTTCTGGGTCTCACAGCTTAAACTTCCTTATAGACAGCAGATGCCACATATTACTTTCTATTTGAGATTTCAGTTCTCTCAAGTTTGCTCTGCCCTTTCTGTTTGAAGACCATATTTACATAAAGGAGATGGAAAAGAAAGTAGAAATTGAGTCATTCCAGCTTCTTCTCCATCTGTTAACATCATACCATCTGCCCCTTGCTTCTTGCATTAAACAAAACAAAGCAACACAGAGTCTCAGACGATTCTAGACGAAAGCAATGTGGCCCTAGAAGTGGATAAGAAGAATGCAGCCAAAGGTTTTATGAGTTCCTAAAGGCAGAAGAGAGGCTAGGGTGCTGGCTTGGACTCCCTGCAGACCCCAGACACAAGGGGAGCCTGTCTCACTCTCCAGCTCTCTCCACGTGCCTGCAACAACTGCTTGTTCTCACTAGAGGGGAAGGAAAGAGCAGGAGACCCAGGAATGACCCCGGAGGACACGGCAGGACCCAGCCTAACTCCTTCACCTTCTCCAACGTAAAATGGAAGCTGCAAACTGCTGAGAGGGCAGGAAACCCTCCTCAGCCCCAGATCCCAAGCAGAGACCTGTGCATCCTAGTGAGGGGAAAGCATCCACCCTCTGCCTCTGAGCAATCAATGCAGAAGCTCTGGAAGGGATGACTGGTGAGCTCACAGGTTACATACAACGGAATTATAAAAATATGCTCGATGAATCCAAAAGAAGGCAGAAAAAGAGAAAAAAAGAACAAAGGACAAATAGGACACTGCCACAACAATGATCACACAAAACATAAGCGGTCTGAATATTCCAATGAAAAGGCAGAGATCATCAGAGCAGATTAAAAACACGAGACCCACCCATACACCGCCTGTCGGAAACCTACTTTAGAAGACAGCTGGGCAGTGCCCTGGACAGTTAGATGCCATCTTTACATAGAACACAGCATACTATTCTAGGCATTTACTCAGGAGGAATGAAAACATATGTTCATGCAAGTCCTGTATATGAACATCTAAAAGCAGATTTATTCACAATAAAAACAAAAACTGAAAACAATGCCAATGTCCATCCACTGGGAGTGGAAAAACAAATTGCAGTCTCTCTGCTGTGGAGTGCTATTCTGTAGTAAAAAGGAGCAGCTACTCTTGCACACAGTAGCACGGGTGCTCTCAGCGGCAGTGTGCCAGGACACTAGACACAGAGGAACACACGCTACATGATTCCATTTTCATGCCCTTGTGAAAAAGACAAAACCACAGAGGCAGAACTCAGATCAGTGTTTGTCAGGGGCTGGGAACAGGAGGATGTTGATCCAATGCAAAGGGCCTGAGGAAACTTTGTAAAGGGTGGAATATTCTAACCTGGTTACATGAGTACACACCACACTCATCAAATTATATACTAGAAAAGTGTGCATTGTACTGTGTGCAAATGATACCTCAATATGCAAAAATACTTAGGTCATTGTTTTGAAAACTTAATGGGATTTACCTTTCGCTATCTTGCTGGTGTTCATGAAACACTGTTAACTGATTGACTATAAGGAGGTCATTTGAGGGCAGTGGTTCTCTTAGACTAGGACACTGTGCATGTTCTGCTTGTACCTTCCCATGCAAATTCATCTTTCTGCAGAGAGTTAGCCAGTGAGCTTTTTGTCTGAGGCTCTTACTACTAAAAGAAAAACCAGGAGCTGAGCTAGAGCACCCAGAAGCATCCCCTTAGAATGAAATCTGGGAACAAGAAACAGTCGTGAATCATTTGGCCTGTTTTCACATGCCATTGCTTTCAGCGGGAAGTTAAGCTTGAGTTTGCAAGATCAAAGTCCTTTTCATCCTGCTGGTCCACCTGGAAGCTGTGGTTGCTAAGAGAGACCCAGACCCAGGAATCTGGAGCTGTGGAAGCAAACTGTCAATCTCCTGAGCTGGTACCAAAAGCGCCCCGCATGCCTGGCCCCTTGGCTCTCACTCGGATGCATCCTTTTGCCCTCTGTCATCCTTCCTCCACATGACACGGCGACAGAGAAAACAGTAATTTAAAGAGAACTAGAAGGACCTTCGAGGAATGGAGAAGCATCTGTCTTACACACATAAGCTGCTTGAAAATCAAACCTGCCACCAGGCTTGCGTGTTCTTGGAGAGAGACAATGTGGAAATGGCATCAGAGTTTCTGCCTTATGGATAAGCAGAGGTCTCGTGAAGAAAGGCCAGTGCCTGCCACTTTCAGATAAAAAGGAAGGTATTGCCAAAATACACTCTGTGGTTGTAAAGGTAATTTCTGGGGTGAGAAATCCTTAAGGAAGGTACTGCCGAAATACACTCTGTGGTTGCAGAGGTAATTTCTGGAGTGAGAAATCTTTTTAAAGCACTTGATATTCCTTATTTACCTCTTTAAATTGAAGAGTTTTCTTTTAACTAATCTCTTCTGTGAGCTTTTTTCTGTGGCTCTTACCCTTTTCATGGATCGCCCATCGCCTCCACATCTGGTCTACCTCATTTCCCAATCTTATTTTCTAGGATGAAAAAAAAAAGTCTCAGATAGACCAAAGGAGAGCTAGATTCCACTTCAGTCTTTATCTGAACTGAAAAATCCATGATTTCAAAATCAACCCAATATTGTAAACCAAGCACTTATCACTAATTCCACCTGATTTTCTCCCCCACTCCAAGGGAAAAAGGGAAAGTGAGACCTGTAAACTGCCTTTGCCTGTGAAAGAATCTCTTCTAGGTCCTTCAGTGCATGCAGAACTCAGACAGCGGACGCAGCCAGCAGCTGGACCTCTTCATCCACAGGGTTTACCTCACAATAGCTGGCTGCCAAGCCGTTTCTGTACTGCCTAAAGCCGGGGAGCCGTGGCAACCATCGGGGCCGCAGGTGCTCTGACGGTGGCCCACGTTAGGCAGAGGCACTGCCACAGTCCCCTCTCCCGGGAGCGTCATGGGGCAGGAGCAACCAGCACACCTGAGCCCAGAACCCGCATTCTGGGTGTGAAGTGACTCCACCCTGCGCAGAGGGAAGGCGCCGTCGCAAGTGCAGCCTGCATATCACGTGGGGTCTGTTTTTCAGTAAAAAGTAGGTTTGCAACGTGAGATGGTGAAGGAAGTGATTTCTTACCTGTGTGGCTGCAGGTAAGTTAGTGAATCTCTCTGAGCTCAGCTTCCTCATCTGGACAGCAGGACTCCTTCTGTGCTCCAGGGCTTGTGAAAGTTCTCTAGAATGAAGCAGAGTCCCTGTAGGATGGGTAAAGTGCAGGGCAAAACCCAGTCAGTTCCTGTTGTGAGCTCTCCTATGAGAGCCTGTCTTGGTGTAGCAGATTGAAGCACAGATTTGGGGTTCGACAGACCTGGCTACAGGCCCGCTCTGTCATTCATTACACACGTGCTCTTGGGGAAGCAAAGTAACTTTCTCATGCCTCGTTTTCTCCCCGCAGGAAAGAAGAACATTGACACCTGCCGTCGTGGGTTGTTGGGAGGACTAAGTGATATGGGAAGGAGGCAGGGAAGTGCTGGGTAGAGAAAGGTGGGTCCCTGGCTAGAGCTCCACCCTCGGGCCTGTGTCCACAGAGCTAGGTGAGGACAGGCACTCCTGCCTTCACACCCGTATGTTGCATTTCCCAAAACCACCCTGGCCCAGCACGCCCCCAGCCTGTGCCTGTAAAAACCCCAAGACCCAAGCGGCAAGACAGCAAGAGGAGACCGTGAGCGGAAGAACACCCAGGCAGCTGGACGGCCAGAGGCGCACATTGATTGGAGAGCCCGCGGCAGGCACTGAGACACTGGCACGCCGCAGGCTGTTCCTGCGGAACCACGCGGAGTTTGGCCAGGGTGGTGGGAGAGGAGGCCGGCTGCTCAGCAGCCTGACTCCAGGGGAAAACCTTCCCGCTCCATCTCCCTTCTAGCTCCCCCATCTGCTGAGAGCTACCTCCACTCAATCAAACCTTGCACCCATTCTCCAAGCCCAGGTGTGATCCGATTCTTCCAGTACACCAAGGCAAGAGCCCGGTATACAGAAGTCTTGTGTCCTTGTAACAAGGTAGAGGGTCTAATTGAGCTGGTTAACACAAGCCGCCTAGAGACGGCAAAACTGAAAGAGCACACGGTAACACACGCCCACTGGGGCTTCAGAAGCTGTCGACATCCACCCTAGCCACTGTCGTGGGGTCAGAGCCCCACAACCTGCCCATCTGTATGCACCCCTAGAGATCTGGGCAGCGGGGCACTGAAGAAGTGAGCCACTCCGGCTCTCACACGCCCTGCGAGGGGACAAGGAAACCTTTCCTGTTTTATGAGGATAATAATGAAAGCAAAGCTGTAGCGTGGCATCTACCAAAGCACAGAGCTCAGTAAATACTTGCTGCGATTGTAGGATGGCCGGGAAGTCTTCTCCCCGCAAAACCGCAATATTATGTGACGAATACCATGTGACAGGCCTAACCTCTCAAGGAAGATGAGAGAATGCAGTCATCTGACTATTGAGCTATTCTCCACTGACAGAGAGGCCGTTTATTCAGCAGACCTGAAAGACAGAAAAACAATCAGAAAAGTTGAAGTAGTGACTTTTTTAGAAAAACAATATTGTGGATCAAATAAGCTGAACATTCTACATCTTTACAACTAGAAATGCTGAATGAAAAGCATCAATCATCTTTTCAAATATATAGCTTAGCTCACAAGCAAGCAAAATCCACAGAGGCCAGGAATAAAGGGACCAAATGCCAGAGAGGGAGTCTGGGCTGCAGCAGCCCCACAGGAGGGGCGGGAACATCTGCAACTTGGTCTCTAAGTATCCACGTGACATTAGGTCCCTAGGGAGTTGGAAATTAAATCTGAAACCCTAACAGAAAGATGGGGCCCTCCTCAGTAGAAGAGCACACTAAGAAAAATCCCTTTGGCAAACACAGATGGCAAGCAAGCTTATCCCACTTTCCGTGGGCTCCAAAATGGGGGAAAAAAGTGTTCCCTTAAAATTCATTATTGCAGACCTGTTCTCATCTGGGATTGGGGTTCAGATTTTTATTATTTGATGTAATAACCAACCACCACACTTATTGAGACTAGGTTATTTTTTATTGGAAAAAAATCAGCTAATAATGTAAAAAAAAAAAAAGAGGGAATTAGAAAGTCCACCGTCCATAACACTGTTGAAATTATTGATTCAGGCGAGGATTATCAACTGCTGATACAATCATTAGGTTTAAGATTTAAGGAACAAGTACTCTATGGAGTGCCAGACTAACACAGCACACATTGCTCTCTAGTCAAACGAGAGATGGGGAGGGAGGTTAAGAAAGCCCGACCCCAGCCGGACGCGGTGGCTCACGCCTGTAATCCCAGCACTTTGGGAGGCCCAGGTGGGTGGATCACGAGGTCAGGAGTTCAAGATCAGCCTGGCCAAGATGGTGAAATCCCGTCTCCACTAAAAATACAAAAATGAGTCAGGCACAATGGCGGGCACCCGTAATCCCAGCTACTCAGGATGCTGAGGCAGGAGAATCACTTGAACCCGGGAGATGGAGGTTGCAGTGAGCCGAGATCGCACCACTGCATTCTAGCCTGGGCAACAGAACAAGACTCCATCTCCAAAAAAAAAAAAAGAAAGAAAAAGGAAAAAGAAAACCAGACCCAAACATAGAAAAGGCTGCATGTCCTTTCAAAGAAGTACTGAGCCAGTCTATCATGCCCGCCTCAGGATTATCTAATTCTCTAGGGCTGTACGTCTTTGTTGACTCACAGTTTACTATTGATTAGGATATTTAGCAACTCTGTAAGGGCAGGTGTTAAGCTGTAGAAAATTGATTCCATGCAAATGATTCTTTTCTTATACAAACGAACCCATGTCTGATAGAGGTGCAAATGTTGTCACTCTGATGTAAAAGATAACCCCACGTTTACAGTTTCAACATCGTATAAAACATTAACCTTTCTTGTAGCTAATTTAGAAATCTTATCATAACATTATTTTTTTCAGGGGCTATAAATACTTCTGTATTTCCTGTAATTCTTTGAACCAAAATTGCCATGCTCCTTGTTCCCCCAGTCATGGGTTAAATAAGTCTTTGTCATGTACTCACTTCCTATTTGTAAGAATCATCTTTTTGGCTTTTGAAAAATTATATTTGACAAAGCATAATTTTACATTGGAAACATCAGACAATCGTCATCTTAATTCATGTTGTCATTCTTAGCATCCCATAGTATGTGTCTCCTGATTTGATGCGTATGAAGCTCACAACACCCTGATGTATTCAAGCAAATATTCTTAACTTTAATCTATCAAGGTGTTAAAAGTGACAGCCAGGTGTGGTGGCTCACGCCTGTAATCCCAGCACTTTGGGAGGCTGAGGCTTGTGGATCATGAGGTCAGGAGATCAAGACCATCCTGACCAACATGGTGAAACCCCATCTCTACCAAAAATACAAACGTTAGCTGGGTGTGGTGTCGTGTGCCTATAGTCTCAGCTACTCAGAGGGGCTGAAGCAGGGGACTCACTTGAACCCAGGAGGCAGAGGCTGCAGTGAGCTGAGATTGTGCCACTGCACTCCAGCCTGGCGACAGAGTGAGACTCTGTCTCAAAAAAAAAAAAAAAAAAAAAAGGGGGGGGACAGATTAATAAATATTTAAGGATGTAATGACCAGATGCAGTTTGCGGCTTTGGGTCAGGTCCTGGTTTAGACAAGCCAGCTTTAAATAACATTTCAGGACAATTGGAAAAATTTGAAATGGACAGTGTATAGATAAAATAAAATGTAATTACATGAAAAGGTGGAGATAATTAATGAAGAAACATTGATGACAAAATACGATTATAATAGAATGTCAATTTAGTAAAAAAAAAAAAGAATGAATATTAAAAATATGGATAGAGAAAGGAAGAAAGAAAAAGACCTAGAATACGTACACTATGGTGTTAACAATGGTGACCTCAACATTTTTATTTTTTTCTGTTTTCTAGTTTCTAAATACACATTTACTGCTTTGCAATAATAAATGCTTTTAAAATGACAAACTAAAGCAAAAAATGATACTATTTGGGTAGCTGAAATAGCTTTAAGCTGAAAATTTTATAAAAGCAATCTAATGATGTATTATAACTCTAGGTCTCAGGTCAAAAACAATTGCAAAATTTTCTAGGTAGACACATCCTCACAAAATTTGCAGTTTTTCTGCAGATACATTCTCAATAACAATGGATTTAATTCAAAATAATACAAATGTGAGAGTAAAAAAAATGACGATGTTTCAAAAAATTTAAGAAAGCATTTCCCAGGTGAAGAAGTCCTTACAGCTTGGGAAACCCTTCTTTTTGGGATACTGAGACTGCAAAGTAAATGGACACCTTGTCCACAAACACACCTCAGAGACACTGCAGGTTCAGCTCCACATGACCCTAATGAAGCAACTATCACAATAAAGCAAGTCACACAAATGGTTTTGGTTTTTCAGTGCGTTTACAAGTTATGTTTACACTATAATGCAGTAAATGAGGGTGCAATTGTATTGTGTCTAAAAAACAGTGTACCTGCCTTAATTTAAAAATACCTGATTGCTAAAAATACTAATGATCACCTGAGCTTTCAGCAAGTTGAAATCTTTTTTATTGGTAAAGGGTCTTGCCTGGATGTTGATGCCTGCTGACTGATCACAGTGGTGGTTGCTGAAGGCTGGGATGGCTGTGGCAGTGTCTTCAAATAAGACAATGATGAAGTTTGCTGCATCAATGGAATCTTCCTTTCAGGAAGGACTTCTCTATAGCATGTGATGCTTTTTGATAGAATTTTACCCTCAGTAGAACTTATTTCAAAATTGGAGGCTATCCTCTCAAATCCAGCCCCTGCTATATTAACTAAGTTTACGGAATATTAGAAATCCTTCATGCCTGTAATTCTAGCACTTTGGGAGGCTGAGGCAGGAGGATTGCCTGAGCTCAGGAGTTCAAGAGCAGCCTGGGCAGCACAGAGAAACCCCATCTCTACTAAAATACAAAAAAATAGCAGGGTATGGTGGCTTGCACCTGTAGTCCCAGCTACTCAGGAGGCTGAGGCAGGAGAATTGCTTGAACCCAGCAGGCGGAGGTTGCAGTGAGCTGAGATTGTGCCACTGCACTCCAGCCTGGGTGACAGAGTGACACTCTGTCAAAAAACAAACAAACAAACAAAAAACACTTTGTTTTCATTTCAACAGTGTTCACAGCATCTTCACCAGGGTAGATTCCATCTCCAGAAAACACTTTCTTTATTCACCTGAAAGAAGCCACTCCTCATCCGTTTAAGTTTTATCCTGAGATGGCAGCAATCCAGTCACATTTCAGGCTCCACTTCTAATTTTAGTTTGCTTGCTTTTTCCTCCTCATCTACAATTACTTCCTCCCCTGAAATCATGAACCTGTCAGAGTCACCCATGAGAGCTGGAATCAGCTTCTTCCAAAGTCCTGTCATTGTTGATATTTTTGCTCCTCTCATGAATCATGAATGTTCTTAATGGCACCTAGAATAGTGAATCTTTTCAAGAAGGTTTTTAATTGACTTTGCCCAGATCCATCAGAGGAATTATTTTCTATGGTATCTTCAACCTTACAAAATGTATTTTTTAAATAATAAAACTTGAAAGCTAAAATGGCTCCTTGATCCATGGGGTGCAGAATAGATGTGCTAGCAGGCATGAAAACAACATTAATCTCTTTGTACATCTCCATCAGAGCTCTTGGATGACCAGGTGCATTGTCAATGAGCAGTAATATTTTGAAAGAAGTCTTTTTTTTTAAGCAGTAGATATCAACATTGGGCTTAAAATATTCAGTAAACCCTGCTGTAAACAGATGTGCTGCCCTCCAGCCTTTATTGTTGCATTTCTGGAGCTCAGGTAGGGTAGATTTAGCATCATTTTTAAGGGCCGTAGGAATTTTGGAATGGTCAATGAGCTTTGACATCAACTTAAAGTCACCAGCAGCATTAGCCGTTAACAAGAGAGTCAGTCTGTCCTTTGAGGATTTGAAGCCAGGCATTGCCTTCTTCTCTCTAATTATGAAAGGCCCAGATAGCATCTCTTCCAATAGAAGCCTGTTTCATCTTCGTTGAAAATCTGTTGTTGAACACGTTGTCTTTCACATTCAACATGGCCCCTATATAAAATTTAGCTATGCCCTACAGGACTCAAAGGAAAGGGAGAAGGGAAGGTAAGAAGGGAGGAAAGAAGAGAAAAAAAGAGGGAGAAAAGGAAGCTGTATTTCGGTTTGGGGAAGGAAAAAGAAAACTTATGTTGAATTTTTATTTTAAAAAACAACTGTGCATCACCATGAAATCTGACCCCTTTCTGATAGATTTTGTAAAATAGTTTTGAATTTATACAATTTTTAACATATCATAAATTAAAATTTTAACTTATGAATAAAATGGAAATTCACTCAAAAAAAAAAAGAAAATCGGTTGTTTAGTGTAGTGATCGTCGTCAACAGTCTTAGCTAGATCTTCTGGAGAACTTGCTGCAGCTTCTCCATCAGCTGCCTCACCTTGCACTTTTATTTTATGGAGATGGCTTCATTTCTTAAACCTCACAAATCAACCTCTGCTAGCTTCTGCATCCTTCTCACCTCTCTCAGCCTTCACAGAATTGAAGAGTTAGGACCTTGCTCTGACTTAGGCTTTGGCCTAAGGAAATGTTTGGCTGGTTTGATCTTCTATCCCAGACCACTAAAACTTTCTCCGTATCAGCAATAATGCTCTATCTCTTCATGTGTCCACTGGAGTAACACTTTTAAAGTCTTTCAAGACCTTTACTTTCACATTCACAAATGTAATTGGCTAATTGTTTGAAGAAAGAGGCCTAGTTTTCAGCCTACCTCTGCTGTTGACAGCCTTTCACACTAAGCTTAATCATTTCTAGCTTTTGTTTTAGAGTGAGAGACGGGCAAGTCTTTCTTTCACATGAACACTTTGAGGCCACTGTGGGATCATGAACTGGAGTGACTTCAATCCTGTTGTGTCTCGGGGAATAGGGGGCCTGCCTGAGTAGAGGAAGAGAGACGATGGAATAGCCAGCCAGAGGAGCCGAGAGAACACACATTTATTGTAAGACCTCGAACTATGAGAATCCTAGAAGAAAACCTCAGAAACATGATTCTGGACATAGGCCTTGGGAAAGAATTTCTGACTAAGTCCTCAAAAGCAGTTGCAATAAAAACAAAAATTGACAAGTGGGACCCAATTAAACTAAAGAGCTTCTGCACGCAAAAGAACCTATCACACAGTAAACAACCTACACAATGGGAGAAAATATTCACAAACTCTGCATCTGACAAAGGTCCAATATCCAGAATCTATAGGGAACTTAAACAATTGAACAAGCAAAAAAAAAAAACATTAAAAAATGGGCAAAAGTCATGAATGGATACTTCTCAAAAGAAGACATATGAGGAGCCAATGAACACATGAAAAGATGCCAAACATCACTAATCATCAGAGAAATGCAAATCAAAACCACAGTGAGATATCATCTCACACCAGTCAGAACAACTATTATTAAAAAGTCAAAAAAAAAAAAAGATGTTAGCAAGGCTGCTGAGAAAAGGGAGCAATTATACACTGTGAGTGGGAATGTAAATTAGTTCAGCCACCGTGGAAAGCAGTTTGGACATTTCTCAAAGAACTTAAAACAGAAATACCATTCATCCAGCCATCCCATTACTGGGTAGACATCCAAAAGAAAACAAATTATTCTACCAAAAGACATGCACTCACACGTTCATCGTAGCACTATTCACAATAGCAAACACATGCAGTCAACCGAAGGTGCCCATCACCAGTGAACTGAATAAAGAAAATGTGGTACATATCCACCATTGAATACCATGCAGCCATAACAAAGAATAAAATCATGGCCTTTGCAGAAACATAGACGCAGGGGGAGACCATCACCCTAAGCAAATTAATGCAGGAACAGAAAACCAAATACTGCACGTTCTCACTTATAAGTGGGAGCTAAACATTGGGAGCTCATGAGATACAGATGGGACGCTGGGGACACTAGAGGGAGGAGGGCAGAGGGGCAAGAGTGAGAAACTAACTGTTGGGTGTTACGCTCAGCACCTGGGTGACAGGATCATTTGTATCCCAAACCTCAGCATTACACAATATACCCCGGCAACAAACCTGCACGTGTACCCTAGGAACCTAAAATAAAAGCTGAAAAAAAAAAAAAAAACCGCACATTTATGATTAAGTTCCCTGTCTTACATGGGTGTGGCTCATGGCATCTTCCAAAAATTACAATACTAACATCACAGACACTGATCACAGATCATCATCACAGATATAACAATGAAAAAGTTAGAAATATTCCAAGAATTACTAAAAATGCACACAGAGATGCAAAGGGAGCACGTGCTATTGGAAAAATGGCATCGATAGACTTGCTCAATGCACGGTTGCCATTTACAAAACCCACAATATCTGCAAAGGGCACTAAAGTGAAGTACAATAAAGCAAGGTGTGCCTGAACCACATGTTGTGGGCAGAACAGAAAAAACAAAAACAAAGAAATAAAAGATTGTCTTGGAAAGGGGAAAGAACAAACCAAAACGATACTTTGTTACAGTCAGTATGTTTGTCCACACAGAAATTTTAAAATACTTTTGTTAGAATTATTAAAAGACATCAGTGAGATATTTGGATACAAAATTAATAAACAAAAAAAATTTAAGGATATCCGATTCCAGAAAATATGGGGTGAGAGGAACCAAATTTACTGTCTTGTTTGCTAAAACCAAAGTGTAGTTAAAAAGATACAAAATATTTAAAACAGCAGCTTCCAAAGGTGGGCACAGGCCATAAAGACAATGATCCCCGAGAGCCAGAAGCAGGTGATGAAAGCCCTCGCTTCCTCCGGCTTCCTGACCAGAGAGCTTTACAGGACTCAGTGCAGGAAGGGAGGGCCCGAGTGGATCTCTGCGGGTTCCCGAGTGAAAGGATATAGAGGGGAGAGAACAAAGCAGCTGGAATTCAAGGCGAGAATGAGCACCCCAGAGGAGGGAGTGGCACCTCCACAGAAGCCCAGAGACAGCGAAGGGTCCCCCACACACGTTCAGCAGGGTCCTGATTGTGTGAGGAGACTGCACAAGGCCAGGAAAGAATCCTGTGAAAAGAAGAGAGGGGGCTGGGCGTGGTGGCTCATGCCTGTAATCCCAGCGCTCTGGGAGGCCGAGGTGGGTGGATCACCTGAGGTTGGGAGTTTCAGAACAGCCTGACCAACATGGAGAAACTGCGTCTCTACTAAAAATCTAAAATTAGCCGGGCGTGGTGGTGCATGCCTGTGATTCCAGCTACTCGGGAGGTTGAGACAGGAGAATCGCTTGAACCCAGGAGGCAGAGGTTGTGGTGAGCCGAGATTGCATCATTGCACTCCAGCCTGGGCAACAAGAGTGAAAATCCATCTCAAAAAAAAAAAAAAAGAAAAGAAAAGAGAGGGAAAGAGGGAAGAGAGGCTGTGCTCACAGAGAGGCTGGAACAGTGCCTGAGAGAACACCTCGCATTCCACAGGACACTGGACGGGGCACTCAGAAGGGCCCTGGCTCTGTCACAGGGAAGAATTTGCCCTAAACTATACATGGCTGTGGACCCGCCTGACAAATGTTGAAAAGCAAAATGGAAAGGATCGAACTGTTTCCAAGTAACATAACTATGTGCCAGGGAAAAAGCTCAAGAATATTTTTAGGAATGTAAAAATACCCAGCACCCAGTAAGCTAAAATTCGCAATGTCTGGGATCCAATCAGAGATTATCAGGCATGTAAAAGTCATGTACAAAAGCAGGAAAATACAACCCCTAATGAGGTGAAAAATCAGTCAATCTAAGGGGACTTCACACTGATGACATGGGCGTCAGAACGGCAGGCAAGGGCCCTAACCAGTGACTGTAATCCACCTATGCAGAAATCTAAGGGGAGACGTGTAGGATATAAGAAGGAAAACCTAAATCAAACGTCTGGAGACTAAACTACAGAGGGTTAGATTAAAAAATGCATGGATGGAATACACAGACAATGGAATTAATAGAAAATTGTTAGTGAACTGACAGATACAGCAATAGTAATATCCGAAATGAAACATACTGAGGAAAACGTAATATGTTAGAAAATAGTGTCAGGGAGCTACAGGATGGCTTCAAGCATATTAACATACATGTAATTGGAATCCATGAAGAAGAGAAGAGAGAAGGGTACAGAAGAGATATTTGAGGATATAATGGTTAAAAGTCTTCAAATTTGATTTTTTAAACTACATACTCACAGTTCTGAGAAACTCAATCACTCCCCGCACAAGAGATATGAGTAACACTACACCAGAATACATTATAATAAATTGCCCAAAACCAGTGATAAAGAATCAATCTTAAAAGCAGCCAGAGAACAAACACTGAATTTTTGTTATGCGCTACGTGCAGAGGAACAAAAATAAGAATGACAGCAGATTTCTCTTTGGAAAGAATGCAAGCAAGAAGACAGTTGAGCAATGTCTTGAAGGTACGAAACGGAAAAGAAAAACGACCCTGCCATCCTAGAGTTCTATACCCAGGGAAAAGAGCTTTCAAAACCAAAGGCAGCATGAAGACTTCTTCAGAAATACCAAAGTTGAAAGAATTCATTATCAACGTAACTGTGTTATAAAAAATGCTAAAAGGAAGTCCTTTAGGTAGATTGAAATTGACACCAGATGGTATCAATAAAGAATGAAGAATACTGGAATTTGTAACTACATTTTTAATATACATTTTGTAAATATATATAAATATATATATTTATGTAATATAATACAAATATATATTTTATATATAAATATATATATTTATGTAATATAATACAAATATATATTTTATATATAAATATATAAAATAATTTCCTTATTTTAAAATATCTTTAAAACATAAATGAGTGTTTAATGAGAAATACAGCACAGTATAATAGGGTTTATAATTTATATGTAAAACAGTAAAACATATGACAGCAACAGCATGAAAACTGGGAGGGAAGAAATGGAAATATACTATTGTAAGGTTTATAAATTATACAGGAAGTGGTAGAATAACAGGAAAGCAGGCTGTGATATGATGTGTACAATTAACCCTAAAGCAATCACTAGAATTGGAAAAAAATAGTTATAGCTAATAATTCAACAAAAAATTAAATAAAATGAAAAGTACACAATTTATTTAAAACAAGGCAAAAAATAGGAAAAGGCAACAATAAACAAACGAGATAACATGAAACAAATAGTAAAATGATAGAACTAAAGCTAACAATATTAATAATCACATCAGGCTGGGTGCAGTGGCTCACACCTGTCATCCCAGCACTTTGGGAGGCCAAAGCGGGTGGTTCACCTGAGGTCAGGAGTTTGAGACCAGCCTGGCCAACATGGCGAAACCCTGTCTCTACTAAAAATACAAAAATTAGCCGGGCTTGGTGGCACACACCTGTAATATCAGCTACTCAGGTGGCTGAGGCAGGAGAATCTCTTGAACCTGGGAGGTGGAGTTGCAGTGAGCCGAGATTGTGCTACTGTACTCCAGCCTGCACGACGGGAACGAGACTCCATCTAAAAAAAAAAATTACATTACATGTAAATAGGGTAATCACTCAATTAGAAGACAAATATGGGGCCAGGCACAGTGACTCATGCCTGTAATCCCAGCACTTTGGAAGGCCAAGGCTGGTGGATCACATGAGGTTAGGAGTTCGAGACCAGCCAACATGGTGAAACTTTGTCTCTATTGAAAATACAAAAAAAAAAAAAAATAGCTGGGCATGGTGGTGGGTGCCTGTAATCCTAGCTACTTGGGAGGCTGAGGCAGGAGAATTACTTGAACCTGGGAGGGGAAGGTTGCAGTGAGCTGAGATCGCTGCACTCCAGCCTGGGCAACAGAGCAAGATTCTGTCTCAAAAACAAAACCAAACAAAACAATGACAGACAGCATTATGAACTGAATGAAAATGTAGACAGTTTTTCTTTTTATTGTTTTCTACAAGCTTAAAATATCTCATAATAAAATAATCATTGCTTGAAAAAGCAAACTGGCGAAAGCATTCCACATAGAGGGATGTTTGGCCTTTACAGTGCAGTGTGGTCCTCACACCAAGAGGCGATGGCACAACTAGGAAACTAGTATTTTCACCGTGGCTTCAACCCCACCTGTTAGGTGGCGTGAACCACGGGCCCAAGCTGGGGATGCTGTTGCGCGGAGCAATGGAACTGCTTGTCAGGGGCTCCTGGGTCAGCTCCCTTATGGGCATTTGCCTTTAAGGATCCCCCCTTGGGCTGAGCTAGATTTTCCAAGGCTTTCCCAGGTCACACCTTACACAGGAAAATGAAAGAGGAGAACAGCACAGCTCCACAAAGTGAGTTTGACACTCTGGAGTTTCTATTGCAGAGACAAGGTGGGAATCACAGGAGCTCATCTGCAGGCCTGTCGGACAGTCTCGTTAGTCAGAAAGTGAGCTTGAACGGGGGCCAGCCTGGGGAGAGGCAAAATCCCCCTGGGGCTTCCAGCAGAACAAACGGTGTCTTAGCACCATTCTCATCTCATGGAAAACTGCTTTTCTTTTTCTCTCAGCACTCTTCATGGCCGAGCTGCATCCAAATACAAGCAGATGACTTCGTTAATAAGTCTCTCAACCAGCTGTCTTCATCAACGTTACCTCTACCACAGGGGAAAACAGAGGGACTTAAATAAACCTCCTAGAAAAAAACAGGATGGCGAAATGATTTCCTCTGTTCCCAATAAGATAAAAATTAAAAATAACAAAAATCACACCTTTTCTTTTTTCTGCCTGGCAGAAAACATAGATTTCAGATTGGCCTAATTTCAGTGAGTGAGATTCCTGTCTACTGCGTCAGCCTTTCCTCCCTATCGCCAGAACTGAAAATAAATACCTTGCAAAGTTGTTTCTTTTCTTGTCTCATTACTGTTTTTTAAATAAACAGTATGATTGGAGACGTCAGGCAGAGCCTCACCAGACACACCCCACGATGAGGCCAGAACCACGTGCCTGAACCCCACTCCACATCTGGCCAAATCCCACAGGAACGTTGACAGGCACACGGTTTCCTAAGGGAAGACTCAGCAGGCTGTAAGTTGGAACAGCTGTACAGATATTTGAGATGATTTCATCTAAACTTCTTCTGGCTACTCCGACTTCCTGTCTATGACACTCTGTGAGTTCCTTTAGAAAAACATGTATTGTTTAATTTGCTATTGCTTAGATTATAAAAATAATATTTATTATGAAAATCTAAATTAGCCGGGCGTGGTGGCGGGGGCCTGTAGTCCCAGCTAGTTGGGAGGCTGAGGCAGGAGAATGGCGTGAACCTGGGAGGCGGAGCTTGAAGTGAGCTGAGATCACGCCACTGCACACCAGCCTGGGTGACAGAGTGAGACTCCGTCTCAAAAAAAAAAAACAAAAAAGCTGTAAAACACAGATAATTACAAAGAATATGAAAATGACATGCAGTGTAAAGATATAGATATGTTTCTTACATATGTTTGTTAAGACAGCTTCAAACATGTTTCTCTTCTTCACAAAATTGGTGGGAAGTTATTAGGGCAGTTAACAAACGTTTCTTCTCCTTCCACCCTCGTGAGACTGCACTTCACCCTTCATGAGGTTTGATGTGGCCGTGTGATGTGCTTTGAGCAGAAGTGTGTATCACTTCAAGATGAAAACCGTTAACATCTAGCACACCATTGACTACATTGCTTCTCTTCTGCAGTGGTGATTGTAGAAGACAAAAAGCTTAATTTTTTGTACTGTCATCTTTCTTTCAATTCATAAATGCATTAATATACTAGACTAGATGATTGGTTAGGTGAATTACAAATACATTAGAAATCAAAACATAGAACTCTTTGAAGACATTTAGCTGCAGGCCAGGTGCGGTGGCTCATGCCTGGAATCCCAGCACTTTGGGAGGCCGAGGCGGGTGGATCACGTGAGGTCAGGAGTTCAAGACCAGCCTGGCCAACATGGTGCAACCCCATCGCTACTAAAAATACAAAAATTAGCTGGGTGCAGTGGTGGGCCCCTGTAATCCCAGCTACTTGGGAGCCTGAGGCAGGAGAATCGCTTGAACCTGGGAGGCAGAGGTTGCAGTGAACCGAGATCGGGCCACTACACTCCACCCTGGGCGACTGAGTGAGACTCCAACCCAAAAATAAATAAATACATAAAATAAAGACATTTAGCTTCCTATGTCCTTGTGCATATTTTGCACCAGTGGAAACACCACCGCCTGCTTGAGAATAGTGAAAAAAAGCCGGGTAATTTTAGTGCCTGACTAATTCTGACATCACAGGCACTCTGAGGGTCTTTGGTCAGTGGACCGTGTCTTTGGAGAAGAGGTCTTGTTTGCCCAGGCTGCAGTGCAGTGGCACAATCCTCGCTTATTACAGATCTGAACTCCTGGCTCAAGCCACCTTCCTGCTTCCACCTGTCACGCAGCTAGATGGCTGGTATGCCCCAGCATGCCCGGATAATTTCTTTCTAGAGATGGGAAGAGGACTTTTTTTCTCTTAATACACCTGCCAATGTTGAGTGCCTTCTGGAATTGGGCATAAGGTCAAGCAATCCGTCACGTCTCTGGTTCTTAAGGTGTGAATATGAGGTGACACGAGCATGTGCATCCCTCACCAGCTCCCAAATTCCAAAGCCTTTAATACTAGAATAGCAGATGTTTCTGTTTAAAAGGGTGGTTTTTTTTAAAGACATATCCAATGTGCCCCAAACTTTTCCTCCAAGTTTGCCAATGATTGTCAAATGCTTCCTGTTTAAAAAAAAATCAGTTTACCAACTCTCCCTGCTATCTAAAGGATCCCAAAATTAAATGTTGGTGCCCAGATGTGACATGCAGCTCCTCTTCTTTCCCCAAGCACAAGTTGCTTGGAATCATTTACAAATCCTTTGGAGTCTCGGGAGTCCGGTGGCAGCCCTGTAGGCCCTGAGGTCTGCATGGCCCACATCTGGACCTGGCCTGTCTAACACTTACTTTAGTTGGGATGGACTCCACTGAAAGCAAACTGTTGAATGATGTGATTCTAATAGGGAAGGCTGGTTGCTGATTTGCTGATTCAAGGTACTAGATGCACAGCTGAGGAAGCAGGTGTCTGAAAAATCTCACCGAGCTGAACAGCTGCCTACTATGAATCTTTCTCCCTAATTTCTAAGCTCACACTGAACTCTGGCAGGACAGAAATAATGCCATAAATAGCAAGTCCAGACTGAGTCACCACAGCCTGGGTCCCAGAGTGACTGCCTGGAGCAGAGCCCCTGCTGACCCTGGCTGGACATGGAGCATGGGTGAGAAAGGGACCCCGGCTCAGGTCCAGCCGCTGGGCGCCCTGGTCAGGCCAGCCCTTACCTTGGCCCGCACCCCTGCCAGAGCTGGCCTCATGGTGGCTCAGTTTCAGGCGGGGCCTCTGTCCTGCCCAGCCCTGCCCGGTGGAGCGACCTCAAGAGCTGCTCTCCTTTTCAGCTCCCAAGCATGCCAGGAACAGAAGGACGGGAGGCAGCCGGTTGACAATTTAGGAATAAATGTCCACTTCATTAAACACCGCAAGCCCTTCTCCGCTATGCCAGCCCAGTTAATATTTAGCCAGGTGCACCAAAGCAAGCCGCAAGAAGAACCCACAGCCCTCAGGACGCGTTGTGTGCCGGGCGGCGAGGATTCGCCCAGCCTGCGGGGCAGACCCGACCATGTCCTCGTCTGAGAGCGGGAAAACGGACACTGCAAAGCGCTGGCAGCGGAGGGACAAACTGCAGCTGGCGACCTGGGATTCCATAGGTGGCACTTTCTGATGCCCTGTCAGAGACCGGCTGGCTGGTTTTCAGATGTGTTCTGAGTCATGTGAAAGGGCAGACACACTGGCTTTCCCAGCAGCTGCCTGGCTGGCTGGAGTCCCCGAGTCGGTGGACATGAGCAGCGCAGTGGAGCGATGCGACCTCTCTCCTCCCTCCTCCTGCCTGTCTCCTCCCTCCTTACCCCATCCCTCTTCCTCCTCCCTCCCTCCCAACCCCACCCCTCCTCCCTCCTCAATCAGTCCCTCCTCCCTCCTCACCCCATCACTCTTCCTCCTCTCTCCTCCTTCCTCTCTCCTTTCATCCCTCCCTACTACCTGTCCTCCCTTCTCACCTTGTCTCTCTCCCTCCTCCCTCTTCACCCCATCCCTCCTCCTTCTTCACCCCATCTCTCCTCCTTCTTCACCCCATCCCTCCTCCTTCCTTACTCCTCATCCCATTTCTCCTCCCTCCCTTCTCCTCCCTCTTCCCTCCTCACCTTGTCACTCCTTGTACCTGGTTCTTAACCAAAGGACAAGTCCATGGCTCATGAGATCTGAGTTATGCAGTTCTGTTTTGTTATGTTTTTGTTCTGTTTTTCAGTTTAAAAAATTACAATCTGAACAAATTTCACTGAAACAGGTTCCCAACAGACAGAATGCTCTGGTCCAAACGAAAATGCCTTAAAGTTGCCTGCAGCTGTAGATTTGGGAGAAAGCAGGCCTACGTTTTCCTTAAGAATGTGGCCACCGCCTGAGGAAACAGCATTGCCAGGAAACAGCTGTGCCTCCGAAGCCCACGTGACTTCAGATTCCATCTGCAGCAGATGGTAGGCTTTTGTGGCTTTCGTGGCTTCTGTGGCTTTGGTGGATTCTGTGGCATTTGTAGCTTTTGTGGATCATTTCTTCCCTGTTGGTCCCTGGTGGCCTGGCACGTGTTAAGGCCCAAATGCTGTCTTTATCTTTAATAATGTTTAATTTGAGTGGGGTCAACAGAGATCTATTAAAGGTTGTAAAAAATTTATTTAAAGTGATATTTGTGCAAAATACACGTCCTGAGCAAAAGAATGATTTTTCGACCCTCTGTTATCAGAGAGCATGGGTCTGAATAAAGTCAGGTCAGGTGCCTGCCCAGGAAAGCACTTGGCTTTCAGCTGTGTCAGTTTTCCATGACTCCTGCTTCTAGCGGGGAAGGAGGGCTGCGGCCTTCCAATGCTCAGCTGTGGTTTGCAGGCATCCCTGTTGTCTGCACCTGCAGCCCAGTCTGCTGCCACGCCCACCAAGCCATCTTTCTGAACCTCAAACGATGCTAGGATCTTTCTTCTCCCCACATACAACATTGTGGCAAGGAAGCCCAGTTCTTCCTGGCATTGCTTGTCAGTCCACTGCTTTGAAAGTGTGTCCTTATCCAAGTTGTGGCTGTGTGGACCTGCTGTTGTCCAGGAACCAGGAATGCTGGCGGTGAGTCACCCCCACCCAAGAAAATTGACCCTGGTTTGTGCGGCTCATCAGGCCTGCAGAAACCTCCTGCCGGCCATCCGGTGAGAGGAACCTCTGGGCTTGGTCAGCTTTCACACATGCCAGGGCAGCCTGGCTTTAGACACAAATCCCAGGCTGGGAGTAGCCAGAGGTGATGCCCATGAAGACTGAGAGGCCGCAGGAGTTTGTCTTCCCCCAGGCCACTGCCTGTCTGCTCCTGAGGGCAAGAACCCCCCACTGCCTGTCTGCTCCTGAGGGCAAGGACCCCCCACATTCACCCACGCGGCCCTGGAACCAGGGTCAGCAGCCACAGCCCCCGGCCACATCCAGCCCATGGTGTTTTTCTAAACGGACACAAGTTGAGAATTTTTTTTCACACTTTTAAAAACGTTTTTATTTCTATGTTATAAAGTGGGACATACACAGCCCATCGTGTGCAGAATTCCGCATCTCTTTATTCCCGCATTTCCTGGCCTTGTTAAGCACTTTTTTCCCTTAATGAAATATTTTTTCCTGGTTTCATCCATCCATATTGGGATGAGAGGGTTGTATTTTTCTAAAATGAAATGTGCTGATTCTGTTTGACTTTCTAACATGAATGGCCCATAGACTCATGTTTAAAAGATTGAAAAAAATTTTTAAAAATAGCATCTTGTGACACACAAAAATTATACCAAATTTAAATTCTGGTGTCCAGAAATAGTTTCATTTGAACCCAGCCCCCACTGCCTGTCACGTGCTGTGCTCATGGGTCTATCACACAGGGCAGCTCTCGTGGTATGGCAGAGACCACGTGGCCCACAGAGCCCAGAACGCCTGCTCTCCGGCCCATTATGCAGCAAATTTGCCAGCTCCCGGCACAGAACATGCCAGGGACTCTCTCATCCACTGAAACGTCCCACGAGCGGCTGTGCTTTGAGTCTTTTTCTGTCTTGTTACTATTGTGACTGACTTCTGGTAATCATTGGATTTTTTTCTTTTCTTTTTTCCTTTTGAAAGTGATACATGTTGGTTGGAACAAGTTAAAAAAAAAAAAAAAAAAAAAAAGAGGTCTGTGTGCTAAAATCGTTTGGAATGTCCCTCCTAACCTTCTTCACATCCCAGCTCTGTAGTGACCGATGTTTCCAATCTGAGGTGCAGCCTCCGTGGTTAATCTTTGCTCAGATGTACAGGGTGCCATTATTGTTCTTTTTACAAAAAAAAAAATGAAATGCTACAGTACATGTTACTCAGCAGCTTGTTTTATTTCACTGAATAATGAACATCTCTCCATATTAATTTGGATGTCACTGATTCATTACTTTTCACAGATGCAAAAGATTCCACAGTGGACCTTACAATAATTTTTTCACCTCTGCCGCTGTTGAGGAACATCCGTGTCAATTCCGTTTTTGTGTTATAATTCTGAAAATGAAAACCTTTGTATTCTAGTGTCTATGTACTCACGCTTTTATTCTGCAGTATAGAAACCTAAAAGTGGGACTGCTGAGTCAAAGACTGCGGGTTTTTCTAATATTAAGATGCAGTATAATGCATCTTCTCTCCCCAAATTACAGCATTTCGTGATGGCTGGCGAGGCCACAGGGAGATGGATGGTCTTTTCTTCAGAGGCTTGATTACTTTTTATCTTTAAAAAATCTCTAATAAAATGCCATTTCTTCTTCTTTATTTTTAGATAGATTCAAATGTTGAGGCTTAGTTGCCTAAAGAAAAGAGTGCAGGTAAGAGAGGGGTGTCTGTGCTTCCGTGGAAAGAAAGGGCTTGGATGGAATGGAAGGGCCACTGGGATACCATCTCCCCAAAGTCAGGGACCACCTCTGTCCCACTGACCGTGATGAGAGCTCATGGGGTGTTTGTGAAATGAGAGAATGAATGAATAAATAAGCGAATGAATGGATGGTGATAGAAAGGTCGCTGGAGAGGGACGGTGCTGATCCATGAGGGTGATGACACGCAGATCAACCAATCTCTGTCCCCCATGCCCTGCACGGGCACAAGTGCCGCTGTCCACAGACAAATGTTTGAGAACCCCTGGCTGTGGGACAGGAAGCTGAGACATTCTGCCTTCTCTGGGTTCCCCTGGGTGTGACAAGGGGTCCTCACTAAGCCGTCCTTTGACTATATTGGATGTAGAGAGAACACACATTATGTGTTTCTAAAATTCAGCAACTGCTTTTAAAAAAAAGAGGGATTCTCCATCTTCAAGAGGTTGTCTCTGCTCAAATAAACTCCAAATGTTGAACCGGGCTGGTCTCACATTCCTGCAAATAATAGGAATAATAATATTTGTATTTATTTTCTTTTTCTGTTAAAAAAAAACAAACAGAAATCTTAAGTGATCTTATTTCTCTTCAAAGGGCAAAACAGCTTTGCGGGCGAGCTTTGGAGCCAACTCTAAAGGGTCGTCCAGAGCACGGCCGCCTCCCCATACACACCCTGTCCTTGGCGTGGCTCCCGCAGCAGCCCTGGCCTCGCGCCTGTCTCCGGGCCTCCTCAGAGCCTGGCCTGGCTCCAGCCATCTCCACCACTGTGTGCCTGGGTCTCCTCCCGCTCTGCGCCGTCCCCCAGGGTGCCCCCTTGGCTCTCCTGCACACGTACCGAGGGGATGTCCCCTCCCACTCTGGACAGGTTCCTTAACCCTCTCTTTCGTAAATATAAAAATAGTTCCTGCCTCATGAGACGGCTCTAAAAATTAAATAGTAAAGCCCTCAGCATACTGCCTGCTTAAGAGCCATCTCTCAGAAAATAAGTTTGTTCTTGTAATAATAAACAACAACTTGAGTCCATACTGAGCTTCCTGCTTCAAACGCCACTGGGGCGGACCAGCCCCACGTCTCCTCCCTGCGTTGCACACGGGCAGGGCTGCAGCTTCCCCATGGGGCCTGCACCATGGTGGGACGGCCTGTGCGCCCCAGGCCCCGGATGCCCCGGCCTTGCTCCAGACACGTGGCCGTCAGCCTCCAAGGGCCCTGTGTTCACAAAGTCCCTTCCATTTTCCACCCCAAGCTGACAAAGACGCAGCTGGGGTGACCCCGAAGTGAGGGGTGAGATGTGGGTTACCAGCCCCTCCACCACCCTCTCCTCCCGGCCAGCAAGAGGCAAAGAAGGAAGCCAGGGCCTGTGGGGTGCCCACGCTGGTGAGAGGCAGAGGCCTCTGGGAGAGACGGGCTCCGTGCCAGCCCCCGGGCACGCTCCCCTCGAGGGTCCCCCAGGACCAGCTGGGGCGAGAGCCTCTGGCCAGTGCGGGGCACCTGAGGACTGCGTGGAGGGTGGAGGGGGCCCTACTGATAATAGGAGCTGGTGGCCACCCAGGGGCCTGCTCTGTTCCCGCCAGGCCGAGGCAAAGGGCGAGGCCACAGAGATGGTAGCAGACACGGGGCTGACAGGAGCCCAGAACAGCTCTGGGGACCGGGACAAGGGGGGACAGGAGGCCCCCTTGAGCAAGGGCTCCCAGGAAGCAGGTGCTGTGGTGGGGGTGCTCCACACTGCTCTGGCCCGGGAGGCCCCCTCGGTCGCCTGTGCTTGGGACCGCATTGCACAGAGCACTCTGGCTTCTTTCCACACACGGTCTTTCTCAGCCTTCACGCACACTCGGCCTTTCTCAGCCTTCACGCACACTCGGCCTTTCTCAGCCTTCATGCACACTCGGCCTTTCTCAGCCTTCACGCACACTCGGCTTTGCAGCCCTCCTGCGCACACGTGGAAGGCCCACAGGTGGACGGCACACAGTAGGGCTGCTCCCGATCCTGCAGCTGCGCCTGAGCCTTTCTTGCCTTTGCAAAATCGGTGCTCCCTCCTGGGCCCACTACGGCACAGCTGTAGGTCCTGCAGAGCCTTGCCGAACCTGTCTCCTGGATCCAAACCCGAGGCTGGCACCCAAGGAGGGGGCCGTGCTGGTGCTGGAGCCCGTGTGGCCAAGAACTGTCCCACACCCACTGTCCCATGCTGTGCCCAAGCCACATGGCGTCTCAGGGGGCTGCCAGAAGGAGGACGCTCAGTGCATAGAACCCTCTTGATGGCAAGCCCAAGACCACATGAGCCAGCTTGTGTGCAAAGTTCTTGCAACTGGGAACCCCAGGGTGGGTCTGGTCTCAGCCCAGGGACGACTTGAGGTTTCCTCCTCTCTCCGTCTTTCAATCGCGCTCTCTGTCTCTGTCTCTCTCTCTGTCTCTGTCCCTCTCTCTCTCTCTCTTTCTCTGTCTCTGACTCTCTCTGTCTCTGTCTCTCTATCTCTCTCCCTCTCTCTCTTTCTCTGTCTCTAACTCTCTGTCTCTGTCTCTCTCTCTATCTCTCTCCCTCTCTCTCTCTTTCTCTGTCTCTGTCTCTCTATCTCCCTCTCTTTCTCTGTCTCTGACTGTCTCTGTCTCTGTCTCTCTATCTCTTTCTCTGTCTCTGTCTCTCACTTTCTTTGTCTCTGATTCTGTCTCTGTCTCTCTCTCTGTCTCTGTCTCTCTGTCTCTCTCTCGTTCTATTCCTAGAGGAGGGGAGGGCACTGAACCACGGCCCAGCAGATCGTGACCCCTGGACTGGCCTAGCTCATCCTCGGGGCTTTTGAGCTGGCTTGGCTCCTCCCAAGCTTGCATTGCCCTGGTGGTTGCCGGTAACGTGAAACCACTGGACCTGCCTGGGGAAGGAAGAGGTGTTGCATTTATTGGGAGAATATTAGGGAATCTGATGGATCCCAAGGCCAGATAGGAGGTTTGCTGGGATCAGGGTTGGAGAACCCACGGGATCTGCCTCACGCTGTCCCCTGTGTCCAGCCCCAAGAGTCTGGCTCTCTCCCAGCTCTGGGGTGGAGAGGGCCCCCAAGAACCCCCGAGTTCTTCCCGTTACAGATATGTCACCCAAAGCAGCAGAATCAACCCTGTCCGGTCCCCAGTTCCACATTTCAGGGAGGTGACTGTTGGCTCCACTGCTCCCTGGTGGGGCGGCCTGTGCAGCAGAGAACACCCAGGCGCCAGTCTGTGGGCAGCGGCCAGGACAAGGTGAGGTGACTCTGCCACCCGAGCCTGTCTCCAGCCACAGCTCCCACGGCCACCAGAGCAGTGGGCTGAGGCTCCCTGACAGCCTTCTTGCAACCCCCGGGCCTGAGAGGGGCCGAACCCCTAAGCGTGCATGCTCCCAATCATAGCTGGTGATAAGGAAACCACAATTCTTCTACCTTACTGAAAGGCTATAGCACAAAAATGTGCTCAACTATGGACTAGAGCAGCACTTGTCAAACTTAAGAAACATCTGCACCTACTTGAAATGGAAATGTGTCCTCACGTCCTTCCCGGGGCCACAGGAGGCCGAGTGCTGAGGCCTCACCACCAGGCTGCAGCGTGGCTTGCATGGTTTGGAGACGACACAATGCATAGTTTCTGTTTGGCTGCATGCGTTGTCTGAGCAGGGGTCTTTCTGGCATGAAGCCCTGCTCTTGTTTGCCCGAAAGGGGAGGAGTGGGATGCGTTGTCACCACTTTCAGGGGAACCTGCTCCGTGCTGCCAGCAAAGCCATCATTGAATCCAAGATCTCTCACAGATGCTCCACTTGGCCACAGCTAAAATCCTACTCTCCACTCAATAATGGGAAAAGTCACCAATGGGTAAACTGGGAAAAATCACCAATGGGTAAACTGTGAAAAGTCACCAATGGGTAAACTGTTGTTGGAATTCAGAAAGAAATATTTTTACAATTTTGAATTCAAAGTTCAGGATAGAATCAACCTCTAACATCAGGGTGTAAGTGTTTGGTGTGTGTGTGAGTGATGTGTAGGGTGTGCGAGTGGTGTGCATGTGGCGTGTGTATGGTGAGTGTGTGTTTTGTCTGTGTGTGGTATGTGTGTGGTGCGTATGGGTATTGTGTGCATGTGGTGTGTGTGTGGTATGTGTACAGTGTGTGTTGGGGGGTGGATGATGCGTGTGTGTGTTTGAAGTGGTGTGTTGGTGTATGGTGTGTAGTGTGTGTGTGGTGTGTGTGAGGTTGTGTTGTGTGAGTGGTGTGTGTGTGCTCTGTGTGTGGTGTGTGAGAGGGTGGTGTGTATGGTGTGTGTGGGGTTGTGTTGTGTGTGTGCTCTTAAAACTCCGCCAGGAGACTCGGCTGCACCTGCGGGATGAGTGGATGTGTTACCGAGGGTGGGTCAGCACAGGTCTGCAGCAACCTCGATTCTTGCCTCCTCAGAAGAAAGAATT
This sequence comes from Homo sapiens, assembly GCF_000001405.40. NCBI lineage: Eukaryota > Metazoa > Chordata > Mammalia > Primates > Hominidae > Homo > Homo sapiens. The sequence goes on from NC_000006.12 coordinate 167,554,780, forward strand.
CGATTGAGGGGCCTAAGGCAGAAGAAGAGACAGAGGCAAGTTTTGGAGCAGGAGGAGTGGAAGTTTATTACAAAGCTTTAGAACAGGAATGGAAAGAAAGAAAAGTACACTTGGAAGAGGGCCAAGCAGGCATCTTGAAGGACAGTGCGGGGTTTGGCCTCTGACTTCGGGTTTTATACATTGGCACGCTTCCGGCGTCTTGCCTCCCTTCTTCCTTGGTTCTTCCCTTGGGGTGGGCTGTCCGCATGCGCAGTGGCCTGCTAGCGCTTGGGAGGTCACCCTGCACCTGTTTACTGGCGTTGTGAGCATGCTCATTTGAAGCGTTCTTCCCTTATCAGTCAAGTGCTCCTACAGGAACGTCATATACCAGTTAAACTCTGCCATTTTGCCTCTTAGTGTGCATGCTTGAACCCACTTGCCCAACTCCAAGATCTTATTGGGAAGCTGCTGATCACCAGCTTCAGGTTTTTTCTATCTGTAGGGAGACTGCCTTTCTCTGGCACTGGCTGCAAGCAATTATTTTAGAGAGGCAGTTAGCAACCACCTGACCATCCCCTGATGGCTGCCTGAAGTTCCTGGTTGGGAGTCCCTCTCCTGCCCTGCTCATGCCTGACTACGTACTCTAACAGATGTCAGTGAGGGACAGATGAACCAGGAAGCAATTTGATTGTGATGTGCTCTGTTATGGTTTGGGTTTTTTTACTGTTTGGGTATTTTGAACTTCTTGGACTTGAGGGTTTCTAGTACTGATTAATTTGGAAATTTTGAGGTCATTCAAAAATTATTCTGCCCTGTCTCTGGGACTCCAATTTCATAAACAGTATGTAATTATTTATATTAGCCTGATATTTTTCCTTAGGTCACTGAGGCCCTGTTCGTTTTCTTAAATCTTTTTTCCAATGATGCTTCATTTTAAATAGATTCTATCAATATGTCTTCAAATTGAATGATCTTTGTTTCTGCAGTGCTTAGTCTCCTATGAAGCCCATCCAGTGACTTGTTCCATTCAGATAATGTATTTTATAACTCTAAAAATTCTATTTGGTTCTTTATATAATCATTCTTTTTCTTATTATGTTCAAAACTAAAAACAAATCTTTAAGCATATTTGTAATAGTCTGTAAAGTTGTTGCCTGCTAATTCCATTCTCTCTTTCATTTCTGGGTAGGTATGTATTGACTAACTTTTCTCCTGGCTATGGCTCATTTTCCAGCTTCTTCATGTCTAGTAATTTTTTATTGGATGCTGGACATTACAGTGGTATGTTGTTAAGCATCTGTATTTCATTGCCCTCTTTTGAAGGTTGTTGTATTGTGTTTGGTAAGTATTTGAGTAACTTGCTTACCAGATCTATTCTTTTGAGGCTAGTTTTTAAGGTGTACTAGGGAAGGTTTAGGGTCACTTTTTTTCTAAGTGTAATTTAGCTTCTCTCCTAAGGGGTGATCCCTTTAAAAATCTTTAGTGAATGTCTCAGGTTTTTCAATGAGGTCTTTTTACTCTGGCTTGACTGGAATCAAATGTGTGATTCCGGGGAAGTTTTTACTTCATAGCTTTCTGCTAGTTCTTTGCCACATCTGGTAAAAATTCATCCTACTCATGCACAGTTAGCGTTCAACAACAGGCTCAACGGTATTCTTATGTAGATTTCTAGGATTCTTTCTTTCATTGCTCCCTACTCTCTTCTCTGAAAATTACAGGCACCCCAACCTCACCAATTCCCATCTCTGTCTTCTCAACTAAACAAGACCACCATGTTCTGCTTGGGCTTCTCCTCTCTGGGGCACAATCTAAGAAAGCCAGAGTAATCTTAATGCTCGCCTCATTTTTATTCCCGAATCGACCACAGTCCTGTGCTGCCTGTTGCCTACTGTCTGAAAACAGCTGTAACGTATATTTTTTCAAGTTTTTTCATTGTTTACTGTGGAAGGACAAGTCCAGTACCAGTTATTCCAACATGTCTGGAAGTCAACTTCTCCGCTTTGCTCATTTTCCAACAAAATTATATTAGTTTTAAATCAGAAAAACACAACAATGATATAATACATATACATAAAGAACAATCTGTTGCTCAGTTTCTCCTAAATTTATCTGAAATAAATGCTTTTTATTTTCAGCCTGGATATTATAGTTTTAAAAAGAAACTTGTTCTTTTCATAACCCCGTATCCCAAATCTTAGATTCTTTTTTGCTATAACAACTAAGGCCAATCTCTTGGCATAGTCTTTTCTCCATAGCATTTTCATGTCACCCACATATATTCTGGGGTTCCAAGTAGCAAACGGTAGGTACTCAATAAGTATCAGCTTCCTTTTTAGTGAAAGAAACAATCTTTTGGGGCTTCATTTTCATTTGCAGAAATGAAAATTATAATAGCTTCTTTATAAGTTATGGCTCTGGTTTAAATATTTGTCTCCTCTGAAACTCATGTTGAAATTTGATCCCCAATGCAGCCATCTTGAGAGGTAGGGCTTTTGGAAGGTGATTGGGTCATGAAGGCTCCACCCACATAAATGGATTAATCTACTCATGCATTTATGGGTGAAAGGGGTTAATGGATTAGTGTCTTATCCCAAGAGTGGGTTTGTTATCATGAGAGTAGGTCTGTTATGAAAGTCAGGTTGATTCTCTCGGGGGCTTTCTCACCACGCGATGCCCTGTGCCACCTCAGGGCTTTGTAGAGAGTCCCCACCCACGCAATGGCTCTCACCAGATGTGGTCCCTTGACCTGGGACTTCACAACCTCTAGAACTGTTAAGAAATAAATTTCTTTACTTTATAAATTGCCCAGTCTCAGATATTCAGTTATAGCAACAGGAAATAGACTAAGACAGTTACTATGAAGAGTAGGGATGTTTCTTGGTAGATATATCATAGTCTAGCATATAGTAGATGCGTAAACAATACGTTTAACAAGAATTTGTGAAACAATTAAAACTTTGGCTTTGGTATCCTGCTGTTCCTTTAAACACTATGCAGTAGAGATCATCGTCTCCTGCTCCTGATGAAAACTCAGACAGGCTCATGAATTCTCTATTCCCTCCTAGGTAATAGATGGTCCTACCATAGCTTTAAATCACAACACTGTCTCAATTCAGACATGCGAATGTCCAGCCTAAGACATTCATCAAACTCTGAACTTGATTTAATAGCCAGTGTTCTCTCCTCCCCAGTACCCGTCTGCAGCCCAGCAGCCTGCAGGGTGGGCTGCATAGATACACGTGTGTATGTATTATCTTTCTTTTCTTTAAAAAAAATCACCAAAATATTACTTTGCTAAGGACTTAACTTAGAAAATCCAAAATGTAAATGGCCAATGATAGCCCTGGATGTTTTCTTTTTCTGCATGAATTTTAATGCTTACTTTTAGGCCTGAAAATCCACAGAAGCATTCATAAGGGAGGGGTTGCTCTGTGGCCATCGGACAAACCATGAATTTGGGGCTCATTTCCAGACAGTGCCCTGCTCTGTAGGATCTCTGACCAGGTGAGCGGGACTCCGAGTGCAGCAGGCAGGCAGGAGCACACGGCCACAGGGGTCTCATCTGTGCTGGAGAAACGGGACCCAGAACCACAGCACACAGATAACTGCTGGTGGGAGGAACCTCACAGGCCACGAGACAATCCCTTTGCTCAGGGAAGGGCAGCTGAGCTCACTTCCCCAGGCCACCCAGGAGAAACCAGCAGAGCTAGGGGCAGAAGTCAGTCTTTAGCTACAGATGAATCACTTCATTTAAAATACCAAGTGGTCTTCGAAGTCTACACCCTTTCTAAGTCAACAAAAATCAAGTGAGGTTCACAAGTGATTATTCGGCACTGCTTCTTATACTTTCCATGAGTAATTTCTGATACTTGCAAGGCTTCCTTCCAGGGAGAAAAAGGCGAGTTAAGTATTGTCTCTGCTTTTAAGGAACTGATCATCTTGACAGGATGAATGATGAGATAAAATTTAAGAGAAACTGACTAAAATGCAGTATTAATTCCAAAAATAGATAATCGTAGGATGAAGAAGGCAAAATTAATAGCAACAAACGTAAGAAAGACTTGAGGTGTGGCCTGAACCCAGGATCAACCTACAGCCTCACTGGTGCATGCGCCTGACTCTTGGTTTGTCTTACTTGGAACAAGGTTCACAGACAAGGACAGCTGCGGCCTCCCTTCCCCCGGCCCTATGAGAGGAGGTCTCCTATTTTTAGTACTAGAGCCTACTTTTTTAGCCACCCATAAAAGGCAACTAGGGGAGTATGTCTGGGATTGATAAGGGACTGAAGTCTATGTTTACAAGGGATTTTCCCACCTAAGAAAGAGTTATGAGTGGCTCTGCTGCTCTCTTCCTGGAACTAGGGAGGGACTGAGGGCAGAGGGCAAGGCCTGTGTGGACCTGAGGATCAGAACTTGAGCGCTGGCGTGGAAACATGCAGGGTGTTTTGTTTTGTTTTGTTTTGTTTTTTGAGATGGAGTCTCGATCTGTATCCCAGACTGGAGTGCAATGGCAAGATCTCAGCTCACTGCAACCTCCACCTCCCTGGTTCAAGTGATTCTCCTGTCTCAGCCTCCTGAGAAGCTGGGATTACAAGCGCCCGACACCACGCCCCACTAATTTATATATTTTTAGTAAAGATGGGGTTTCACCATATTGGCCAGGCTGGTCTCGAACTCCTGGCCTCAGGCAATCCTCCAGCCTTGGCCTCCCAAAGTGCTGGGATTACAGGTGTGAGCCCCCACACCCGGCTGAAACATGCAGTTTTTAATGCAACATTTCCCCCTAAATTTTACTGTCATGTCTTTATTGATAATGTCCTGACATTTCAAAATTCAAAGAATACAAAGAGCATTTTTGTAAAATCCCCATCCATCCAGTTCCCCTCCCAGGAGACAAGAATATTGTGTCTCTTTAGCATCCATTCAGAGATAGAAGAATCTTCTCACAGGTAAAAAGGGATCCATGCATGGAATGGTCTGATGCAAGCGGTAACCAGGACTTCATCATTGATGGTCAAAGTCCACTTGGCAGGGGTGATGCTGAAGGGATCAGATAAAAGCACACAAACAGACCTCCAAGTCCCTGCCAACCCGAGACTCCATGGCATGATTCCCGTCCCCCTGCTATGAATGTGGAAACTCAGAGCCAGGCGGTGCCGCTCTCCCAAACCCCTGCACCTGTTTCACATCTAAACCCACACGGTGCAGGCAGGGGCAGCAGCATGTCACCCAGCAGATGCTTCCTCTCCCTTTCAGCACGGCTTTGCTTCCTGAAGGCGCTCTGGTGTTCCATACAGTGACCCTTGACCCCTCCGCAGTTTCATCCCAGCCCTTCTCCCAGCATCTCTGCAGCTGCCCTCCCTCCCTCTTCTCCTGTGGTCTCTACCAGAGTTTCTGCTCCTCCTTTTCTGTTCCTTAGGCCCTGGGTCCCATCGTGTGCAGCCAGCTTTCTCTAGTCCTCCTGGACCCGGCTTCCTGATCCCCAACGGGCAGCATCTGGCAGTTCTCTGAAATTCCACCACAGGAGGAAGTCCAGAGATAAAGGATATCGACCCGGGAGTCACAATGTAACTGGCCATCCCAGTTTGTTCGGATCAACATTGGTCTTTACAACACTATTGAAAATGGCCTCATAAACTAATAAAACCACACTGTCTTACTAAGAGTAGCCACAGAGGTATAAGTTTTGAGAAGCTATTTTTCATATGGTTTCATTTGAAATTAAAATTTTTAGCACCAACATTTCTATACTGTGGCCATCAGTTAAACAGTCCACAAAAGATATTACAGCCCTCGCCTCTGTCAGCCAGAGGCTGCCTCACCTCCTCCCCATCCAACCCACCATGTACCCCCAGAAAGAGCCAGCCTGGTCATTAGAGTGATAGCCACACAGACCCACGTACTCTTCACCACAACTCCACAAAGGTGGTGCTGAGGTTGGCTCTGTTTCAGAGATGGAGACCCTGTGGCACTAAGGTGGGTGTCATCCTCTGAGCAGAGCAGGCCTCAAGCAGCATGGCCAGGATCTCACATCCCCACAGCTTCCTGCCATTGCTTCAGACTCCTGGCGAGTGAGGGTTCAAGCACTGGCCCATCGATAGTCACATCCCAGCTATTTCAAAGGAGGACAGGCTCTGGGTGTCCACATACAGTACAAACCACAGATCAATGTAAATGCCAACAAGATCAGCGTCTTGGAAGAGAAGATTCTGACATCAGACTTCCTGGTTTGGATCTGACTGTGCCAGCTGTGCAAACCACAGCCAGTTCCTTCCTCCCTCTGTGCCTCAGTTTCCTCATCCATCACAAGGGGTGAGCATCACCTGCCCCACAGTGTGGTGAGAACCCAATGAGGGAGTGCACATTTTGCGTGGCCCAGTGCCTGACATGTGGCCTGAATTCCACGATGTCAGCTGTGGTTCCTGCCGTCCTCGCTTTCTGGAGTACTTTGGATTCATTGGGCTTCTATATCCTGGGCCAAAATATTAGAGTCAGAATGAGGAACTTACTGCAACCATTAAAACCACTGTGGAAGAGGGGAATAAGCAAGCATTACTTGCAGGTTCCCCAAGGCAGGACTGGACCCGGTGGGGCAGAGCAAGTTGCAGTCCGGCCCATGCATGCAGGCCAGGGAGAGCCGGGCCAGCCCCACATGGACCAGCCATTCCAATTTCTGCTTGTCATTGTAAAGTTTCTGACTGAGGTGAACAGTTGAAATTCGTTCATTTAATTTTAAGTTCACCCATAAACTGCATGAATAATGAATTAACGCTCTGGAGAGGCTGCAAATATAAGGCAGTAGCGGCAAAATACAATTCAACCCAGAAAACAACCCACTAATCACCTGATGGAAAAAACCCACAAGAAGAGTCCGTAGCAGGGAGGCATCGAGGCAGCAGCAGGATTTCTAAGGCTGTGAAGGAAGTGTGGAAATGAAGGGGAGATTTCGCGTGCTCTGAGCACCATCCGCATGCAGGGGCCTGGTAGACCGCGACTGTGGATGGCGGCAGCTGCCACTCTAAAACTGCATGCGTACAATCTCACTTCTGCCCTCCTGCCCTGCTCCACATCCCTCTGCACTCTGGATCCCATTCCCTCATCCATGGATTCCCTCATTCCCTCATCCATGGATTCCCTCATTCCCTCATCCATGGATTCCCTCATTCCCTCACCCATGGAATCGCTCATTCCCTCACCCATATATTCCCTCACCCATACATTCCCTCATTACCTCACCCATGCGTTCCCTCATTCCCTCACCCATGCGTTCCCTCATTCCCTCACCCATGCATTCCCTCATTCCCTCACTCATGGATTCCCTCATTCCCTCACCCGTGCATTCCCTCCTTTCCTCACCCATGGATTCCCTCATTCCCTCACCCATGCATTCCCTCATTCCCTCACCCATGCATTCCCTCATTCCCTCACCCATGGATTCCCTCATTCCCTCACCCATGCGTTCCCTCATTCCCTCACCCATGCGTTCCCTCATTCCCTCACCCATGAGTTCCCTCATTTCCTCACCCATGCCTTCCCTCATTCCCTCACCCATGGATTCCCTCATTCCCTCACCCATGCGTTCCCTCATTCCCTCACCCATGCGTTCCCTCATTCCCTCACCCATGCGTTCCCTCATTCCCTCACCCATGCGTTCCCTCATTCCCTCACCCATGCGTTCCCTCATTCCCTCACCCATGCGTTCCCTCATTCCCTCACCCATACGTTCCCTCATTCCCTCACCCATGCGTTCCCTCATTCCCTCACCCATGCGTTCCCTCATTCCCTCACCCATGCGTTCCCTCATTCCCTCACCCATGCGTTCCCTCATTCCCTCACCCATGCGTTCCCTCATTCCCTCACCCACAGATTCCCTCATTCCCTCATCCACGGATTCCCTCATTCCCTCATCCACGGATTCCCTCATTCCTCATCCACGGATTCCCTCATTCCCTCATCCATGGATTCCCTCATTCCCTCATCCACGGATTCCCTCATTCCCTCACCCATACATTCCCTCATTCCCTCATCCATGGATTCCCTCATTCCCTCATCCATGGATTCCCTCATTCCCTCACCCATACATTCCCTCATTTCCTCATCCATGGATTCCCTCATTCCCTCACCCACGGATTCCCTCATTCCCTCATCCACGAATTCCCTCATTCCCTCACCCATGCATTCCCTCATTCCCTCACCCATGGATTCCTTCATTCCCTCATCCATGGATCCCTCATTCCCTCAACCATGGATTCCCTCATTCCCTCACCCACGGATTCCCTCATTCCCTCACCCACGGATTCCCTCATTCCCTCACCCACGGATTCCCTCATTCCCTCACCCATGCATTCCCTCATTCCCTCACCCACGGATTCCCTCATTCCCTCACCCATGCATTCCCTCATTCCCTCACCCATGCATTCCCTCATTCCCTCACCCATGCATTCCCTCATTCCCTCACCCATGCATTCCCTCATTCCCTCACCCCTGGATTCCCTCATTCCCTCACCCATGCATTCCCTCATTCCCTCACCCCTGGATTCCCTCATTCCCTCACCCATGCATTCCCTCATTCCCTCATCCATGCATTCCTTCATTCCCTCATTCATGGATTCCCTCATTCCCTCACCCATGGATTCCCTCATTCCCTCACCCATGGATTCCCTCATTCCCTCACCCATGGATTCCCTCATTCCCTCACCTATGCATTCCCTCATTCCCTCACCCATGCATTCCCTCATTTCCTCACCCATGCATTCCCTCACCCCTGGATTCCCTCATTCCCTCACCCATGCATTCCCTCATTCCCTCACCCATGCATTCCCTCATTTCCTCACCCATGGATTCCCTCATTCCCTCACCCATGGATTCCCCCATTCCCTCACCCATGCATTCCCTCATTCCTTCATCCATGCATTCCCTCATTCCCTCATTCATGGATTCCCTCATTCCCTCACCCATGCATTCCCTCATTCCCTCATCCATGGATTCCCTCATTCCCTCATCCATGGATTCCCTCATTCCCTCATCCATGGATTCCCTCATTCCCTCATCCATGGATTCCCTCATTCCCTCATTCACACATTCACTCATTCCCTCATTCATGCATTCACTCATTCTTTTTGCAGCTCTTCATCCCATCCCTGCCGGGTGCCAGGCCTCATGCCAAGACTGCCTCTCCCTCGTGGAGCTTCAGTGTCAAGCTCCAGTCCATGTGACTGCTCCAGGCCACAGCAACAACTCCTGTTATGCTTGAAGGAAACTCAAACATGCAATTTAGTCGGAAACTTGATGTATTTATTTCTGTGGTACCAGAGTGGGTACAGTAGAAAGGAGAATTTCTACTAGCAGAATTTTCTAGAAAGAGAATGATCTTAAGTTTGACAAAACACTTAAACAGACCCTTAGTTAGTTACACAGAAGAAAAGTCTCAGGCTTGGAAAAGAGAGGCTTAGATAATGAAAATAGAAATATGTATATACGTGTGTGTGTGTGTGTGTGTGTGTGTGTGTGTGTGTGTGTGTGTGTGATTTAGACATGCAATTTTTATATACAGGTCTATGCAATGTATATGTATGTGTCTGTGTGTGGATCGTGGGTGGATAGAGAGAGAAATGTCACTATGAAACCCCAAGGATGGTGTGCCCATGTGAAAGGTGCTCACGTGGCGGGGACAGACAGTGCCGGCCACCAGCAGTAATGGACGCTCTCCGACTTCCAGCTTTTCCACATCTTTGCTTCACTTCTCCCTTGTCCCTGGCAGAGCCATGTGCACTGGTGGTTCCGGGAGGGATGGTGTGGTGGGGGCTGTCCATGCAGGGTGCTTTGCAGTGTGGGGTGAGGACAGCTGCCCAGAGGGACAGCAACCCACCCTTGCAGGGAGGACTGAGGGGAAATGCACCCACAGGACCCAGGGCTGCATGGTGCTGAGCTGGGGAGGAAGGGTGCATGCACAGAAACCCTGGGGAGGGCACTGCACAGCCATTGCCTCACCAGGCGTTTGGCTGTGAGATACTCAAAGAACAGGTGACATGGGAGGACAGCCTGAGCTGGGTGCAGAGTCAGGCATGTGCCCTCTGTTCCATGGGGTTTCAACTAGTGAGCGTCCCTGAGGTAGAGCCATCCCAGCGGTTGAGCTCTGCACCCTCAAGTCTCCATGCCCTTCGATGCTCTTACCATCCAAGGTCAGCCAAGGCATATAGAACCCCCACCCCCAACTGTGGGCAGTGTGCAGGCACGGCAGGTGCTCAGTATGGCGGGCAGACAGGGGGACCTGCTTGGCTGAAATGCAGCAGATGTGTGGGTGCTCAAGCCAGGGCCAGGCTACAGGGAGCCCTGTCTGCTTCTATGACTGCAGGGCCCATGGCCCCCACGAACCAGCTGGATTAGTCGGTTTTCATGCTGCTGATAAAGACATACTTGAGACTGAAAAGAAAAAGAGGTTTAACGGACTTACGGTTCCACATGGCTGGGGAGGCCTCACAATCATGGCAGAAAGCAAGGAGGATCAAGTCATGTCTTACATGGATGGTAGAAGGTAAAGAGAGAGCTTGTGCAGGAAAACTCTTCTTGATAAAACCAATAGATTGTGTGAGATTTATTCACTATCATGAGAACAGCGCAGGAAAGACCTGCCCCATCATTCAATTACCTCCCACTGGATCCCTCCCACAACACATGGGAATTCTGGGAGTTACAATTCAAGACGAGATTTGGGTAGAGACACAGCCAAACCATATCACCAGCCAAGGGGGTTGGAGGCTATGGGGAGGGGTCTAGACTGTGGACAGCCAGTTCTCAAGCAGGCCAAGACCAGCAGGACCACCCGCCTGCCCCTCATCCTGTTGCAGATTCACAGCGGCCCAGCTGTGGCTGGAGGTCATGGCCACACATGGCCATGGAGCCCTGGAAACCTGCTTGTGCCAACAGAGATGCACTGTGCTAGGAGGCCCACACTCAGCAGGAAGGGAAAAGCTGCCCATTAACCATTGTTTATGTTGATAAATATTGAAACTGATGGGTTGAAATGTGAAATGATACTTTGGATGTAGTAGGTTAAATAAAATACATTATTGAAATGAGTTGTATCTGTTTCCTTTTACTTTTTTAGGGTGGCTCCTGGAAACATAAACTCATGCAAGCATTGCATTTCTATGGGACAGCGCTGCTGCCAGCTAGCTGCGTCTTATCAGTCTGTGCCCCTCCCACACCCTCCTAGCTCAGGGTGAACACAGCCAGGCTGAAGGAAGCCTCATCTGATGGACAGGACCTCATCTGGATTCATCAGGAAGGAAGGAAGTCTGGCCCTCCCTGCATGTGACCATGGCCACTCCCATGGTCAGCAGCCTCTGAGCAGGAGTGGGCGGGACCTGGCCAGCACTCCTGTCACTTTCATCCATGAAACCCGACCTTCCTTACTGCTCCTGGGCTCCCAAGTGGATGTGCGACCACCCAACCTTCCCAGTCCTCCTGAGTGGGTGTGTGACCAGCCCTCGGCGGCTTTCTTATGACTGGAAAGTGCAGCCACGACAAGGGAGCGGCCAGCCAGGAGGGAGCAATGACCACCCGGGCTGGCCCTGGAATTGCTGGAGCCACCAGAAAGACCACCCACAAAGAGCTCCAAGGAAACACCACCGGAGGCCAGAAATGGGAGTGGGGCGGGGATCTGGAGCGGGGAGGTGACAAGGCTGAGAAGGAGCGGGTAGTCCTGGCACGATCCCATGCGGTGGCCACCTGCCTGGGTTAGCCTCAGCACGCCACCACTGCGACCTCTTTATTCCTCTTAAACTAGGTTGAACAAGTTCTGTCTGCAATCAGACAGGTCCCACCTAATACAGCTGCTCTATAAATGTGGAGGCTGGGCAGGGAGAAGGCAGATAAATCAATGGCACATTTTTTTTTCCTGATAGAAAATGTGTCCAAGGTCCCAGGGAGCAAAAGTTGCTCACAGCTTTCAATTCACCCCAGGCTGCCCCTCACAAGGCAAAATGGACAAGGGGGAACAGAATTCCCCTTCCTGGCCCTTCCCTGGTGTGCTGGGCCCCATTTCCCATCCGCTCGGGGAGAGCCGACCGTGTGCAGAGAGCAGCTGGACCTGGGTGGCTCCCTCTGCCCAGACTCCAGCGCCGCATGACGTGCAGCCCCTCAGCGGGAGCAAGTGTGGGGCCGTGGGCCTGGGCCAGGGCCAGCCGAGGAGAGATCACCCTGGGCTGGGTCTGTCTTCAATTCCAGGCTGAAGCCATCTCTGTGGAGGGTTGGGGTGCCTGCGGCCACCTGCACATGTAAGCTCTTCCCTTTAGCAGCCCAGAGGATGGAGCCCCACGGCCGTCAGGAGACCCCAGCAGGGCTCTCATGGACAGAGAGAGGAGGACAGCCTAGGCTGAGCAGCCTGACACAGACAGCAGGTCCGTCACCAGCCCACAGGGGACAGGAGGGAAGATGGACAGTCAGCGGGAGAGCCAGCCAGACAGGGTGCTGGTGGAGGCCACCGAGTGGTCCCTTAGGAGGGGCGAGAGGGCTGAGCCGAGTGCTTCCAGCCAGATCCGTGGTGGGACGAAGGGCTGAGGCGTGGGGCTGGCAGCTCTCTGCAGCCCAGGCGGTGGCTGGAGGGACCGTCCTCGAAGGGATGGCTGGAGGCCAGCAGTCTTCCCTGAGGCTAGGGGAATGAGCCCTTATTCCTGACCTCAACACACAGGGTTTTATTGTACTCACAAGACATACTGTTTGCTGAGTCATACGTGCAAATTCTGACCCAGGCCACCATAGACAAGGCCTCCAGTAATCCTCCAAGGAGGTACAGGCTACTTGGGGAGCCACGGGAACACTCTGGTGGCCAAGGGCTGGGGAGTCAAGAATGTGAACCCATCTGGATGAGGGCAAGACACAGCTGCACACAGTGGGAGGGGTGCCAAGGTCCAGCCGAGGTCCTGCCAGGCCGTGCATGAGGAGATGCAGGAAAACTGACCCGAGAGAACATTCTGAACTAGACGACAGGCCACTAAACCCGAGCAGCAAGCTCTCCTGATGGGGAGCTGGATGCTAAGTATCTTCGGCTCTGCAGGCCTCCAGGTCTCTGTCACCACGGCTCAGTCTGCTGTTGTAAAGTGAAGGCAGCCAGGGGTGCATGGAGGATGAGCGTGGCTGCAGCGTGAACGTTCATTTACAAAAGCAGACTGGACTCAGCCCACGGGCGGAAGTGTGCCATCCTGGGCAAAAGTGTGCCATCCTGGGTGGAAGTGTGCCATCCTGGGCGGAAGTGTGCCATCCTGCTGTAAAGCAACGCAGGGGATAGTGGTTTATGGACTGTGTTTAATGGCCATGTTCTCTCTCAGTGGCCAGTCTCTGGGCCAGACCGGATTTATTTTGCTTTGTTTTGTTTGTTTGCTTGTTTGTTTGTTTGAGATGGAGTCTCTCTCTGTCACTCAGGCTGGATTGCAGTGGTGCAGTCTCAGCTCACTGCAACCCCCACCTCCCAGGTTCAAGCGATTCTCCTGCCTCAGCCTCCCATGTAGCTGGGATTACAGGTGCCCACCACCATGCCTGGCTAATTTTTGTATATTTCGTAGAGACAGGGTTTCACCATGTTGGTCAGGTTGGTCTCGAACTCCTGAGCTCAGGTGATCCTCCCACCTCAGCCTCCCAAAGTGTTGGGATTACAGGTGTGAGCCACTGCGCCCAGCCCAGATTTATTTTCAGTGAGGGTTGTCAGATGTCGGTGTTTAGCCAAGCTCTGCCTTCTTACCATTGATTGTGTGTGTTCACAGACACACACACACACACACACACACAGAACCCCACCAAGGGCTGCCTCCAAGGGCTGTTCACTGCCGTCTTTACTCAAGTATCTTTGGCCCCAGCCATGCTGAGTCTCGTGGAGACTCCCATGTCGTTTTTGGGCATAGGAGACATAACTGGGAAACTCCTTTTCAAGGGCCACTAAGCTGCTGTTCCCAGCTCCCTGAAGGAGAAATGGAAACAGTGACTGTGGAGGCAGAGCTTGGATTTAGTCCTCGGAGGGGGCGTGAGGAGAGGAACAGAGCTTCTGCGGCCGCTTCTGAGTGCGAGTGGCCCAGGCGCCCAGGGCGTGAGGGTTGAAGGTTGAAACTGATGGGTTTTCAACCTTCAGTTGATGTATCAACCGAAGATACTTAGCATCTGGCCTCCCGTCAGGAGAGCTTGCTGCTCGGGTTTAGCGGCCTGTCGTCTAGTTCAGAATGTTCTCTTGGGTCAGTTTTCCTGCAGTTGAAAGGTTGAAACCGATGGGTTGAAATGCTGAAATAATCAAAATTTGGATGTATTAGGTTAAATAAAATACATTATGGAAAAGAATTTGATCTGTTTCCTTTTACTTTTCTAAGGTGGCTCCTGGAAAACGTGAACTCACACAGCACTGCCTTTCTCTCTGGGAAGCCGCCGGCCACGGGTTTCGCCTCTTCGGGAAGGGACGCATGGCCCAGGCTGACCAAGGCCTTCAGTGACGGCCTTGCACTCAGCAGGGTCCCGGAAGGGTCGGGCCCGGTCAGAACAGGCTCCACTGCTGTTGCACAGCGACCGCAGACAGCGCATCTCCAACGGGAATGAAGTGGATTTGGACACTCACTGGCCATTTGTGAGTGAAAATATCCCCACTTTGTCTATTGAGCACGTAAAGTGGTCCCAGAGCTACCAGTTTCAGAATGAGCCGTGGAGGTCGTGAGTCACGCGATGAGGCTGCGCTTTTGCCATTTTCTCGTACTTTGGAAAAATGATATAATAAAAAAGCTATCTACCAGCCACCAGAGTCATGCAATTCGAGGCGTACCTAACGGCCACCCAGCGTTAGCTGCACACAGCATGGACATTGAGGAGGACTGCAGCCCCACGCAAAGTGACACACGTCAGACTCACCCTGCACAGAGGCCACGTGACTGCCCCAGCCCAAGCCTAGGAGAAGCATTAGGACACAGCAACCATTTTCTCCAACACCTGCTAGAAAAGAGCTCATACGTGGAGGAGACGGCATCCTGCTTTTGGCTTTAAAATTTGGTTGCCCTAACTCTATGCCATATTCTGAGAACTAAAAGATATCGCCCCTGAAAGGCAGCCACAGTCTACTTCAAGAGGCCAAAAATGTGAAGAAAAAAATACTATACAGGCACATGATCAAATGCAAGCGCCGGGATACGTAAGGGAGCAGACAGCCCGTTCTAAGGGGAGCCACAGTTGTACTAGTCACCGAACGACGCGGCCTGGGTGTGCCGGCCACTGTGCCTCTGATACACCCGTCACCTCCACCTGGGAGGTCCTTCCACCTGTGCCTCTCGTACACCCGTCACCTCTCCCTGGCTGGTCCTTCCACCTGTTCTGCACCTAGGAAACTCCCACACAGTCCTTAGAGCTGAGCTCAGATGACACTTGCTCAGGAAAGGCCTCTCTCCTCTTCTACTCCTCTGTGAGACCTTCCCCTGGGTCCCGGCTCACTCATGACTCTACTTTCCAAATCACACCGGGTGCTGTGCCTCTGTCTCAGTGCACTCAACTCCAGCTGGCCTATGGGTCTGCTCCACAGCAGGCTCCACTTAGAAGGACACGGAGCTGAGGAAGGAGGGCAGGGCCAGGTTACTACACAACCTCCAATGCCGAGGCAATGCCTTCAGACTTTGTCTTGGTGGCAATATAAAGTTATGGGAGCGTGTGTGCAGAATCAGAACTGTTTTTTGGTTGGGGGAGACAGCCTCACTCTGTCTTTGGGATAAAATTAAAACCTGTAACAGGTCTATGGGGCCTCGCAGGGTCTCGGCCCTGCTCATTGCACACGGCGCCTTCCTCCCCGGCTTCAGCCCCACCAGCCCTTCCCAGTTCCATGGAGCATCCGCTCCTTCCTGCCCTGGGTGCTTGGCACATCCTGGCCTTTCTGCCTGAAGCAGCTGCCAGGCAGCTTCCGGCTCCGTGTCTCCACCTGCCCTCACCCAGTTAATGCATACTCATCCCACAGGTCTTCACTTAGCATCGTGAGCTCACACAAGCCTTCCCCCAACCACCAGACTCCATCAGAGGTCACTCAGGCCCCGGGAATCTGCCAAGCCACTCATCATCACTGTGGTTCCACTGGGTATGAACAGCCTGGCATCTGCTCTCCCAACTGAAATGCCAGCCTCTGGAGCTGAGGCCCAGGTCTGACTGTGCCTAACACTGTCTCGAATGCGGTGAGTGCTCGGTATACTGACAATAAGGCGGGGAAGTGACGCCGGAAATGGGTTGGAGGAGTCTAGGCGTGGTGTCCACTGGATGGGACCAATGTGAGAGACGCGGAAGTTTGAAAGTTGATTGCATCCTGATGATGACAGGGAGTGGGAATTGGAGACTCCACAGGGGCTCAACGCTGGGCTCCTGGGGGTGAGGGTGTGACACCACTATGGAGGCAGGCCTGAGGGAATCACTAACGTAAATCAAGTCTGAAGAGGAGATGTTTGTGAACTGTGTGCCCGGCCAGCGCCAGGAAGGCCCCTTTAGCATGGGAGGGAGTGTCCTCCTCGCTCCAACAGGGCACCCCTGGGGCCTGACAGCTCAACTGTGCACAGACAGGCAGCTGCCTTTTGGGACAGCCAGACTCAAGTCCTTCCAGAGGTGTCGTTTCTAAATGAATAGAAATCAGAATAGCCTTCTTCCAGAACGTTTTCTCAGTAACTTTTCTGTAAAAATGTCCCTAATACAATAGCAAAAAAAAAAAAAAAAAAAAAAAAGTGATTACTATATTTCCAGGCAACGTCCATGTACACACATATATCTAGGAATCCTCCCACTAATGCCAGCCTAGGTATTGTTAGTACCCACCTCACAGATGAGGAAACCAAGGCACAGGGAAGACAGGAAATTTACCCAAGGTCACATTGCTGGTGATGGGTGCGGCCAGGATCCCCAGCCAGCAGGCCGGGCTCTGCCTCAGCTAGGCTGCGCCTGTGTGGTCCCCGGGCCTCCACACCAGAGCTGGGTCCTCCAGGGGCCGTGAATACTCAAGGCTAAGACAGCCCTGGCTGCTCTGTGGCTTTCCCTAAGCCGAGCCCTGCCTTCCCCCGCATCCAACCTTCTGTCAATGCTGTGCGCTGTGATTTAAAGGCTTCATTTTAATTCAATCCGTACCCCTGCTCAGATACCAGACAACACTTTGTTTTGTTTTGAGAAAACTGTATATGTCAGATTAACACAGTGGGCAGGAATTTGCTTCCCCGATCTTAGGGTACAATGTCACCGTTGCTTATTTTATTTAAATCAAGCTAAATCCAACTCCAACCAACATTCCATAAAAGCTCACGGGAAATTCTGTCTTAATGAAAACTGAGGTTTCCCTGACACCCCAGAGTGGGGATGGGGCCCCCACCAAGGGTCTAACACTGAGGTAAGCATCCAGGAAAGGCCTTTCTCACCAGCCCACCCGGTTACCCAGATGAACCCTTGAGTCAGGGCCCTGCTGCTTGTGTGCCCCTGAGGCCCGGGGTCCCCTCAGGCAATGGGGGGTTCCTTGAGACACAGGGGTCCCCTCAGGCAATAGGGGGTTCCTTGAGGCCCGGGGGTCCCCCCAGGCAAGCGGGAGATCCCTGAGGCTTGGGGTCCCTGTGCCCAGCCCAGCCTTGCTACACGCAGGCACGCCGGGCAGCCGATGTCACCAGCTCCTCAACCCCACCAGCCCCACCACTGAGGGGCTCATGGGCGCCACCAGCCTGGGTTCCTTCCCGGGCTGGGCAACCTTCTCCCTTACCCTCACCTTCAAAAGCAGTTCATTTCTACTCTTCCCTGTCAGGATACCCAGGTTTCAGTAAAAATGGGAAAATAGCTTCCTTCCACTCCCAGCCTCTAACACCTGAGGAAGTCAGCAGCTGCCCTGACACTCTGGAATTGGGGGTGGGGTCTGCAGGGTTTAAAAAACAAAATAAATTATGGAGGAGAGAGCCTGTTAATAAACATCACAGCAAATCACTGTTACATTTCTATAAAAGGCCATCGAATAGAATCATGCATCATTTAAGAGCATTTTTGCTACCCAAACACTCTTCTCTCCGTACCACCCCCCGTACACACCTCCTCCCCGCAAAATTGGATGATGGATTCTGGAAATGATGAGAACTTTGAGCCTGTGAGGGCGCCCCAGCAGTTCCCTGAATCTGCGTCCTCACTCTGCAGATGGAGCCATGTCAGCCCCGCCCCAGGAACTCACCCGAATGGAGCCGGGAGTCACATCAACTAAAAACAATGTGAATCTCAATTCAGCTACGACAGACTCGCTGTCACTCAGATCCCAGGACGTCCCCCCAGACGCTCCAGAGCCTGCCAATCTGGCCCAGAAACAGCATGCACCCGAGGCATCCTTCCAGCACCCGTTCCTCTCCCTACACAGAGCAGATCCCCAGCCAGCAAAGCCCTGCCATGTAGGCCACTGCCTTCCTTGACAGCCCCACGCACTGGGGCTTCCTGGTACCTCTGCGGGTGCCTCCTCTGCCTCCTGGGGACAGGCACTGCCTCCAACCTGGGGACAGGGTCCCCTTCTGCCTTCTCATTCATTTCCTTTCATCGCAACCCACAGAAAGACTGACCAAAAGTGCTGAGAACTTCAGGTTCTCTGAGCCCCAGGACTCACCACGATGTTCACACCCCATCCAAAATATGCGGTTTTGTCAACTCTTGATTGGAAGATTCCTTCAAAGACTTTATTAATAAGGACCTCTAACAAGAATCTGAAACGGGCCCTGTTCTATGGAATTCCCCTCTGTGGCAGGTGAGGTGGCTGCGCAGAGCTCGGGAGCCCGCCCTGGGTGAAGGGGTAGGAGAGGCTGAGGCTCGGCCACAGAAGAAGGCACTGCTGCACACACACAGCTGCGATCCCCGTGGCTAACGGCACTGGGGAGCCGGGAAAATCAAAAAGAAAACAGCATCCTGACGTTGGTCACGGTGCAAAACCTGAACAGAATCCCAGGCCCCGTGTGGCTCAATCTTTGTTTAAAGTTACATTCAAATAACAGACTCACTGCCAAAAAAAAAAAAAAGTTTTAAAAATAACTGAATTCTCTGTTGTCTCTCTCTGCCTCCCTGCTCTCTCCCTTTCTGCCAAGACACACACACATAAACGCAGGCAGAAATACAAGCAAAATTCTCAGCAGCACTCCTTAAAATTCTTACTTGACATCTCATACACTCCCCAAAATTCCAAACTCATAGCAGCTGCCAAAGTCTTTTTTTTTTTTTTTCTTTCTGCTCTCAAAAGTCTTCATGGGGTCAGGCTGTGGCCAGGACCTTCCCATGTCACCCGTTCCCCCCTGGCCTCCCTGGCCTCTCCAATGGCTGCTGGGACCCCCGGTCCTAGCCCCAGACTCATTGGGACCCAGAAAGACCTGGGGAAGGAGCTATGGAAGCCTCTGGAACAGGTGGTTCTTCCCATGCTATGGTTTTTCATGAGGGGCTGAGCTACTTTGTAAAGGCTTTGAAACGTACACAATTAGGGAGCACAATTAAGAAAAAGAACGTGAAATTATAAACACAAAATGAGATAGAAATTGGAAAATTATTTGGAATAGAAAAGAAATTACAACAAATTATGACGGTTCAAAAGCTGACAAATACAACAGGCGTCATAAAAAGGAAAAACGATTTTGTTGATTAAGTGCCTGATGGTGACTGGCACTTCGACATATTTTCTCTAAAGAGAGTAGAAAACTAGTCAAGTCTTGCTTCTAACAGGCTTGTTTGATTTTATTTTATTATTATTATTATTGATGTTTAGAAAATGTCCACCACTCATGCTTGATAAAGTCATGTGAACGGGGCTGTGGGCAGACGCGTGTGGAGCCTGCCGTGGGGAGCCTACTCAGGTACGTGTCCATGTGGGGTCCCTCTGCCGTGCCAGGCTCGGAACCCCCACACTTGTGGATCTACCCTTTTGGTGCCCCTCAGGAAGACCTGGGAGACTTTTCAAACATCCCAATGTCCACTCCCTGGCCCAGCCTACGAGGCAGACTCCCCAGGGACCTTAGGTTCCCTCGTCTGAAAGCCCCACCCCATGGTTTGAAAGCACAGCAACCTCGAGCTCTAGAGGCCGGCCGCTGACAGGGCTGCCCTGTGCCAGGCGAGAGGAAAGCGTTTCACAGGATTCTGCCTGGGTGAGCCAGAGACTCCCTGGAGAGCGGTCCCGCCGCCCTCC
The DNA here is from genome assembly GCF_000001405.40 of Homo sapiens. Classification (NCBI taxonomy): domain Eukaryota; kingdom Metazoa; phylum Chordata; class Mammalia; order Primates; family Hominidae; genus Homo; species Homo sapiens. The sequence goes on from NC_000006.12 coordinate 167,574,922, forward strand.
ACAGCCAGGGCCGCTCCTCTCTTGTTCTTAGCCCTGTGCACTGTTCCAGCACAGCTGTTCCCAAGCGCACGGCGGCTGCTCCCGCACTTCCACCGAGAAAAAGCTGAGGTCGGCGTAGCCGTGGAGAGGCCAAAGTGAGTCTGCATAATGAGACACTTTTTAAAGAATTCACAATAAACATTCATTTGATGTCGGCGTATTCAAATACGATTTATTCACACTTTACCAAATGAATTCATTTTCTAGAGCTGCTGTGAAGTACCACGAATGACAGAAACTGGCTTAAGACAACAGAAATGTATCCTCCCCCAGTTCTGGAAGCCGGAAGTCTGAGACGAAGGCGTCAGCAGGGCTCTCATCCATTCGCCATGCTGGGTCTGTCACGGCCTGAATGCTTTCGTCCCCAACGTTCATAGGGTAGGAACCTTCATCCCACAGTGGCGGTTTAGGAGGCGACTAATCACCGTTGGGAGGTGGCAAAGTCATGAGGGTGGAGCCCTTGTGAAGGGGATGGGTGCCCTCCCTTACAGAAGAGGCCCCTGAGACTCCATCACCCCTTCCGCCACGTGAGGGCACAGCGAGAAGGCGCCATCTGTGAGCCAGGAGCTGTTCTCCCCAGACGTCTAACCTGCCTTCGCCTTGGCCTCCCAGCCTCCAGAACTGTGTGTGTGGCGCTTCTGTCACGCAACTAGGATGCACTGAGACGGGGCCTGGGGAAAGCGCCGTTTTATGCGTCAGGAGAGGGTGGGGCCAAGGTGGGAGAGGGTGGGGCCAAGGTGGGAGAGGGTGGGGCTAAGGTGGGAGAGGGTGGGGCCAAGGTGGGAGAGGGTGGGGCCAAGGTGGGAGAGGGTGGGGCCAAGGTAGGAGAGGGTGGGGCCAAGGTGGGAGAGGGTGAGGCCAAGGTGGGAGAGGGTGAGGCCAAGGTGGGAGAGGGTGGGGCCAAGGTGGGAGAGGGTGGGGCCAAGGTGGGAGAGGGTGAGGCCAAGGTGGGGAGAGGGCTTTGTGCACAACTCTCCCCCGGGGTTTTGCTGTGTCTGCTCCATCCTCGAAAAGCCAAACGCACACTCCTAGATCTTCTTTCGGGGGATGCTTAGGAAAAAAGACTGGAATGGAATAGTGTCAGGGGTTGTTAATGAGAAGAGCCAGAGAAATGCCTGAGATACAGGAAAAGCCCCCAGATGCTCCCTTCAGCAGGGCCCTGGGCATCCTCTGGCCTCCCAGTGGCTGGGGCTGAGCTAAGAGGAGGCTCATTTGTTGCAAGAATGGCGCAGAGGGGTCTTGGATGCAGGGAAGGTGCCAAAAGAACTTGTGTCTAGGGCTCGGGGGAAGCAGGAGTGTGGAGTCCAGGGTCCGGAGCCGTGGCTCCTAGGTCACCCATTGACGAGGGCAGGATTCAAGCTTATGGTGTAGGAGGGCCGAGTGGGCGCCAGCGCTAGGGGCGTCGAGGGCCGCGTGAGTGCCAGCGTTAGGAGCATGGGAGGGCAGCGTGGGTGCCAAGGCTAGAGGCGTCAGAGGACCATGTGGGTGCCAGTGCTAGGGATATTGGAGGGCCGTGTGGGTGCCAGCTCTAGGGGTGTCAGAGGGCTGCGTGGGTTCCAGCACTAGGCGTATTGGAGGGCTGCATGGGTGCCAGTGCTAGGGACCCCTCCCAGTTCAGAAGGACTTTCAACTCCCGCCTCGCTGCCAAACCCACTGCCTGGGGAGGGGTCTGGAAACCGTCCTTGAATTTGCCTCCCGTCTCCCCATCCTTAGCATCATCCTGACTCTTCCTCTGCCCTCCTCACCCCAAAGTCCCAGAATGCCAGGCTGCTGCACAGACGCCCCCTCACAGCCCAGAACCCCGGCCCTGCCCATGCAGGGACACTACCCGCGCAAAGAAAACACGGGCGATGAGAAATGTCAGGTACCCAAATTCCTGAAGAACAAGATCTCTATCTAACTGCGAAGGTTTCAAAGCAGGTTGGACGTGTTTTCTCAGACAGGTTTGATATTTGCACCGCAGGAAATTTGGGCTCATAGAGACCCTTTAGCCTGATCTACAAAGCAGCAGGACAAACAGCGACAGATGTTTGCAGTTAGACCTCTCCAGGATCTGAAGCCTCCTACAGATGGTGAGGAACCCTGCCTGGGAGCACAGAAAGCACATTAAAGAGAGCGTTTGTGGGACACCTGGAGGGGTGGCAAGGCATATGGGCTGAGGACGCCCTCCCCCAGACTCCCGTGCAGCCCCCTCCCAGGCACCGTATGCGTAGGGCACTGACTCACTCATCCTCTCTCCCTCTCGCACCTGGGACACTTCTTTACCAAGCAGCTAAACGACAAAGCCACTAAGATTAAAAGCCCTTCCTCACATGCCCTCAGAGTGGGAGGGCTGGCTCTGCTCCATCCCAGCTCACAACAGTGGAAGAAGAAAACATCTTGTTCCTGGAGTGTGGGCAGATGTCGCCGGCGGGGTCAGCCATGAACTGTGTGCAGACGTGGTGCAGTGTGTGTGCTGGGATGTGGCGTGGTCCGCAGCCGTGTCCACCGCCCTGTGTCTGAGCCCAAACCTCCGTCCTGCAAGTGCCTCGTCATTCAACCATTGGCCTTTGACTTCACTCTCCTGAATGTTGTTTCCTCTGTTCAGTGATGGTATTGAAAGTCTGATGGAGCTTTTGCTAATATAAATAAGATCATGCAAGAGAAGTGCTAAGCCCAGTGTTAGGGAGTAGCAAGCCCTCAGTGAAGGCATCCAGGGCATAGAAGGGAGCGACGTAAGCCTGTCAGACCTAAGGAAATTCCCTCAGAGCAGGAGTGCTATTTTCAAACAAATTTTGTTTGTTTGTTTTTTAATTTTTTGTTGTTTGTTTTCAAATCCCAGCATTCAGGATATTTCCCATTGCACTTTAGCTAAAAAACAAGCAGCAAGGCCACCCTTTCGTGCAGTTGGTGTTGGGTTACAGAGCAGGGTGGGTAAAGGCCAAGAGAAACTCAGTCTCAGGAGAGGCACCGTGGGGCCATTTGCCTCCAGCCATCAGCACTGCCACCCCTGGATCTTGGGCAGGGGCATCGGGTCCCCCTGCTCCCCATGCACAGAGAGCTGTGAGTGCACGGAGCTCTCACTCATTCCTGAGAGTTCGGCTTGGAGCACACAGCTGGGTGTGTGGAGCGTGGGGCTGGGCTGACATCAGCGTCCACCTGGTGATGCAGGGAGGCACCTGTCTCTGCAGAGTCTGTGTGTGGGCCTGTTATCCCAGACTGCATCCTGCAGAGTCAGAAGCAAAGCTGGCATGAGCGTCTGCACGCTGCGTGAATGGGTGAGACCCACCAGAGATGCTATCCGGGGAGGCCAGGGCCGTGGCGGTGGGAGAGCTCTGATCCAAGGCCTCTTCCCACAGAGGCTGATGCCCAGCAAGGATCTCACCACAAAGCTTGTCCTCAGCACGGCTAAGGGCCTTGATGCGAAAACAGGACGGGGATGCAGGGGTGACTGAAGAAGCAGAAAGGACTTGAAAACTACACCCTGCTCTGTCCAAAGCTCAAGATGGTGAAATTAACACCTAAAGCCCTGGTGGCCGGCACGGGAAAACTTTAGAAGTCCAGAGGTCTGAGGGCACCCTCCTGGTAGGTGGACAGGGCAGAGGAAGGCCGAGGAGGAACCTGGGAATGCTCAGCTGCCTATAGCAGCAGGCGCTGGGCCAGTGGCGTCAAGGAGGGAGAGGGAGCAGGCTGCACCCACAGCCCTGCAGCCACCACGCAGCCCAGCGTGGAAAGGACTCGAGCTCTCCTCAATGCCACATGCTGCTGCACCACACTCTCTCTGTTTTCTCTATTTTAGAAGCTGGTGATGAGAAGAGCCCAATGCCGAGTCGTCTTCCTGGTTGCCGGATTCGTCTATGCTCGCAGGGCTGTGAAGGAACGCCTGAGACGGGGTAATTTATAAAGAAAAGAGGTTAATTGTCTCATGGGTCTGCTGGTTGTACAGGAAGCATAGCAGCTTCTGCTTTGGGGAGGCCTCAGAAAGCTTCCTCCTGGCAGAAGGCAAAGGGGGAGCAGGCGGGTCACATGGTGGGAGCAGGCGGAAGGGAGGTGCCACACACTTTTAACAACCACATCTCATGAGAACCCACTCACTCTCACGAGGAGAGTACCAAAGAGGATGGTGCTAAACCATTCATGGCAAACTGCCCTGTGAACCAGTCTCCTCTCACCGGGCCCGACTTCCAATGTTGGGCCCACCTTGTGGCCTCACTTCACTTGATGACATCTGCAAAGAACCTGCTTCCAAGTAAGGTCACAGCCACAGGCACGAGGCTTAGAACACAACAACTACAAATTTAAAGTTTAAAGCGTTTTAAAAAACAGACCAGGTGGCTTTGGTAACGTGCTCTGAGCCTCTTCATTTTCTTTGTGGTCCTGTGTTGACTTGAACTCATCAGTGTGTTTGTCTTGTGTGTTTTCTCGCACACCTTCTATGCATGAGTTCCCCTAGGGCAAGGACCTCACCCCATATTTACCTACCTGAGGAGTCAGGGCACAGGGTAGGGGACAAAGAACACTGACCAACTCCTGCTTCCCCCCCAAATCTCTCCAGCCCCCATTCAAAGGACCCTCCATTTTCTGCTATGAAATCTGTTTATTTGCAGTTGAACTCTTCTGGTGGCCAGCCCTGGTGTCTGAAGTTTAGAATGTGGTGCCATGCTCTTGCATGTTGTGCTTAAAAAGGCTTTTGTTGGAAAAGCTTGTGTGAAGCCACTGGCACCTGTTACGTGAGCACATGTGACTCTGCGCTGACCCGTTGCCATTGGGCCCTGGGGAATGACAGAGAGAAAAGATAAATTGGGAAGGAGAAAGCCAGGTGTGGAGTAAAAAGGTGTGAAGAGAGCAGAGCTTGATGAGAGGACAAGTGAGGAGGCTGGGCATAAACTGTGATCTGGAGAGACAAAGAGGAGGGGGTGCCTGTGTATTTTGTGCAGTCGAACGACCCGGGTTCAATTCCTGCCTTCATTCCACTCTGAGCCTCAGACCCCCATTCACAGAAGGGGCCTGTGTCATGCAGCTCATGAGTCAGGAGAATTAATGGGATCGAGGGAGCCTGTTGACTGCTTGGCTCCAATGACAAGCACACAGTAAGAAGCCAATAATATGAATGCTTTCTGCCTTTCACACCATTTTCATTTGTACGTCACTCTCTAGTAAGATTAGTAAAAACGTTCCTATGTTGAAAAAAAAATGCTTTAGTTGAAAATAAAGGAGCTCGTCTCTTGGTGGAAGATCAAATATTCACATTAGCTTCAAGGATTTTCTTGTAATCACACTGAGATCTTAGCCCATTTAATGGAGCATAATACATACATTGTCATTTCAAACAAAGTCCTTGTCAAAAATGACACTTTGGAATTTTTTTCTTAAAATAAGCAATGTGGGAGAAATTAACTCACAAAGACGTTGAATGCTAAAAGGAATACAAAGCCATCAATAAATGAAAGTAGAATATTAAAGACACATTTTCCAGTTTAATATTAAAACAAGCAAGGAGGGGAATCCATGAACTAGACACATTTTGAGTGGCTATAGTTCTTAGAGCAACAGGAGTGTAGCAGCTGGGGAGGAAATTAGAGAAAAATTAACTGGCAGTTATCTCACGAAATGAATATACAAAGACCACCCCCTAAAGGAATTACTGAATATATTCTTCTATTCACAGTAGCAGGAAACAGACTGACATAGTGAATTAGAAACAGCTGAGCAAATACCCATTTTCTAAAATGGACACATTTCTAGAAGAGCACAAACCCAGACACACCCAGACAGCCTCCCTCTTGGTTTCGTGTCTACAGGGGCCAGCTCAGAGTGGGCTCAGAGTGGCGCCTGCCCAGGATTGCACAAGACTCTTCACTGGGAAGGGAAAAAAATACAGTCACATCTTCAAGTCCCGTCTTTTATAGTTCCTATTTGGGGTATTATCTACAATACACATTCTTTATTTGCACAGTAGCGTCTCTGAGTACTGCTTTATACAGATTATTCTGTTCAAAGGTTCTTATTGATGGCTGTGCACTTGAACACTCCCCAGAAGACAGGAGATGGACAGGACGACAGAGGGGACAAGGAGAAAAGTAGACAGAGAGACCATCAGGATGTCCAAGCCAATGACATTGGACGCTTTTCCTAAAGCAAGAAAATGCACCATAGACACTATGCTAAACATCTAGACAGGATCCGAGAAATGAGTTTCATTGTTTAGAAATTTTTACTGTGTGAGAAAGAACTTAAAAAGCACTTTATGGGCATTAAAAAGAATACAATGTATGTGCTTACAGTTTCAAAGGGTTCAAGGTTGGTTTTAAATGAAATAAGATTTAAAGGTTATTTGTAGATTTCAAATTTTATTTGCATTTTTCATAGATTATGATTTTTATCTACATCTGACACTGGTGATTTGACAGCATATAATTTATTCTCCATTCAAAGACACACTGACAGCCTAGAGTGGGGAGCAAGACAGCAGAAGAGGTCTCTCTCGTGATGATTCCCTCACAAAAACACCAATTTGAACATGCAAATGAAAGTACCATCACAAGAGCTGAGTCAATCAGATGTGAGACCATACCACTGGGTTATAGCACAATAAGAAAAGATGTGTCAAATAAGATACAAAGTTCTCTTTTCCATTATCCACATCACCCCTCCTCCAGCCCAGGAGCATAGCATGGAGAGACTGTCTGCTCAGGGGAAACCGGGAAGTGAGCAAAGATGTCCAAATACTGAGCCCGCCGCAGTAAAATCCAGCACTGGGCAGGCCTCCATGGCCCCAGAGTCCAGGTTGGAACCCAAAGACTGAGCCTCCAGACCTGCTGCAGTGCCAGGCTGGACCACATAGCCTCAGGCTTCTGGCTTGCGTGGCTAACTTGACCTCTGGCCCACGCAACTCCTCAGTCAATGTCAGCAGCCCCGGCCTCCCTACAGTCCTCATCAGCAGGCAGGACCCAATGGCTCCTAGCTTCAGGTAGGCCCCAGCACAGTACCAGTGGGCCCCAGGCTTCTGGCTTGCCCCAGCACTGCTCCAGCCAGGTTGAGCCCTGAGCTTCTGGCTCACCCAAGCAATGCACCAGGTGCAGCAACTGCAGACTTCTGGCATGCCCCAGTGCCATGCACATTGGTAGCAGTCCCAGGCTTCAGAACTAAGCCAGAAAGCCTGCTTAGAATCTCTGGACAGGCTGACTTTATATATATATATACGTGCATATATATATATACACACACACATATATATGTATGTATATATATATATACATACATATATATGAGTGTATATATATACATACATATATGTGTATATATACACACACACATATATGTGTATATATATGTGTGTATATATATATGTGTGTATATATATATGTGTGGGTGTATATATATGTGTGTGTATATATATGTGTGTGTGTGTGTATATATATATATATATATGTGTGTATATATATATAGAGAGAGAGAGAGAGAAAGAGAGAGAGGCTCTTGCTTTGTCACCCAGGCTGGAATGCAGTGTTATGATCATGGCTCACTGTGGCCTCCACCTCCAAGGCTGAAGAAATCCTCCCATCTCAGCCTCCCAAGTAGCTGGGAATACATGCACATGCCAAGACACCCAGTTAATTTTGTTTATTTTTTGCAAAGACAGGGTCTCACTATGTTGCCCAGATTGGCCTCAACCTCCTGGACTCAAGCGATCCTCCCACCTCAGCTTCCCAGAGTGTTGGAATTACAGGCATGAACCACTGTGCCTGGCCCAGGCAGACTACTGAAGGGCTTTCCCAGACAAAGCACTTCTCAGAAGACTGAAATAGATACCTACATCTGCAAATATACCAACATCAATGCATAGCCACAAGGGTTAAGAACAATCAGGGAAACATGACATCACCAATGCAACAAACTAAAGTGTTATTGACCAACCTTAAAGAAATGGAGATAAATAAACTTCCTGAAAAACAATTTAAAGTAACTTTTAAAGAAGCTTAGCGAACTTCAAGAAAAGGCAGAGAAGCAATTCAATGAATTAAGGAAAACAATAACTGGCCAGATGAGAAATTTAATAGAGAGATTGCAATAATTAAATAAATAAATAAAACAGAAATCCTGGAGCTGAAAAATTCAAATACAATGAACGAAATGAAAAATTTAATAGAGTATCAATAGTAAAATTGATAAAGCAGAAGAAAGAATCTATGAACTCAAAGATAAGTTATTTGAAAATATACACTCAGAGGGAAAAAAGAATGAAAATAAATGAAAAAAGCTTATGGGATTTATGAAACAGCATAAAAAGAGCAAATATTTGAATCATAGGAGTTAAAGAAGAAGAGGAAGATAAAGTGGTAAAAAGTGTATTTAAACGAAGAGTTAAAAAAAAAAAGAAACAGTAGCAGAAACTTTTAAAACCTGAAAATACACTTAAGTATCCAGGTACAGGAAAGTCAAAGGTCACCAATCCAAATAAGATTCAATCCAAATAAGACTACCCCAGACATATAATCATATTGTCAAAAATCAAAGACATAGAGAGGATTCTGGGGGCAGCAAGAGGAAAAAAAGCAAATAACATATAAGGGACTTCCCAAACAGCTATCAGCAGACCTTTCAGAAGAAACTTTACAGGAGGCAGTGGGATGATATATTCCGAGTGTTTAAGAAACAACAACAAAAAAATGCCAAGCAAGAATATTGTACCCAGCAAAGCTGTTCTTCACTAATTAAGAAAGGATATTTTCTTAGACAAACGCTGACAGAGTTCATAACTATCAGAGCTGTTTTACAAGAAATGCTAAAGGGAGTTCTTCCAGTATAAATTTGTTGGTAAAAGTAAGTACACAGTCAAATTTAGAACTCTGCCACTATAGTGGTGGTGTGCAAATTACTTATATCTTTACTATGAAGGTTAAAAGACAAAGTTATTAAAAATAACTATAGCTGCAAAAATTGTTAAGGATATGCAATGTAAGAAAAGGACACACATAGACTGAAAGTGAAGGAATAGGTAAAGACAGTCCATGCAAATGGAAATCAAAATAGGAATAGTTATATCAGATAAAATAGACTTTAAAAAACTGTAAAAAAAGGACAAAGAGGGTCATTAATAACAACAAAAGAAACAATCCAGCAAGAAGATATAATGATTATTAATATTTTATATAATATTTATATAATATTTGGTCTATATATTTAGATACTGGAATTGGAGTATACAAATTTATGAAGCAAATATTAATAGAGCTGAAGGGAGATATAGACTGTAACACAATAATAGTGGGGAACATCAATATGCCACTTTCGACATTGGTCAGATCAGCTATACAGAAAGTAAATAAGGAAGCATTGAACTTAAACTATACTCTAGACCAAATGGACATAACAGACATATCTAGAACATTCCATCCAGCAGCTGCAGAATACTCATTTTTCTCAACTGCACATGGAACAGTTCCTAGAATAATTATGTGCTAGGCTACAAAGCAAATCTTAACAAATTTAAGATTAAAAGTAACTTTTCTGACCACAGTGGTATAAAACTAGGAATCAATTACATAAGGAACTTTGGAAAATTCACAAATACATGCAAGTTAAACATGCTATTGAACAACCAATGAAGCCATGAAGAAATTAAAAGGGAAATGTAAAATTTTGTTCAGGCAAACAAAAGTGAAAATATGACATACCAAAACTTGTGGGATATAGGAAAGGCAGTTCTAAAGGGAAGTTTATAGCAATCAACTCCTACACAAAAAAAAGAAGGACACTAAATAAACAACCTAACATTGCACCTCAAGGAATCAGAAAAACAAGAACAAACTAACCCCAAAGTAAGTAAAAGGAAGAAAATAATAAAGGTCACAGCAGGAATAAATGAAATAGAGACTAAAAAAATAGAAAAGATCAACAAAAATGAGAGTTGTGCTTTTAAACAGATAAATAAATTCCACTAGACTTTAGTTAAACTAAGAAAAAAAGAGAATGTGCAAATAAAATCATAGATAAAAAGAGAGGCATTTCAACTGATACAACAGAAATACAAAAAAAAACATGAGACTAATATGAGCAATTATATGCCAACAAATTGAATAACCTAAAAGAAATAAATTCCTTGACACATATAACTTATCAAAACTGAATCATAAAGAAATAGAAAACCTGAACAGACCAATAATGAGTAATGAGATCAAAACAGTAATAAAAAGTCTCTCATCAAAGAAAAGGCAAGAACTGTATGGCTTTTGTTTAATTCTATCAAACATTTAAAGAAAAACTAATACCAATTATTGTTAAAATCTTTCAAAACATTGAAGAAAATAGAACACTTCTCAACTCATTTTACAAGGCCAACATTACGCCAATACCAAAGCTGAACAAGGACAGCACACACACAGACACACGCACACACACACACAGAGGCATGCACAAAAAGAAAAGAGCAGGCCAATATCCTTGATGAAGATAGATGCAAAACTCCTCAACAAAATACTAGCAAACCAAATTTAACAATACATCAAAAAGATCATTCACCATGGTAATGTGGGATTCATCTCAGGAATACAAGGATGGTTCAGCATACGTAAATCAAAATAAATGTGACACATCACATTAACATATTTCAGGATAAAAACCATACAATCATTTCAATAGATGCAGAAAAATCATTTGATAAAATTCAAAATCCTTCATGATGAAAACTCTCAATAAAATAGATATAGAAGGAAAGTACCTAAACATAATAAAGGCCATGCATGACACACCCCAGCTTACATCATATTGAACAAGGAAAAGTTGAAAGCTTTTCCTCTAAGATCTAGAACAAGACAAGGATGCCCCCTTACCACTTCTATGCAACTTCTAGCATTGGAAGTCCTAGCAAGAGCAATTAGGCAAAAGAAAGAATTAAAAGGCATCCAAATTGGAAAGGAACAAGTTAAATTGTCCCTGTTTGCAGATGACATGATCTTATATATAGACAACCCTAAAGACTATTTAAAAACTGTTAGAACAAATAAATTCGGGAAACTTGCAAGATACAAAATGAACATACAAAAATCTGTAGTGTTTCTATATATTAACAGTGAACTATCCAAAAAAAAAGAAATCAAGAAAACAATCCCATTTACAGTAGCTGCCAAAAAATAAAATAGAAATAAATGTAACCCAAGAGTGAAAGGTCTCTGTATTGAAAACTATAAAATACTGATGAAAGTAATTGAAGTAGACACAAATAAACAAAAAGATGTTCTGTTTTCATGGATCAGAAAAATTAGTACTAATAAACTGTCCATACTACACAAAGTGATCTACAGATTCAATGCCATCTCTGTCAAAATACCAATTCTATTCTTCACAGAAATAGAAAAAACATCCTAAAATGTGTATGGAGCCACAAAAGACCTCCAACAGCCAAAGTAATCTTGAGCAACAAGAACAAAGCAGGAGGCATAATGCTACCTGACTTCAAAATATACTAAAAGGTACGGTAAACAAAACAGCACTATACTGACATAAAAACAGACACATAGACCAATGGAACAGAATAGGTAGCCCAGAAATAAACCCACATATTTACAGCCAGCTCATTTTCAACAAGGATGCTAAGAACATGCAGTGGGGAAAGGACAGTCTTCAATAAATAGCATTGGGAAGGCTGGATATTCACATGTAGAATGACACTAGACCCCTAACTCACACCATATACAAAAATCAATTCCAAACGCATTAAAGACTTCAGTGTAAGACCCAAAACTATAAAACTACCATAAGAAAACATAGGGAAAAGCTCAATGACATTGGTCTGGGTGATAATTTTTTGGATATATCCTCAAAAGCACAGATAACAAAAGCAAAAATAGACAAATGGGATTACACAGCAAGGAAAGAATCAACAGAGTGAAGAGACAGCCCACAGAATGGGATAAAATATTTGCAAACTCTATAACTGATAAGGGATTAATATCCAAAATATAGTCATGTGATGCTTAATGACAGGAATACGTTCTGAGATGTGTCATTACAAGATTTAATTGTTGTGTGAATATCATTAGAGTGTACTTACACACACCTAGATGGTACAGCACACTACACACTTAGGCTATACAGTATAGCCTATTGCTCCAAGGCTACAAACCTATACAGCGTGTTACTATACTGAATACTAGAGGCAATTGTAACACAACATTAGGTGTTTGTGTATCTAAACATAGTAAAATTACAGTAAAAAATGGTCTTAAAATTGTATGGACCACTGTTGTATATGTGCTCCATGATTGTCCAAAATGTCAGGTGGCGTCACCACTATGTCCTCGTGCCATGCAGGCCGGCTCACCTGTGGAGCTGCAGCCACTGGTGTGGGGTTGTGGGGTGTAGGGTGGGGGTGGGCATAGGTTGTGCTGGGCATGAGTGCATATAAAGAACTCAAACAACTCAATAGCAAGAAAACAACACTTTCTATAAATGGACGAAGCATCTGAGTAGACATTTCTGAAAAGAAGACATACAAATGGTCAATAGATTTACGGAAAAACACTCATCACTAATCATCAGGAAAACACAAATTAAAACCACAATGAGATATCGCCTCATATCTGTTAAGATGGTTGTTATCAAAAAGACAAAAGATTTAACAAGTGTTGGCAAGGATGTGGAGAAAAGAGAGCCCTCACACACTGTTGGCAGAAATATAAATTAGTACAACCATTATAGAAAACAGCATGGAAGATGGGAGAGGAGGGAAAGAGAAGGAGGGGGAGGAGAAAGACAAGGGGAGGGGAGGAGAAAGAGGCGGAGTGGAAGAGGGAGAGGTGGAGGGGGGAGGGGAGAGGAGGCAGGAGAGGAGAGGGTGTTTCCAGCCAGGGTGAAGTTCAGGACACTGCATAGGTGCGCTCATTCCTATCTTGCCCTCTGCACTTGCTCACCCCCCAATCTGATGACCCCTGAAGTGGCCCTTGTCAGAGCACCATGGAGAAGGTGCTGACATTTTCCAAACCAAAGCTTGTAGATGTGGCTGACTCTGGATTAAATGCGTGAAATTTGTGACTCGGAACCCGGGTGGGGGGTCTAAGCAAGACCCAACACCATCATCAACAAGTTCTTTGAGTAACTCATTTGCCATTTCTGAGCCTCCATTTCCACAGATTTAAAATAACGAGGCCCAGGAGAGATGACCCCTATGGTCTCTTTTAGTTGTCAACATTTTCCTAAGAATCTAGACCTCCTCAAGAGTTTGTTCCTAATTTTCAAGGAATGAGTCGGCTGAGCCCTGCAGTGCCCTAGTCATGTTGACACAGATGTGGATGCCAGCCTGGGGACAGGATTAACAACTCAGAGCCCGGGAGACTCCCGCCTGCCGAGCTTCCAAGGGCTCGTGGAGCTGGAACTAGGGAGGGGTGCGGAACTAAACTGTTCCTTCCTCTGATAATAGAAGTGTTCCATTGAAATTCCAACAATTATCCATTCTTCCTTTAGCATTTAATCATCTGGACACTTTCAGAGGGAATCATGGCAGGCATTGCTCTCTGTGTTATTCTCCACAGCGCCCCAGCAGTGCAGCCCGACTACCAGCCGATTTGCTCAGATGAGTCAGCAGCCTGAGAAAAACTACACAATGGATGAGGCCAAATAGTAACAGAAATCGGAGCTAAACAACATACAGATCCCCTTTGTGTGGCACTGAAGCCGAACGAGACCCTGGGAGTCTACAATGAGACAGGCCTTTCCTGCCTGACATGTGGACCAGCCAAGTGAACCCCACCACACCCGGTCACTGAACGCCGACCTCCAGGGGACCACATACGCACGCACATGCACACATGTGCCCATCTGGTCTGGTCACCTACTGGGAGGCTGTTCTTCGTTGAGGCCAGGCTCAGAAGCCCTGCGGTCCCTGGGTAGGCCATGGCAAGCGTCTAGGGCACCATCAGGACCCCTACCCAAGGGGTGTGGGGCTATTCTGCCCCTGCTCTCCTTTCTGAGTGACCTGAGAGGTGTGGACAGCAGCCACCGAGGATCCGCTGTGTGGTGCCGCTGGCCTGTGGAGGCTTCCTCAGGGTCCTCTCTCCTCCATTCAGGCTCCACATTTGTCACCAATGAAAACGGTGGGATAGGCACACCCGAGGCCCCACACAGAGGATGCCATGTGAGACCCTGCTCCATCCTCCTCCTTCAGAGGAGCCCACGCCAACCTCTGGCTGAGACCTTTCATCCAGCAAGGTACCTCCTGCAGTGGAGTCTCACTCTTAAATTCCTGTCCAAGAAACCGACCAAAAGCTGTTTTAGGGCAGGTGGTACCGCAGGGCCGTGAGCAGAGGAGATTGTACCCTGAGCTTCCACTCCCTCTCCCAAAACAGGAGTGCTGCTACCCCTCACCCTACGCCCACTCCCAGCCCACACCCGACAACCCCACACCAGTGGCTGCAGCTCCACAGGTGAGCCTGCCTGCATGGCACGAGGACACGGTGGTGATGCCACCTGACTCGGCTTCAGCAGCCTGCGGACCCAGGTGGGAAGGGGCTTCACGAGGCGGTGGCTCATGCCTCCTTTAGGAACAACATGTTCCAACCCAGTGGCCAGCCCTCAGGTCTGGAGCACCGCAGCATGGCTGCAGGAGAGGGAAGCACCCAGATGGACTGGCAGGCAAGGACTCTCTGGGTCCCATGCCCAGCACAGGCTGTGGGGAGTAAAACACATCCCCCTAAAGGAAGTTTCCTTCACATCTTCACCCCCACAGACCCTGCCTTTCCCTCCAACACAGCCCTGCCCAAATCCTCTGGGAGGAAGCAGAACCTCCCGTGCCCTGAAACGTGTCAGGTCCCTGGGGGCTGAGCAGACGGCGCCCACGCCCTTAATCCACAAACGGGAGCCTTTAGAGCAAATGTTTTAAACGCCCACTCTCACAAAGGCGGTCGGAAGTTTATGGAACTCAATACTGCTCTTGAAGGAGTCCAGGCAAAAATATAAATGCTCTCCGATGGGTTTGGCCAATTTCTGAACCATAGAGCTATAAAGGATGTCTGCAGGAGACTGAGGCACAGCAACGCCAAGGACAGTGTCAGAAAACAAACTACCAACTGGCACATCACATCTCAGGAGGCTCTGCAGAGGCATGACAGAAATTCCCAGACTTCTAAGCTGCAAACAGTCTCGAAGCCTTGTATGAGGCACATCACCACCACAACCTTAACCCTCTGGGTTCTTAAGCCAGAACACAGACATACAGACACAAATGTGCGCACGGCACCACACCACACCATCACCTCCCTATGCAGAGAAGGCACACACACAGCATTACCATCACCACCTCCACCACCATTATCACCTCCACCTCCACCACCACCTCCTCCCTATATACAAACACAAACATGCACACAGCACCACACACCATCACCTCCCTATGCGGAGAACGCACACACACACCATTACCATCACAAGCATCACCTCCACCTCCACCGCCACCTCCTGCCTACATACAAACACAAACATGCTCACAGCACCCCACCATCACCTCCTATGCAGGGAACACACACACACACCATTACCATCACCACCTCCACCACCATTAACACCTCCACCTCCACCACCACCTCCTCCCTACACACAAACACAAACATGCTCACAGCACTATGCCACATCATCACCTCCCTATGCAGAGAACATACACACACCATTACCAACACAACCATCACCTCCACGTCCATCACCTCCTCCCTACACACAAACACAAACATGCACACAGCACACCACACCATCACCTCCCTACGCAGAGAACACACACACACCATTACCATCACCACCACCATTATCACCTCCATCTCCACCACCACCACCATTTTCACCATTATCACCACCACCTCCACCACCAACACTTTCCTACATACAGAACGCAAACACACACAGAATCACACCACACCATCACTGCACTACACGGGACACACACACACACACACTATCTCTACCACCACCTCCACCACCACTGTCACCACTATCAATATCACTTCCCCCTCCCCACAAAAAGAAGACACATACACACGTATGGCACCATCACCACCACCACTTCCACCACCCCACATACAGAACAGAAACAGACACACAACACCACACCACCACCATCAGAACCCTATGCACGGAAAAAACAAACACATACATATCATCACCACCACAACCATTGCCTCAATCATCACCACCACCATCATTCTCACTACCACCACCACCTCCACAGCCATTACCACTATCATTATACCCTCCACCACCACCACCACAATCACAGTCTCAATCATTAATACCACCATCACCACCATCACCATCATCACCTCTACCAACACCAACACCACCACACTGTCATCATCACTATCACCACCATTACCTCCATCACCACTGCCATCACCATTACCTCCACCACCATCCATCATGACCACTACCTTCACTACCACCACCACCTCTACCACCACCTCTACCACCACCAC